>NC_000020.11:38435931-38738961 GCF_000001405.40 Homo sapiens
AAGAGACCTGACCAGACTGGCATCTGAGGAACCTGATCAGATTTGCACAGTGACAGAGACTGTAGACAGATGTCCCATGTTCCCTGCAACATACTGGAGACAATCTTGGGAGGGGACTCATGGCCCACAAATCCTCATAAGCATTGGCACTGCCTGCACCCTGGGCAGGATGTGCCTCTTCGGCCTGAGACAGCCCTGCTACTGACTCTGCCCATGTTCTGGAGTGCAAGCAGCCCACCCTTGGGCCTGATGAGGAGCCCACGCCCCACCCTCCGCCCCGCTCCAGTCAGATTCTTGGTACTCAATAGGTCAGAAGGACAAGAAAATCCAGTCCTGATCTATGCAACCATGAGGGAAATGGGGGTCCCTGAGGTGAGATCTGCTCCATATTTTGTACCTGGGAGAGGCCCATGGGATTCCCAGACTGTGAGAACACTGGGAGTCTCTGTGATGGGGAGGGGCTGTGGGATGCTGCTATGGTTTGGCTGTGACCCCACCTAAATCTCATCTGGAACTGTACTTCCCATAATTCCCACCTGTCGTGGGAGGTAATGGAATCATGGGGGTGGTTACCCCCATGCTGCGGTTCTTCTGATAGTGAGTGAGTTCTCATGAGACCTGATGGTTTTATAAGGGGCTTTACCCACTTTTGCTCTATACTTCTCCTTGCTGCCACCATGTGAAGAAAGACATGTTTGCTTCCACTTCCGCCATGATTGTAAGTTTCCTGAGGCCTCCACAGCCATGCTGAACTGTGAGTCAATTAAACCTCTTTCCTTCATGAATTACCCAGTCTCAGGCAGTTCTTTATAACAGTGTGAGGATGGACTAATACAGATGCTGTGGCTGAGAGGACACTGGGCAGGGTGGTCAGGTGTGCCCACTTGTGGCCACACAGCCCTGGTGTCCTCTTCTGCCTCCCACTCTTGCTGTTACTCTCCATGTGACTTTGGCTAAGTGACCTAACTTCTCCGCCCCGCCTCAGTTTCCAGTTATGGAAAATAGGCAGTCATAGTTCCCTGCTCATAGCGTTGCTGTGAGAATTAAATGGAATGATTTATATCAAGACCGTAGCACAGAACAAATATCCAAGGCCTAGTAGTTGCTATATTATAGTATTTCTGAGAAAGCTGAGGGCTTCTGTCACCGTAAGGACTCTGGGATTCTTTATGAAGCAGAGGAAATGTGCTGTGTTTGAAAAGTCTAAGATGGCATTGTCAGCCCGGTGTGATGGAGCAGTCCTGTAGTCCCAGCTACTCAGGAGGCTGAGGCAGGAGAATCACTTGAGCCTGGGAGGTTGAGGCTGCAGTAAGCTGAGATCACACCACTGCATTCCAGGTTGACAGAACGAGACCCTGTCTCAAAAAAGAAAAAGAAGAAGAAAGATAGCATTGTCCAATAGAAATATAACACAAGGCCGGGCATGGTGGCTCACGCCTGTAATCGCAGCACTTTGGGAGGCTGAGGCAGGTGGATCACCTGAGGCTGGGAGTTCCAGACCAGTCTGACCAACATGGAGAAACCCCGCCTCTACTAAAAATACAAAATTAGTAGGGCATGGTGGCACATGCCTGTAATCCCAGCTACTTGGGAGGCTGAGGCGGGAGAATCGCTTGAACCCGGGAGGCGGAGGTTGCGTTGAGCCGAGATCTCGCCATTGCACTCCAGCCTGGGCAACAAGAGCGAAACTCCATCTCAAAAAAAAAAAAAAAAAAAGATAAAAAGTAAAAGTAAAATTAATTTTAATAATTTAACTGAATATAACCAAAATATTATCATGTCAGCATGTAATCAATATTTTATAATTATTCATGAGCTATTTACTATTCTTTTTCTTGTATGAGATCTTTGGAATCTGGTGTGTGATTTACATTTATGGTACATTACAATTCCGACTGGCCACGTTTCCAGTGCTCTGTAGTCACATGTGGCTGGTTGCTGCTGTGCTCCCCAGCACAGATATAAGGCAATCTGGCTCTCATCAGCCCTTTGGAGCTGGAAGAGACACAGCAAACAGTAGGCTGAGTGCATCCACAACCCACACCCACCTCCGCCGCCCTACCTATGAGCCTGAAAGGGCTTGGCCTCCTGCATATTCAGATTGAGGCCTCACCAGGCTGAATCTTCTGGGCTGGCAATTAAGGCCAAGGTGCCCTCAGAAAGCTGGGAACGGGCAGAACTGCAGATTTTCTGTAGTTCCAGATTTTCTTTTGCACTCCTTATTCTCATAACACTAAGGAGGGCACCTTGGCGGGTTCATTCCTGCAGCCCCAGTGCCTATAGGAGGATGGACACCTAAGAGGAGTGGTTCATGCTTGTTCCACGGTAGTGGAACAGGATGTTAAATTAGCCGGGCGTGGTGGCGGGCGCCTGTAGTCCCAGCTATTCGGGAGGCTGAGGCAGGAGAATGGTGTGAACCCGGGAAGCAGAGCTTACAGTGAGCCAAGATGACACCACTGCACTCCAGCCTGGGTGAGAGAGCGAGACTCCGTCTCAAAAAACAAACAAAAAAAAGGAAGTTTCAGCTGACAAATGACAAGGTCAGGAGTTCGAGACCAGCCTGGCCAACATGGTGAAACCCCATCTCTACTAAAAAATACAAAAATTAGCCAGGCATGGTGGTGGGTGCCTGTAATCCCAGCTACTCGGGAGGCTGAGGCACGAGAATCACTTGATCCCAGGAGGCGGAGGTTGCAGTGAGCTGAGATCACACCATTGCACTGTAGCCTGACTGACAAGAGTGAAACTCCATCAAGAAAGAAAGGAAGGAAGGAAGGAAGGAAGGAAGGAAGGAAGGAAGGAAGGAAGGAAGGAATTGAAAATCCAATAAAATTGCTGTTGTGATAAGCAAAAATTGATTTGAGTATTGGCAGTTTTTGAAGTTTCCGTGATAAAATAGCAGCTGCCTTCCAAAGAAGGTGCTGGACCAAATGCAGAACTGAGGAAGGAGATAACCGAAACATCGTTGCTTGTGACTCTTGAATCTTCTCTTCCAATTGGAGGGTAGTAATGGTACAGTATTAGAAATGAAAAAGAAGGCGAATGATGAATTGTATTTCTTATGAAAAAGCAAGAGCTGTGAGTCTCACCCCCTGCCCCCAAAAGGGAGAGACAGGGAGGGAGCCCGTGCATCTCACCTTAACTCATTAAGAAGCACTTTAGCAGGTCACAAGGGAGCTTGACATTTGTCACTCAAAGTTGGGGAGCACAGGTGACTGGGGCCCAACCCACTCCTGAGTCAAAGGTTCATAGTCTCTTTCTGTAGGAGTAGAATCTGTGGTATGAATGTCTGCCTGGGACCCAGGAGGTCCCATCCATGAGGGAACCTGCTAGGGTGAGGGAATTCCAAGAAGAGGGTCTGTGCACACATCAGTAGGGATGCAACAGGCAACAGGAGGAGTCTCTCTGAAGAGCCCATGAGAAAGGCCACAAGATCAACCTCTGAGAAGCCTGGGATTGATAGGGAAGGCCACAAGAGAAATAATCAGGATTAAACATCTCCCTAGCTTGGAGAGGGCGCGGGCTTCTTACAAAAGCAACAGACAAGAGACGTCTCCCCGCTCCTTACCCTTTACTCTACCTGTTTTTATCCTGGAAGTATTGAGAGTGGGTAAGTGGACAGAAAATTCCTGTTGAAGAGAAACATATCTGGATACATGAAGAGAGAAGCCCCACGTCCCTACCCCAGCCTATCCCGTACTTAGCCCCAGCTGGTGGAGAGAAGTCTTACCTATGGAAGATCATTGAAAACATAGTAATGCGTTAGACTGAACATTTAAACTTGTTGAATGGATTCAGCAGATCCTTAACTAATCCTGGTGGGGTTTTTTTATTCTTTTTTGAGACAGATTCTTGCTCTGTCGCCCAGGCTTGAGTGCAGTGGTGTGATCTCGGCTTACTGCAACCTCCGCCTCCTG
Organism: Homo sapiens; assembly: GCF_000001405.40. Taxonomy (NCBI): domain Eukaryota; kingdom Metazoa; phylum Chordata; class Mammalia; order Primates; family Hominidae; genus Homo; species Homo sapiens. Next base: position 38,439,849 of record NC_000020.11, read on the forward strand.
GGTTCAAGTGATTCTCCTGCCTCAGCCTCCCGGGTAGCTGGGATTACAGGCATGTGCCACCACGCCTGGCTAATTTTTGTATTTTTAGTAGAGATGGGGTTTCACCATGTTGGTCAGGCTGGTCTCAAACTCCTGACCTCGTGATCCACCCACCTTGGCCTCCCAAAGTGCTGGGATTACAGGCGTGAGCCACCACGCCTAGCCTTTTTTTTTTTTTTTTTTTTTTTGAGACTGAGTCTGGCTCTGTCGCCCAGGCTAGAGTGCAGTGGTGCGATCTCGGCTCACTGCAACCTCCCACTCCCAGGTTCAAGCAATTCTCCTGCCTCAGCCTCCTGAGTAGCTGAGATTACAGGCGTGCGCCACCAAGCCCGGCTAATTTTTTTGTATTTCTAGTAGAGATGGGATTTCACCATATCGGCCAGGCTGGTCTCAAACTCCGACCTTGTAATCCACCCGCCTTGGCCTCCCAAAGTGCTAGGATTACAGGCATGAGCCACCGTGCCTGACCCTACTGGTGTATTATTAAAAAATAATAAAATAAAATTGTTGAATGGAAACTGTGTTTTCCATTTTTAGTGATTGCAAGACTTTTTATTACCTAAGAATGATCAGAGAAATTCTAAGGCTTTTGCCTTATATTTTTCTAGGGGCAGGGGAGAGACGCTCCCACTTAGCAAGTCTAAGCAGACATATCAGGAGTCCTGCTTTCAACATACTCGTTGCAAAGGATTGGACTGTAGCTGGGAAGACAAGGTTCCACCACAGGAAGTCTGTGACCTCATAGTGGCTGAGAAATCCCTGGGGCCTGGAGCCCCTTCACCAGAAGAGATGGAATCATGGCTGGCTGGACAGCTTCTTCCAAGGAGTTGGTGCCCGGAGTCTAGGTGGGAAGTCAGCAACTGACCATGCAAGGCCTGCAGGAGCTCCAGACCCATCTCCACACCAAGAGTGACCACCGTGCTGCAGATTTTGTTGTATCTGTCCATTCTCCTCCTCGGCTTCTTACTGCTCCTCTGTTACTGCGTCTTTCAGTAGCCCATTTGGGTGATGAGCACTCTCTGGGGGTGCTATGGGGGCATCTTTGGAGCTTGGCAGCAGTGTGCTGTGATAGAAAACAGGTAGATGGGCTGGGCGAGGTGGCTCACACCTGTAATCCCAGCACTGGGGGAGGCCAAGGCAGGCAGATCACTTGAGGTCAGGAGTTTGTGACCAGCCTGACAAACATGGTGAAATCCCATCTCTACTAAAATAGAAAAATTAGCCGAGCGTAGTGGTGGGTGCCTGTAATCCCAGCTACTCGGGAAGCTGAGGCATGAGAATCGCTTGAACCCAGGAGGCAGAGGTTATGGCAAGCCGAGATTGTGTCACTTCACTCCAGCCTGGGCAATAGAGCGAGACTTTGTCTCAAAAAATAAAATAAAATGAATAATAAAAGTAAATTAAATTAAAAATGAAAATAATAAAAGTAAATTAAATTTAAAAATAAAACAAAATATAAAATAAAATAAAAATGATGGAGCATCAGAGACGCTTGGGTCCCAATCTCCTCTGCCACAATCTAGCTCTGTGCCCTATTCTTTTTTTTTTTTTTTTTTTTTTTTTGAGACAGAATCTCGCTCTGTTGCCCAGGCTGGAGTGTAGTGGTGCAATCTTGGCTCACTGCAAGCTCTGCCTCCCGGGTTCACGCCATTCTCCTGCCTCAGCCTCCCGAGTAGCTGGGACTACAGGCGCCCACGACCACGCCCGGCTAATGTTTTTGTATTTTTAGTAGAGACAGGGTTTCACCATGTTAGCCAGGATGGTCTTGATCTCGTGACCTCGTGACCCGCCCATCTCGGCCTCCCAAAGTGCTGGGATTACAGGCTTGAGCCACCGCGTCCAGCCACTCTGTGCCCTATTCTTAACCTCAATTTACTCACCCCAAAAACAAAGCTGTGAGAGAAAGGAATTTCTACTATTGTTGTTGTTATTGTTCTTATAACTACAATCCTGATCTTTTCCAAAGCCAAGATATTTCCCTCTCTTTTACCAGAAGTGTGTTCCCTTTAATTCCCCAGCAAGGAAATTTTACAGGGTTTGGAGAACAGGGTGGCCGTTGCTGGGCTCTGTGCTCACTGGGCTGCTCTTTCCCATGCTGGCCGTTGGCATCTGCCTCCCGCGCTGTCTCATGCTGTGCTCTCTTTCTGTGTCTGCATTTGAAAGTGATCATCAGCTAGCCTGTGTCTTCGTCATCGATAGTACAGGCCGGTGAACTGCGCAAAGCATTTTCTGCATTTGGAGGGTCCATCTCTATCCTTGGAAATGCTAGTGCTTTTCTCACATTCGACTTCTCTTCTGTGAACACTCTCAAGCCTCTGGGGCATTGTGGGCTGTCATTTTGTTTGGCCTTTCTCAGCTTGACTTCTTGGCAAAAATTAGGCTGTGTATATCTGGGACTATTTGTTGCCCAGGACAAGATTAACTACTCAAGGGATGGCTGAGGCTCACAGAGCATGAGCCCTGCACAGAAGAGGTAACATTTCACCAGCCAGGTGAACTGTACGGAAATTAACAATTGAGTGTATGAATACATACAACATTGAGTATAGATCGTGATTATGATAGGATTTAAAGAAAGATGGCTTCTTGGAGATGGTGTGCTTTGGTGGTTTTCTGTTTGTTTGTTTTTGTTTTTTGAGACATGGTCTTGCTCTGTTGCCCAGGCTGGAATGCAGTGGCACGATCAGAGCTCACTGCAGCCTCAACCTGCTGGGCTCAAGCGATCCTCCTGCCTCAGCCTCCCAAGTAGCTGGGACTACAAGCACATGTCATCACACCTGGCTAATTAAGAAAATTTTTTTTGTAGAGATGAGGTCTCACTATGTTGTCCAGGCTGGTCTCCAACTCCTGGGCTCAAACGATCCTCCCACCTCAACCTCCCAAAGTGCTAAGATTGAAAGTGTGAGTCATCGTGCTTGGACCTTGGTGGGTTTTTCTTTTTTTGGAGACAAGGTCTTGCTATGCTTCTCTGGCCTCAGGGGACCCTTCTGCCTTAGACTCCCTGGTAGCTGGGACTACAGGTACACACCAATGCATCTGGCTCTTGGTGGATTTTTGAAGTACTCAAATAGGAGTCCTTTAAAGTTGCAATGGGAAGGCTCTTAAGGGTCAGGGGGAGAAAGAGGAAGACTCTGAAGCTGAAGAGGAGGAAGGGATGGGAAGTGGACACCTGTGCTGGTATGTGGATAAGTTAGGAACCGGAGGGGGCAGTATCCCCCCATCTCATTGCATGGCCTGTAATAGATGATCTTTAAATGTTGATGCAAAAGAAGAAAGGGAAATGCTCATTGTGGCAACAGGAGAGGGCTCACTTAATTCTGAAATGTAAGAAAAATTACTTGTGTCCCAGTCTGCTCTTGGCTCTGAGGGCTTAAAAAAAATGAAAAAAGGCTGGGCGTGGTGGCTCATGCCTGTAATCCCAGCACTTTGGGAGGCTGAGGCAGGTGGATCACTTGAGGTCAGGAGTTTGAGACTAGACTGGCCAAGATGGTGAAACCCCGTCTCTACTAAAAATACAAAAATTAGCCAGGCATGGTGGTGGGCGCCTCTCATCCCAGCTACTTGGGAGGCTGAGGCAGGAGAATTGCTTGAACCCAGGAGGTGGAGGTTGCAGTGAGCGCACTACTGAACTTTAGCCTGGTCAACAGAGCAAGACTCCATCTCAAAAAAAAAAAGAAAGAAAGAAAAAGAAAAAAAAGAAAAAAGCAGGACAACTTAACTGATTCGAATAAAATAAAATTAGGGCCAGGCATGATGGCTCACACCTACAATCTCAGCACTTTGGGAGGCTGAGGCAGGTGGATCATTTGAGGTTAGGAGTTCAAGACCAGTCTGGCCAACAGGGTGAAACCCTGTCTCTACTAAAAATACAAAAATTATCTGGGTGTGATGGCGTGTGCCTGTAATCCCAGCTAATCGGGAGGCTGAGGCAGGAGAATTGCTTGAACTCGGGAGACGGAGGTTGCAGTGAGCTGAGATCACACCACTGCACTCCAGCCTGGGTGACAGAGCGAGACTTTGACTCAAAAAACAAAACAAAACAAATAAATTAATGAAATAACAAAAGCAGAAAACGAGCATAGGGCCAGGCCTGGTGGCTCATGCCTGTAATCCCAGCATGAAAGTACATCAATAGGAAATGTATGTCAGTGTTGTGGAACAACATCTCAAAAACCCTTGGAGGATGTTATGGACTGAATATGAGACCAAGGCAAGAGGATCGTTTGAGACCAGGAGTTGAAGACCAGCCTGGACAACATAGTATGACCCCATCTCTACAAATTTTTTTTTTTTAATTAGCGGGGCCTGGTGGCATGCGCCTGTAGTCCCAGCTACTCAGGAGGCTGAGACAGGAGGATCGCTTGAGCCTAGGAGGTCAAGGCTGCAGTGAGCCATAATTGCACCACTGCACTGCAAGCTGGATAACAGAGCAAGACCCTGTTTCAAAAAAAAAAAAAAATTGGCAGGCTTCAGTTGGAAAGTCTTGGCCTCAGTGCCCTTGAAGGGCAGGAGTAGTGCTTCTGCCTTGTGAATGCCTTCTGACCCCACCAATGGGGAGAGGTGGACACGAGAGCTGGGCAGATGGAAATCAGTTGTATCTTTATCAATGGTGACAGCTGGATGTGACCACCTGCAGGCTCCCTGACACCTGCTCCTCCTTCCTTTACCTCTGTTGCAGCCCACCCTCCAACCCCTACCACATACACTGCCATGCTGGATAGTGCCTGCCGGGTGAGCTTACTCAGGAAGGAGTGGGGACTCAGCCAAGGATCCCATGAACAAGCAAAGCACAGACACCCTGAGGGGTGTGCAGCCTCAACAAGTCCTAACCCACACTCAAGACAAATTAGATGAGGGACCTCAGAGATGGGTGACTCCTCCCAGAGCTCCAGAAAGGGTGGAAGTGCCTATCCTTGGCCCAGAAGGTAATTTTGAGAATTGAGAGCTTGAGTGTGAAAGGTTGTAAAAATCAGGCCGGGCACAGTGGCTCACACCTGTAATCCCAGCACGTGGGAGGCCGATGTCAGGCAGATCACCTGAGGTTGGGAGTTTGAGACCAGCCTGGCCAATATGGTGCAATCTACTAAAAATACAAAAATTAGTCAGGCTGTGGTGATGTGCGCCTGTAATCCCAGCTACTCAGGAGGCTGAGGCAGGAGAATCCCTTGAACCCGGGAGGCAGAGGTTGCAGTGAGCTGAGATCACGCCACTGCACTCCAGCCTGGGTGACAGAGCAAGACTCTGTCTCAAAAAAAAAAAAAAAAAGTTTGTGGAATTCAGAATAGCATTTCTCAGAAAGCCCCGCTACTGCTTGCAAACCTTTTTTTCTAATGACCGTGCACAGGTTTCACTGTCACAGGTTTAATTAAAGTCTTCTGCTTGATCTCAAGTAGCGTGGAGAAAAAATTCCTCAAAAGTGTTGCCATTCAGAGATATTTTCAAGGGACTTTATTAGAAGGACCATCATTTAAGGATGAGATGGTATGACAGAGGGTGACTCTGCTACACCAGGGAAGAACATGCTAGGGAAAACACCTTCTTTCTTTTAAGTCAAGTGTTTTCTGTGTCATCAGATTGCCCAATCATCCCTGGCATCTCTGCTTCTCAACCATAGGCTATGATGTGTATGGTGCTCCCATGAGTTGTGCAGTACACGACCTGCACAACCATATGTGGCAGTCCTGCCTACCCTCAATGGAAGCAGGATGGAGATGTTCCCCTGGGTAAACGTGGCATATGTCCCTCACTATAAGCAAAAAATCAGAGCAAGTGTGAAGTCAGAAGTCCACCCAGAGAGAGAGGCAGAGTTGCAGGACAGGGATGGAATTCCAGTTCTGGTGTTTGTTGTCTTGGAGGCCCAGCTTGACCTCTGCCCTTCCCTTCGCTTGATTATATAAGTTTTCCAATAATGTATTTTATTTTTAAAGCGTAAGTTAGGTTTCTATCACCAACACATTCTATCTAAAAGCCCAAGTCTTTTCCTTAACTTGTCCTAAATGGCCAGTTATTAAGAAATTCCATTGAGGGTTTGGCTGTTGCATACAGCCTTGTGGGCATTTTGCTTATCCACGTTGACTTTCTCATCTGGGACACTGGCCTACGTAGTACGTGATTCCAGCAAACAGGGCAGTATGTTGAGCTCTTGAAATAAGTATGTTGTGACAGCCTTTGTTACAGCATTAAAAGAACAGTCTACTCTCAATGGCTGACCCTTTATTTGTATGCTGACGTCAAAAACAAAACAAGACTGCAGACACACTCTTGCCAATGCTAGAAAGGATGCATGTTTGAAGTGGATTTTTTTCTATTTTTTTGCTTGGAGAGGAGGGTGTGTGGACACCAAGCTGGCCATGGTCCAAGCTGACCTATTTGCCAGCCGACCCCTGTCTGGGCTGCCATAACAAAGTGCCATCATGAACTGGGTGGCTTATAAACAACAGAAATTTATTTCTCACAGTTCTGGAGGCTAAAAGTCCAAGATCAAAGGCACCAGTAGATTTGGTAAACTAGGAAGCGGTGAGGGCCCACTTCCTGGTTTATAGACTGATGGCTGTCTTCTCACTGTGTCCTCAAATGGAAGCTGATGTTTCACAAATATTTTCTGGGTAAATGGATGGGTGAGTGAACTCATGAAGGGATGCTCCATTAGATGAACGCTTGGATAAAGGGCGTTAGTGGAGGGACAGAATTGCAGCTCCGTCCTCCCAGGGGGCGCTGCAGGCACGTCTGCTTGGGCAGGGGCCCGGCGGAAGCGCCGCTCTAGGCTGCAGCCGCGCCCCCAGCCGTATTTCCGCGGGCGCTGAGCACTAGAGAGAGCGTCTTGTGGCTGCGGCCTGCCCCTCAGCCTCCTCCGCGCGGTTACCCCTGTACCCGCCGCCATCCGTCCTGGCGCTCCGGATGAGTCAATGAGGGGCAGGGCCCGAGGAGTGGTCTTCCCAAGAACCCCTGGTGGCCTCCCAAGGCCGGTGCTGTGTACCTCCTCCCCGACAAAAGGGGAAACTGAGGCCCCGAGGGGAGTGGGAAGAGCCGGCTGGACGTCAGGCCCAGCCGCTGGTGCAGTGGTCCGTCCCCTCTGCCGGGGTGGGCCCCTCGGGTTTCGCGTGTCCTCGGGAAAGAGACTGGCGGGTGAGCCGCGCCCTCGGCCTTCGCTGGGCTAAGCCGACCCCATGCAGACGTCAAACCCCCCTAGGTCGGCACAGCCTCTCTGCGGGGAGGCTTAGTGCCCCCTTGAGAAACGGCTTGGCAACGCTGTGCCCGGGGCCTTGCACGCGGGCTGAGGGGGCTAGAGACCTCGCGACTTTTACTCCCCCGACCCCGATCTCCGACTCCTGACTTTGGAAGCCCCCAAAGCTGCTTTTCGGTTGCCTACAAAGTGTCGGTCATTGTGCCACGTCCTTGGAACCGTGAACTCATTTTCTCCTCAATAACCTTTAAAAAGTAGCTGTAAAACCTCCATTTTACAGACCAGTTGGCTGAGGTTTAAATGGAGGACGCTCCCAGGGCCCCAGAGGGGCGAATTCCAGACTCCTTTGCCAGGACCTTGTACTAAGCCCCTTCCCTACGCTTTTCCCTGCCTAGGCCTCGTGGGCTGTGCGGCTATCCTGGAGACAGATGACAGCTCTCCCTTGGATGGCTTTGCTGGTTCCGCACCAGCCAGCGCCCCCATTTTTCCTGCAGCACCCTGATCTGCACTCCCTGAGGGGCTCCCACTGTCCGCGGTGTGAGGATGTCCCTGGGTAAGTGGTGCTGGTCATGAGCACTTTGGGGGACCCTTCAAATTCCCTTCTGGGGGACCCCAGCGGAGGGCATGGTCATGAATTCCGAGAACTGTATGGCAAAGCCGGGTGCAGAGGAGAGCCTGGCTAAGTTCTTTCATTCTCCTGAGCTTGACTTTCTGTAATGTAGGGAAACTGCGAAAGCTCTGTAAGTGGGGAGATCTTGCACGTTTTTCTTGCTTTTGAACCCATGATGTCTGGCTACTTGTAGATACTCAATATTTGTGGGATGAATGAACAATTTAAGCCTTTTTTTTTTTTAACCAGAAATTGGTCTTCTGTGACTTTCTTGATGGGGGCAGATGAGATCTTTGTACTGCATTAAGTGGATAGCGCTCAGGTCCTTTGGGCTTGGCGCTTTGGCAATCTCCAGGCAGCTCACTTTGGCCTCTGTTCCTGGATCCCCTTTGCTCTTTTCTGCGCCTGCATTCGTAAGTGATCACGGGCTGCCCGTGTCCTGGTCATTGGTAGTGCAGGCAGAGGAAATGCGGGAAAGGTTGCTGTGTTTGGAGGGTCCACATCTTCACCCTCCTGTCCCAGGAGCTTTCCTACACTCCTCCTTCTCAAAGCTGCACACACCTGGGGCCTCCAGGGGATTGGGGGCTGCCGTGTGTGTTATATCATGATTAGAGCTTTCACTTCCTGCTCCCTGCTGTTGGGAACCAGGCTGTGTGTGTTGCTTAAATTCCCCTTGATGACCAGCAGAGTCACTGCCACTCAGCCATGGCACACTGCTGTAAACCTGGTTTTGATCTCCTTTCAATCTTTTGCTGATTAACTACACATTGATCAGTGTTGGCCACCCTCACCCTGCCATAGACCATCCGCTGTCTTCCTCTGTAGAGTTAACTATTTTCTCTTTTATGAGGAAATAGTGTGTTTGCTTAGGAGTGTTTACTGTCTGGTAACTACTGTGCTAAGCCCTTTCCTGTTGCCTGCCATCCCTGCTGCGAGCAGGGACAAGCTGGGTGCTCACTCATGGCATCTTATCTGTTGCAGATAGTCCACTGTGTGCAGAGGCATGGGAGTTGTCATGTTGGGAACATGCTAGACCTCAGTATCCTTGAGGTAAGATCTCTGGTTCATTCTCTGGAATGTTGGTTCCTTGTATCTAGTACAGTTCTGTACATGTTCCCAGGGGCTTTGGGGTTGGTGTAGGGGAGCTGAGAGGTGAGATGAGAATGGCACTGTGGGTCCCCAGATCCGCTGTCCACCCAGCCAACCCAGATCACCTCTGGCCTTTCCTGTGCCTTCCGGGCTTGCTGCTGGGGGGAAACCTCCAGAGTCCCACTTTGGTAATAAGAGGTCTCTGCCCTTTCTCCCTGGGCAGCAGGATGTTGTAATGGAAAATGAGTGGACCTAGGCTTCAGAGACTCTGGTCCCCTGGCTTTGAATCCCCTTCTGCCACTATCCCAGTCAAGGACTGATTCAGAACCTAATTTTCTTCATTTGGAAAATAATGTTCTGATAGAGGTGACTTTTGTGGTACTTGAGACCATATGATTCCTATCATTACCAACCAATATTTTCCGATTGTTTTTGCCCCATGTGACTTCTCTGTGATTCCTCCTGGCAAGGAAGTTTTACAGGAAAGCAGGGCCACTTTTGGGATCCTGTGCTGGGCTGGATCATTTTCCTGGACTGGACCTAGTCCACAAGCTGCTGGCATCTGTTTCTCCTCATGGATCTCTCTCTGCCCTTGTATACACCTGCATTCAAAAATGATCACGGGCTGCCTGTGCTCTGGTCATCAATAACGCAGGGAGAGGAATTGCTGAAAGCCGTTTCCCGTGTTTGGAGGGTTCACACCTGTCCCTTTCAAATGCTGGCGCTTTCACACACTCCTTCTCTCCTGCCAGCACCTTCTGGTCTCAGGAGCATTGCAGGATGTTGTGTGAGTGAGTGATGGGAGACACTTTAGTATGGCTTTTTTCAGCTTAGCCTCCTGTTATCAGAGAGCAGTCTCTTTCAGTGTCAAGGTTTGAGTACTAGATGGTGGAGAAAGCCTGTGTGAATTATTTTTAATGAATAAGTGTGATGATGGGTGGCATACAGTCACTGCCTTAAGATTTTCAAAGAGAAGCAGCCTTTTGGAGGTGGTGGGCCTGGGCAGGTCTTTCAAGGAGTGGGATGTGATGGGCAGTAGAAAGGTATTCCAGGGAGGGGTAGCAACATGAGAAGGTCTTTCAAGGATTGGGATGTGATGGGCAGTAGAAAGGTATTCCAGGGAGGGGTAGCAGCATGAGAAGGTCTTTGAGTCTGGGATGAGCAAGAGTGTCTAGTCCCACCAGGGAGACAGATGTGTAGGCAAGTAATGACAGCATGGAGGGATGGCTGCTGGGGTGATCCTTGGCTCCCAGCACGGCGAGGTGGACATCTATGGGAGGGGCCCTGAGAGGTCTCTTGAGCTGTCTTTCTGCCAGTTGCACATCTGCTCAGTTGCCTGTTAAGACTCTTAAGACAGTTTTGCTGGACTCTTAAGTTTTTATTTTGATATTCTTTGGGAGCATTGAGATTCCTTTTTGAGATGAGTTTGGTATGAAAGAAACTGGCAACTCATACCTGATTGATTAACTGGGGGCATTCCCATTGACATCAGCTTGAAGAAAGACGACAGAACACTGGAGACCAAGTACTTACAGCCTTCTGCTCTGTGGCCCCTCCTCACTCCAGGGATGCTGCCTTGGGTCTGGAAACTGTTAGAGGAAACCCCAAGAGGTGCAGGCACTGAGCCTCTCAGGACAATGACCTGGGGTCCCAGCTCCCCTGGAGGGGCCTCCTCATGGTAAGTGAATGCCAAGAGGTTAAGTTGGCCTGTGTTTCCGAGGTGGAAATTCCAGGTCGCTGGCTTCATTTGTCTTCTCTTTTAGATTGTTTGGGGGTTGATCACAGACCAAGAGTGACGAGTGATGTCACCCTGTGACTCATGGCTGGACCTTCTTGCCCCTATTGTCTCAGCACAACATTATTCGACTTTTCCCTCAGCGTGGGTGGGCAGAGGAAAAGCCCTGTGGCTCTGGGGACTTGGGATCCAGAGTTGAAGACCCTTCAGCTGGCTCTGCCCTGCCAGTGCCACAGAGTGCCATGGCCCAGGAAGACAGGTTTTCTTCCATCTAGGCCAGGCCATCCAGTGGCCATCCTCCGTGTCCTCCCGCCTCCTCCTGGTGTGACTTCTGAAAACCAAGAATTTGTTCCTGTTGACTTTTTCTGTGCTATGGACCATTGTCCTCTCACCCACTCAATAAATCTTGAAACATGCCCTGCTGCTTGTTCTTTCATTTTTGTGTGTTTGGTTTTTTTTTAATCAGTATCTCCGTGTGCCAGCAAGACTGGGTGTAGAGAGTGGGTCACAAGGGCAGGTCTTCTGGTTCTCACTCATTAAGACTTTCCCCTTGACACATACCCAAGGCTTGACCTAGGGAATGTGAGATGGGACGTGGGATTTGGACCGGGGTTGAACAATAATCCCAAGTGCATCTAGGGGTGGGGGGGTTCAGGCTTAGGAGAGAAGGGGAACTCTTAGGATTAAGTTGGCAGGGGAAACATTTGAGCCAAGGCTTTGGGAGAGAAGACTATGACGGGATAACTTAGGGATGGAGGCAGGGGCTGGAGTCCTTGAAGAATGCAAGAGTGCCCTGAGCTCAGGTGGTGGATTGCAGGTGAATGTAGGAGTTGGTTTTGAGCAGAGGAGAGAGTGGAGTATATGAGGAATAGCTGCACTTGGAGAGCTCTGGGGGTGTGGCAGGCAGTGCCAGCCGCTGGGGCTTCTGTTACCATGAGATAGATTTGGTCTTTGGGGATTCTCTTTGGTAGCAGTGATCGCAGTGATGTGCTTACGTGTGCATTGTATGTGTGTCACCACCTCCATATGTTGCTCTGTCCTCATTTTTCAGGTAAATTTCACACAAGAATGCTCCCAAAGGCTATGGTAGAAAGTTGGGAGTCAGTTGGTCCCACTCCTTCAGTTGAAATAGAAATCACTGTGACTAAGCCGGGCATGGTGGCTCACGCCTGTAATCCCAGCACTTTGGGAGTCTGAGGCGGGTGAATCACTTGAGGTCAGGAGTTCGAGACCAGCCTGGCCAACATGGTGAAACCCCATCTCTACTAAAAATACAAAAATTAGGCATGGTGGCAGGCACCTATATTCCCAGCTACTCAGGAGGCTGACGCAGGAGAATCATTTGAACCCGGGAGGTGGAGGTTGCAGTGAGCCAAGATTACGCCACTGCACTCCAGCCTAGGCAACAGAGTGAGACTCTGTCTCAAAAGAAAAAAAAAAAAAAAGAAATAACTGTGACTAGGGTTGAGGGAAACCAGGCTGTCAGGCATCTCTGATGACCTCTGCCAGCAGGAGACATTCTTGGCTGAAGAGTCCGCTCTGCCAGCCATCTCTGGCGAGGGCCTTATTTCTGCATTGCCCCCCTCCTTATTCCTACCCAAGAACCACCTGACACCTCTGGTTTGCTCTCTTGAAGATCCCCCCACCTGCTGCAACCCCTCTCTAGCCGGTTTTATCCAACTGTGGCCTTTGTCCTTTAGTGAGAAATGACCACATTTCCCCCACCAAAGAAAGGGGGCCAAAATTCTCCCCTTTTCTGAGTCCACTATTTTTAGTGAAGTTTTACACTGGTTGGTGCCTTGAATTGGTAGACCTGTCTTTCCTTAGCAAACTGACCCCTCTCATAGCTAAGCAGGTTCCTGTCAGCTAATAGGACAAGTGTCTACACTACACTCCCTTCTTTAATCTCTCGTTCTCTTTCTCTCTCTCTCATGCTCTTCTTGACCCACTACCTCAATCCTGCAACCTGGGGGTCCCTTACGCCCTTTTTAGTTTGTTCTATGGGAGGCAACAATGATGGAGTACTGAAAAACAAGGGAAGAGGTGAGATTGCCACGCAGTGGGGGAAGAGAGTGTCAGCTATAGAGATAGGATCACTTACTGTGGCTTGGCCCCCTGGCATAAAAGTTTTCTTACTAAGCCAGACTGGTTGATTTGTGGAGGGTTCCCTCATTTATCACCCTATTTTCATGCATCCTAGTGGTTGCTGGCTGGATGTGAAGGTTGGTGAACTAATATGTTAGAAGCTCTTAGCATAGCACTTGGCACATAGGAAGTGCTCGATGAAGGATAGCTCCTCTCAATCACTAGAACTTCCTTTCCAATTGTAAATGGTCCTCATCGCTGGCCCAGCCTCTTAGGTCTTTCTTCTCCTGCCCTCTGCCACCCTCGCCCGACCCTACCCTCAGCCTCTAGCCTAGACTTCCCATTCTCCCGAGGAGACAGCAAGGCCCTCCTCACTCTGCCTGTGGCCTGCCTGTCCACCCTTTTCTCACACAAGCACCCTAGGCCTCAGCCACCCTTCTGCTTAAGGTCCCTGAACATGTTCTTTTCCCGGCCTATGCGCCTGGAATGCATCCTCCGCTTCAAGCTCAGCTGACTCAGCTTGTGTCACTTTCTTCAGGAAGCCTTTGCTGGCGGAACCTCCACCCAGACTGGATTCCCCGCCCCTCCTTCCATTCATATCAATTATCAGTTCTGTGCAGGCACAATTCTAGGAACTGGTAAACAAAACAGGCAAAAGAGCAAATCCCTGCTTTGTACTTACATTTTGGAGGACAAGGACATATCATAAAACAAAGTACTAAAATAGGTAGAATGCTTGAGAAATGTTAAGGAAAAAAAGTCATAAAGCAGGGAAACAAGATAGGAAGTTTGGGGACCAGCAGAGGGAGTGGCATTTTAAATTGAGTAGACACGACGGCCTCCCCAGGAAGGTGAGATTTGACTAAAGTGAGGAGCTCTCACTGCTGGGCGTTCACTGCAGGCTGTTTAAGCCGCCATCACTGCATGGACCATGGACAATAGGAAGCTTTTTCCTGGCCGAGCGTGGTGGCTCACGCTTGTAATCCCAGCACTTTGGGAGGCTAAGGCGGGCGGATCACGAGGTCAGGAGATCGAGACCATCCTAGCTAACACGGTGAAACCCCATCTCTACTAAAAATACAAAAAATTAGCTGGGCGTGGTGGTGGGCGCCTGTAGTCCCAGCTACTCAGGAGGCTGAGGCGGGAGAATGGCGTGAACCCGGGAGGCGGAGCTTGCAGTGAGCCGAGATCGCCCCACTGCACTCCAGCCTGGGCAACAGAGCGAGACTCTGTCTCAAAAAAAAAAAAAAAGGAAGCTTTTCCTTTGGATACCAGGTTCAGTGAAGTGGGGAGACAACAGGCATCTGAGGCCACTGCAGTGCTGCTTCTGATTATGAACGTTTCACCATGTTGTGAAGGTGCAGCTGAATCAAGCCAGGATTAACTGGTCAGCACCTGGATGGGTGTGTCTAGAGGCCAAGCTCTGCACCTGTCAGCTCCCCATCCCCCTCACCTCCAACCATAGCTCAGTGGTCTAGGGAAGCTCAGTCACCCAAGGACAGCCTTGATAGGCCTAACCCATCACCTTGGTCCAGGACCCATAGCAGTGATCACTGAGCCCTGCAGTGTTTCTGCTGGGAGAGTTCTGCATGTCAAGAGACTGAGTAATTGGTTGCAGAAACAGGAAGAGACAGAGTAATTAAGTCTTAACAGCAGCCTAGGAGCATAGAACATTGAGCTCCTGTTGCAAGTTTCTAGAACTCACAGGTGGAGAATGAAATTTCAGTTTCCAAACCACGTTCGTGCTCCTCCAGGCATGACTGTGAGCAGTATTCTGATTTGCCATGAGGCCTGGGGATTCAGTTTTTTCTGAATTTTTATAAGGCATGGCTATGTGACCAAGATTCCTTTTCGTTTTTTTAAAAAATTTTTTAGTTTATTTTTTGAGACAGTCTTGCTCTGTCACCTAGGCTGGAGTGCAGTGGTGTGATCTTGGCTCACTGCAACCTTTGCCTCCTAGGTTCAAGTGATTCTTCTGCCTCAGCCTCCCGAGTAGCTGGGATTACAGGTGTGCACCACCACACCCAGCTAATTTTTGTAATTTTAGTAGAGACGAGGTTTCTACTAAACCCCCGTCACGTTGGCCAGGCTGGTCTCAAACTCCTGACTTCAAGTGATTCTCCTGCCTCGGCCTCCCAAAGTGTTGGGATGACAGGCGTGAGTCACCATGCCCAGCCTGTTTTTAATTATTTATTTATTTTAAGACAGGGTTTTACTCTGTCGCCCAGTCTGGAGTGCAGTGGTGCAATCTGGACTCACTACAGCTTCAACTTCTTGGGCTCAAGCAATCCTCCTGCCTCAGCCTCATGAGTAACTGGTACTACAGGTGTGCGCCATCAGGCTGGGCTAGTTTTTGTATTTTTTTGTAGAGATGGGGTTTTACATTGTTTCCCTGGCTGGTCTCGAAATCCTGGTCTCAAGTGATCCTCCCAAATTGGCCTCCCAAAGTGGTGGTGTTACAGGCATGAGCCACCACACATGGCCTCTTTTTTTTTTTTTTTTTTTTTGAGAGCCCTTACATTCACTACTTCCATTACTAAAGGGAGCAAAATGAATCTTTTCTCATTATAGTCAAAAAGCATACCAACATAATGCCTGACGGGTGGAAGGTGCTCAGTCAACATTTAGGGATGAGGAATGATACCAGCAGATGCCTTGATAGTGTGCGCCAGAAATGACTCATGCAGGCCCCTCTGCCTCTGTGGGTACGACTGATAATAGGTGGGCCTGGTGAAGTCACTAAGAATCTGATGTGGCTGGGCAAGGTGGCTCGTACTTGGAATCCCAGCTACCCAGGAGGCTGAGGTGGAAGGATCACTTGAGTCCAGGAGTTTGAGACCAACCTGGGCAATACAGTGAGACCCTGTCTCAAACAAACAAACAAAAACACACGAAAACCTGATGCTGTCACTTAATTGCTATGGGGCCTGGAGCACATTATTTTGCCTCCCTGACCCTCAGCTTCTGGCTGTCTAATTTGACCATCAACATAGCACTTACCCCAAATAGCAATGATGAAGATGATGCATGTTAAATGCGTAACATAGTAACTGCCTTGCACGGAGTGCTTGATAAATGTCTGCTGTTTTTATTTGATGAGCACATATAGCTTGTTGATAGTTAAAATGAAGAACAAATATAAAATGTCATTATGACAGGCTCATCTGCTAAGGCACCACAAATACTTTCTTCTTTCTTGTTTGCTAATTTGCAGACATCCCAGCGGGGTTGGTGTTAGTCACTGCTACCATTGATTGAAATTCTGTTAAGTCCCACGCACTGTATTAAGCCTGTATGTATAATTACCTCACTTAATCTTCACAACAACCCAGTGAGGTAGATTTAATTATTTTCCATTTTACAAATAAGGAAACCAAGGCTCAAAGAAATGGAAGAGACCTGTCTCACACCTAATGAGTGGCTCAGCTAGTTTTCCATTTCCTGCTGTATTAAATAGTGAAAAATGTTTCAGGCTGACTGATTTCATAAATAGCATAAGCATACCAAGCTTATCAGATGCTTGTTTGTACTGGAATACTGGAAATTAGGATATTTTACTATTTGTTCCATCTGCTTCAAATTATTGCCTATTATTTAGAGTTGCTGAAATAGTCTTCATCTAAATCAGTGGTTTTGCAGATTGAACTTATGAACCTGACATGTACAGGGACAATAGCCATGTTTTAGCCAACACCAAAATATCAAGTGTCCTTCCCACTACTGTTGTGTCTGAAGCAAGAGTCATCCAAGACCCACAGAACTTGAGGAAACTTGAGAAGGGTATCACCAATGTGGCCCAATAACCAGGATTAGCATCAAGAAGAGCCACGATCCTACCAGGAAACTGTTGCCTGGCACCAGAGTCCCTGTGACACAGTGGGTGGGAGATTCCACGGCAGAATTGAGCCAGGAGAATGAAGAACTGGACAGAATGAAGGTTCATTTGTCCATCCAAAAGATATTTATTAGGCACTGTGCTGGGAATAGAGATACCATGATGAACAAGAAAGTTGTTGCCCTCAAGAGGATCGCATAAACGTGTATAGATGATAAGTTATATGAATTCACACTCCAGATACTTATGGAACAATCACTATGTGCTGGGCCTTGCTCTCAGATGGGCATTTGGGTCTGAACAAAGCAAATGAAGGAGTTTATAGTATAGGACAATGCTGTCCAGTTAAAAAAATAATGTGAGCCACATATATAAAATTTCATAGTAACCTCATTAAATAAAAAGCAGGTGAAATAAATTTTGGTAATATTTATATATTTTATTTAGCCCATTACATCAAAGAATGTTGTTATTTCAACACGTAATTAATATTAAAAATTATCATTATTATTATTTTGAGACAGAGTCTCGCTCTGTCACCCAGGCTGGAGTGCAGTGGTGTGATCTTGGCTCACTGCAACCTCTGCCTCCTGGGTTCAAGTGATCCTTCCACCTCAGTTTCCCAAGTAGCTGGTATTACAGGCATGTGCCACCTTACCCTAATTTCTGTATTTTTAGTAGAGATGGGGTTTTGCCATGTTTGCCAGGCGGGTCTCGAACTCCTGGCCTCAAATGATCCACCCGCCTTGGCCTCCCAAAGTGCTGAGACTACAGGCATGAGCTACCTTGCCCAGCCAATATTAAAAGTTATTAATAAGATTTTTCCCCAAATGAAATCTTTGAAATCTGGTATATATTTTATACATACAGCACATCTCAGTTTAGACTAGCCACATTTAGAGTGCTCAGTAGCCACATATGGCGAGTAGCTATCTTACTGGACATCATAGATTTAGACAATAAGGGGTTCAAGGATGCCTCCTTTACAGGAAGGCTGCTGCATCTTGTGGGGGCTTAATGAAGCTGCTCCAGCTTGGATCCCCCATTCTCTGGTATCCCCTCTCCTCCATCTTGGCAGAGCAGGGCGAGGTATATATCAGGCATGCCTGATGGAATCCTGCCTCATGTTCCAGAGCCTTCTGGAGGCAAGACACCGAGTCCTGGGTGTGCTTCTCTAACACAGATCCTACTGGAGTTAACTTTAGTGTACCCAGCGTTTGTTATTCAGTCAGTCACTACCTGTTTACTAAGTGCTGGCCTCTGTGCTAAGCACTGTGAATGCACGCCAGTGAAAACAGACATTTGTTAGCTCATAATTTCATCAAGATAAACAAGATGCATAAATTGTTAAAAACTCTGAGAAATTCTACAGAGGAAGAGGGAAAGGTGCTGCAAGAGTAAATAGGGCACCTGACCTCTTGGGAGTCAGGGAAGTAGACTTAACTGAGCAAAGGAGGAGAGTGGTCCACATCCAAAAGCTGCGTGGAGGATGCAGGGAGGAGCTCAACGGTGGTTGGTGTGGCTGGCATGCAGCCCGGAGTGGTGTGAGCACTGGCTTTGGAGTCACAGATCTGGTCCAACTTAACTGGGTGACTTTGATGACAAGTTTTAAACTCTGTGCGCCTCAGTGACCTCCTATAGAGGGATGTGGTGAAGATTAAACAGATTGATGTTTGTTTTTTTAAGACGGAGTCTTGCTCTGTTACCCAGGCTGGATTGCAGTGGTGCAATCTCCACTCACTGCAACCTCCACTTCCCGGGTTCAAGCTATTCTCCTGCCTCAGCCTCCCGAGTAGCTGAGATTACAGGCGTGCACCACCACACCTGGCTAATTTTTGTATTTTTAGTAGAGACGGGGTTTCGCCATGTTTCACCAGAGTGGTCTCAAACTCCCGAACTCGTGATCCGCTAGTCTTGGCCTCCCAAAGTGCTGAGATTACAGGCATGAGCCACCACGCCCTGCCATGAGCAGCTATTTTTTTTTTACATAAAACTTTTATTTTGGAATAACTTCAGATTTACAGAAAAATTTAAAACCTGGTACATAGAGTTCCCATATGCCCTTCACCCAGCTTCCCCTAATATTAGCATCTTATGTAACCATGACACATTTGTCAAAATTAAGGAATTAACACTGATACATTACCATTAACTGAACCACAGACTCTATCTGGATTTCGCCAGTTTTCCCATTGATGTCCATTTTCTCTGCCATGCAGAATAGCACATTACATTTAGTTATGTATCCTTAATCTCCTCCATCTGGAATGGTTTCTCAGTCTTCCTTTGTTTTTCATGACCTTGACAGTTTTAAAGTGTTGGTAAGATATTTTGTAGAATGTCTCTCAATTTGGATTTTTCTTTTTCTTTTTCTTTTTTTTGAGATGGAGTCTTGCTCTGTTGCCCAGACTGGTGTGCAGTGGCACAATCTCAGTTCACTGCAGCCTCCATTTCTCAGGTTCAAACGATACTCATGCTTTAGCCTGCCGAGTAGCTGAGACTACAGGTGCGTGCCACCATGCCCGGCTAATTTTTGTATTTTGTTTTGTTTTTTTGAGATGGAGTCTCCCTCTGTCATGCAGACTGGAGTGCAGTGGCGGGATCTCAGCTCACTGCAGCCTCTGCCTCCTGAGTTCCAGTGATTCTCCTGTCTCAGCCCCCTGGGTAGCTGGGATTACAGACGTGCGCCACCATACCTGGCTAATTTTTGTATTTTTGGTAAAGATGGGCCTTCACATGTTGGCCAGGTTGGTCTTGAACTCCTGACCTCAGGTGATCCACCCGCCTCGGCCTCCCAAGTGCTAAGACTGCAGGTGTGAGCCACCTCACCCGGCCTAATTTTTGTATTTTTAATAGAGACGGGGTTTCACCATGTTGGCCAGGCTGGTCTCATACTCCTGGCCTCAGGGATCTTCCCACCTTGGCCTTCCAAAGTGCTGGGATTACAGGCATGAGCCACTACACCCGGCCCTCAATTTAGGTGTTCCTAACATTTTCTCATGATTAGACTGGAGGCTACGGGTTTCTGGGAAGAATACTCCAGAGGTGAAATGCCCTTCTCATCACATCATATGGGGGGTACATTATATCAATGTGACTCATGATCAGTGACATTAACCTTGATCACTTGGTTAAGGTGGTGACTGCCAGACTTCTTTGCTGTGAAATTCTTATTTTTCCCTTTTCGTACCGTAATATTTGGAACATAGGTTTGATTTTAATAGATATTTTAAAAATATATATTTAGAAATCTTTACCCACACTGAGAGAATGTATATATTTTTCTCAAGCACCTTTGGGGTATGTATTAATATTGTTTGCATATTTACAATATTTACAAATATCATCTACAGCATAGAATGTGGTAACTTTGATGCTGCAAAGCAAGTCTCAAATATTAATACCAGCACATCAGTATCAGGAATAAATGGGCTGGGCGTGGTGGCTCACGCCTTTAATGCCAGCACTTTGGGAGGCTGAGTCGGGTGGATCACCTGAGGTCAGGAGTTTGAGACCAGCCTGGCCAACATGGTAAAACCCTGTCTCTACTAAAATTATAAAAATCTTCCAGGCATGGTGGCGCGTGCCTGTAGTCCCAGCTCCTCAGGAGGCTGAGGCGGGAGAATCACTTGAACCCGGGAGATGAAGGTTGCAGTAAGCTGAGATCTTGCCACTGCACTCTAGCCTGGGCAACAGAGCAAGACTCTATCTCAAAAAAAAAAAAAAAAAAAAGGAAAGATGACGACTGCAATATGTCACTACAATGTAAAGTCTAAATAAAAACAAAACAAATGTTAAAAATACTCAGACCTGAAGGGTAATGAAAATACTGTATTATCAAAACTTGTATGATGTATAGCTAAAACAGTACATAGGAGAAATTTATAGCCTCAAATGCTTTCATTGGGAAAGAACTTCCCACCAGTAAGGGAGTGTGTGACTCATTACACAGGTTAGACGGAAGTTCAGAGAGTTCTCCCTGGTGTCTTTGGCATTTCTCCAGGATTTTTGCAGCACTCCGAGGGAATCAGAGCCCCAGTAACTACTGAGATTGAATGAGCCACTAGTGCAGTACAATGCAGACACAGAACAGATTATATTTTATTCCACAAAGAAAAGGAATGAGATCTTTTCCCACCTTACCTTTGTGAAATATGTTCCATTTCCATTGGAGGTGCTGAAGGAAATCAGGTTTTAAGTCATGTTTTATTTAGATCTGCTAGAGAGACTGTGTTTTGTTTTTCTTTTTTTTTTTTTTTAATTGATCATTCTTGGGTGTTTCTCGCAGAGGGGGATTTGGCAGGGTCATAGGACAATAGTGGAGGGAAGGTCAGCAGATAAACAAGTGAACAAAGGTCTCTGGTTTTCCTAGGCAGAGTGTTTGTGTCCCTGGGTACTTGAGATTAGGGAGTGGTGATGACTCTTAACCAGCATGCTGCCTTCAAGCATCTGTTTAACAAAGCACATCTTGCACCGCCCTTAATCCATTTAACCCTGAGTGGACACAGCACATGTTTCAGAGAGCACAGGGTTGGGGGTAAGGTCATAGATCAACAGGATCCCAAGGCAGAAGAATTTTTCTTAGTACAGAACAAAATGAAAAGTCTCCCATGTCTACTTCTTTCTACACAGACACAGCAACCATCCGATTTCTCAATCTTTTCCCCACCTTTCCCCCTTTTCTATTCCACAAAACCGCCATTGTCATCATGGCCCGTTCTCAATGAGCTGTTGGGTACACCTCCCAGACGGGGTGGTGGCCGGGCAGAGGGGCTCCTCACTTCCCAGTAGGGGCGGCCGGGCAGAGGTGCCCCTCACCTCCCGGACGGGGCGGCTGGCCGGGCAGGGGGCTGACCCCCCACCTCTCTCCCAGACGGGGCGGCTGGCCGGGCGGGGGGCTGACCCCCCCACCTCCCTCCCAGACGGGGCGGCTCGCCTGGCGGGGGGCTGACCCCCCCACCTCCCTCCCGGACGGGGCGGGGAGCTGACCCCCCCACCTCCCTCCCGGACGGGGCGGCTGGCCGGGCGGGGGGCTGACCCCCCCACCTCCCTCCCGGACGGGGCGGCTGGCCGGGCGGGGGGCTGACTCCCCCACCTCCCTCCCGGACGGGGCGGCTGGCCGGGCAGAGGGGCTCCTCACTTCCCAGTAGGGGCGGCCGGGCAGAGGCGCCCCTCTCCTCCCAGACGGGGCGGCTGGCCGGGCGGGGGGCTGACCCCCCACCTCCCTCCCGGACTGGGCAGCTGGCCTGGCGGGGGCTGACCCCCACCTCCCTCCCGGACAGGGTGGCTGCCGGGCGGAGACGCTCCTCCCTTCCCAGACGGGGTGGCAGCAGGGCGGAGGGGCTCCTCACTTCTCAGACGGGGCGGTTGCCAGGCGGAGGGTCTCCTCACTTCTCAGACAGGGCAGCCGGGCAGAGACGCTCCTCACCTCCCGGACAGGGTCGCGGCCGGGCCGAGGCGCTCCTCACATCCCAGACGGGGCAGCGGGGCAGAGGTGCTCCCCACATCTCAGACGATGGGTGGCCGGGCAGAGACACTCCTCACTTCCTAGATGGGATGGCGGCCGGGAAGAGGCGCTCCTCACTTCCTAGGTGTGATGGCGGCCGGGCAGAGACGCTCCTCACTTTCCAGACTGGGCAGCCAGGCAGAGGGGCTCCTCACATCCCAGACGATGGGCGGCCAGGCAGAGACACTCCTCACTTCCCAGACGGGGTAGCGGCCAGGCAGAGGCTGCAATCTCGGCACTTTGGGGGGCCAAGGCAGGCGGCTGGGAAGTGGAGGTTGTAGCGAGCCGAGATCACGCCACTGCACTCCAGCCTGGGCACCATTGAGCACTGAGTTAACGAGACTCCGTCTGCAATCCCGGCACCTCGGGAGGCCGAGGCTGGCGGATCACTCGCGGTTAGGAGCTGGAGACCAGCCCGGCCAACACAGCGAAACCCCGTCTCCACCAAAAAAATACGAAAACCACGCAGGCGTGGCGGCGCGCGCCTGCAATCGCAGGCACTCGGCAGGCTGAGGCAGGAGAATCAGGCAGGGAGGTTGCAGTGAGCCGAGATGGCAGCAGTACAGTCCAGCTTCGGCTTGGCATCAGAGGGAGACCGTGGAAAGAGAGGGAGAGGGAGACCGTGGGGAGAGGGGAGAGGGAGAGGGAGACCGTGGAAAGAGGGGAGAGGGAGAGGGAGAGGGAGACCGTGGAAAGAGGGGAGAGGGAGAGGGGAGCTTTTTTTTTTTCTTTCTTTGGTTGGCTGATTTTGAGACAGAGTCTCCTCTGTCGCCGAGGCTGGAGTGCTGTGGTGCAATCACAACTCACTGCAGCCTCAACCTCCACTCAGCAATCCTCCCGCTTCAGCCTCCCAAGTAGCTGGGATCACAGGCACATGCCACCATGCCCAGCCAAGGGTTTCACCATGTTACCTAGGCTGATCTTGAATTCCTGGGCTCAAGTGTTAGACTCACTTCGGCCTCCCAAAGTGTTGGGATTACAGGCGTGAGCCACTGCACCCAGCCTGTTTTGTTTGGGGCAAGGGTTTTAACATTTATATATATATAAATATATATATATTTTATATATACAAATATATATATAAATATATATTTATATATATTTATATATAATATATTATATATAAATATATTTATATATAATATATTATATATAAATATATTATATATAAAATATTATATATAAATATATATATTTATATATATAAATATATATAAATATATATATATATAAAAATACCAGCACATCAGTATCAGGAATAAATGGGCTGGGCAGTATATATATATATATATATGTATATATATATACTGTTTTTCATATATATATACTGTCTTATATATATATATACTGTTTTACATATATATACTGTTTCATATATATAATGTTTTATATATATACTGTTATATATATTATATGTACTGTTATATATTTTTTATATATATACTGTTATATATATTTTTTATATATACTGTTATATATTATATATATACTGTTATATATATATTTTACATATATACTGTTATATATATATTTTATATATATATACTGTTATATATATATATTTTATATATGTATACTGTTATATATTTATATTTTTTATATGTATACTGTTATATATATATTATATGTATACTGTTATATATATATTTTATATGTATACTGTTATATATATATATTTCATATATATATACTGTTATATATATTTTATATATATATACTGTCATATATATATTTTATATATATACTGTCATATATATATTTTATATATATATACTGTCATATATATATTTTATATATATATATACTGTCATATATATATTTTATATATATATACTGTCATATATATTTTATATATATACTGTCATATATATATTTTATATATATACTGTCATATATATATTTTATATATATACTGTCATATATATATTTTATATATATACTGTCATATATATATTTTATATATATATACTGTCATATATATATTTTATATATATATACTGTCATATATATATTTTATATATATACTGTCATATGTATATTTTATATATATACTGTCATATGTATATTTTATATATATACTGTTATATGTATATTTTATATATATATACTGTTATATATATATTTTTATATATATACTGTTATATATATTTTTTTATATATATACTGTTATATATATTTTTATATATATACTGTTATATATATATTTTATATATATACTGTTATATATATATTTTATATATACTGTTATATAGATACTGTTATATATATACTGATATATATACTGTTATATATATACTGATATATATATACTGTTATATATATACTGTTATATATATATACTGTTACATATACATATATATACTGTTATATATATACTGTTATATATATTGTTATATATATACACATATATATATACATATATATATACATATATATATACATATATATATACATATATATATACACGTATATATATACATATATATATACACATATATATATATACACACACATATATATATATATATATACTGGCTGTGTGTGGTGGTGCACACCTGTAATCCCAGCACTTTGGGAGGCCAAGGCAGGCTGATGGCTTGAGCTCAGGAGTTCAAGACCAGCTAAGCAACATACTGAGATCCCATCTCTAAAAAAAATACAAAAAGGCCAGGCACAGTGGCTCACACCTGTAATCCCAGCACTTTGGGAGGCTGAGGTGGGCAGATCACGAGGTCAGCAGTTCGAGACCAGCCTGGCCAGCATGGTGAAACCCCATCTCTACTAAAAATACAAAACATTAGCCGGACATGGTGGCACACACCTGTAATTCCAGCTACTCAGGAAGCTGAGGCAGGAGAATAGCTTGAACCCAGGAGGCGAAAGTTTCAGTCAGCCAAAATCACACCACTGCACTCCAGCCTGGGCAACAGAGCAAGACTCTGTCTCCAAAAAAAAAAAAAAAAAAAAAAAGCCGGGCATTGTGGTGCCTATACCTGTATTTGCAGCTACTTGGGAGGCTGAGGTGGGAGGATTGCTTGAGCCCGGGAGGTTCAGATTGCAGTGAGCCAAGACTGCACCGCTGCACTCCAGTCTGGGTGACAGAGTGAAACCCTGTCTCAAAAAAGAAAAAATACTGTCCCTGCCAAATCCAAGACAGACAGCTTTTCTTTTTCTTTTCTTTTCTTTTTTTTTTTTCTTTGAGAGAGAGTCTCGCTCTGTCGCCCAGGCTGGAGTGCAGTGGTGTGACCTCAGCTCACTGCAACCTCTACCTCCCTGGTTCAAGTGATTCTCATGCCTCAGCCTCCCGAGTAGCTGGGATTACAGCCAGTTGCCACCATGCCCAACTAATTTTTGTATTTTTAGTAGAGACGGGGTTTCACCATGTTGGCCAGGCTGGTCTCAAACTCCTGGCCTCAAGCGATCTGCCTGCCTCGGCCTCCCAAAGTGCTGGGATTACAGGCGTGAGCCACCGTGCCTGGGTCAGACAGCTTTTCTATAGTGAAACAAATCACACAGGAATATAATTATGACCATTTTCCCTGGCAAATATCTAAGTAACTTTAAGGTTTGTCGGGTCCTGTGTCATAGGTGTTGCCATGTGTGCTACCTTTTTCAGAAGGCCCCATTTACCTTGTAAACCTCTCTTCATCTCTAATAGGCCCTGTATGGGCTCTGCTGTCTCAGTTTTAACTGTCTTCTGCTTGATGTGAGTTCAGCCTGGGGATATAAAGCTTTGCAGAGCCAATGCCTTTGCATTATTCCCTGAAAGCTTGACTAGGGAGGCCAATCATTATGGGCCAGGGTGGGATTCCTTGAACTCTCTTGGAATGGGCTCACCAAGGACTATCTTTGGTTCTAGGAAAACCTATCATTTTCTTTCCTTTAAATTAAGCGTTTTCAGTGGCATTGGCTCAGCCAAGCATCCCTAGCATTTCTACTTCTCAACCATAGGTGAGTGGTGCTCCCATGAGTTGTGCAGTACACAACCTGCACAGCCATATGTGGCAGTTGTGCAGGGGTGGCAGTTCTGCCTACCCTCAGTGGAAGATGGATGGAGATTTGTTCTAAGGTAAACCTGGGATGCATTCCTCACATATGCAAGAAAGCTGAGTGAGTGTAAAATTAGAAGTCCATAGATGGAGAGAGGCAGAGAAACAGGACGGGGAGTCTCAATGGAATTCCAGTTCCTGGTGTTGTCTTGCAAGTCTGACTTGATCTCTGCCCTCCCCCTCATTTGATTATGTAAGCTTTCCAATCAATATTACTCTTTATTTATTTCTTTTTAGCATAAGTTAGGTTTCTGTCACCAACACATTCTGGCTAAAAGCCTGAGTCTTTTCCTTATCTTGCCCCAAATGGCCAGTTATTGTGGAATTCCACTGGGTTTTGGCTGTTGGATGAGGCACTGCGGGTATTTTGCTTATCCAGGTTGACTTTCCCATCTGTGACACTGGCCTACCTAATGAGGGATTCCAGCAAACAGGATGGCATGCTGAGCTCTCAAAATAAACATGTATGGCAGCCTTTGCACACAGTATTCAGAAAACAATCCATTATCAGTGGCTTGCCGTTATTTTTTGGTCCCTAAATGTATTTTCTGGCATTAAAAATAAAACAGCAGGTATGCTCCCTCCAAGAAGGAGAAGTGTGTGTGTAAATTGGGCCTTTTCTACTGGAGGGGGTGTTCTGGGGTACAAGTGAGGGCCCAGTGAGGGCTCAGGCTGACAATCAGGACTACTTGGAAAATAGTGTTCTCAAGAGTGGAGGAAGTGGGCTCAAAGGAGCTTGAGGAGACTATAGGGGGAAGCGCAGGACACCAGCCAAGGCAGTCCTGGAGTGTGCAAGGCCCAGGACCAAGATTTTTGGCGTGGCCCCTGTCTCTTTCTGTTCTAGTCCAGGAACCATCTCTTCATCTTTTTTCTGTTTGTTTATTTAATGTAAAATGTGCCATTCCTGCTTACTCTTATATTCTCATCACAAAAAATGGTACATTGTTTGGAACCTGTTACTATTGAAGATCTTGCTTTTGCAGTTCCCTAATACATTTATTTAATGCTGGATATATCATTATGTACGATGCTATATCATCTATGGGTGGCTGACTTGTTCTCAAAGATAGTTACTGTGCCTTACTGATGAGAACTACAAATATAAATGTTGCCAAGAGTATGCAGGAAAATGTGCATGATAATTTATTTTCTGGTCATGTTAAATTTACCACTGGGAATTTTTTTCTTCAATGTAGGACAACGCCTCTTACAACTGTATCTTGACCTCTTGAGGCCCAAATCGCTGCATTCCTATAATGTGGTTGCTTTCAATGATGACTGCACCCCTGCCTTCCACATGCCACCATTAGCAGGGAGCACAGCAAGAGGCCTGTGAGCAGAGTGAGAAGAGCAAGCTCATTTAAGCAGGATACTTCCATCTCTTATTCTCCATGGCTTAAAACCGGTGAGAGAATAATGTCTCAACTGGAGGTGTGAAAGTACATCAATAGGAGGTGTATGTTGGTGTTGGGGAGCAACATCTCAAAAATCCTTGGTGGATGTTATGGACTGAATATGTGTTCCCCCCACCTCCCGGCCCCAAATTCATATGCCGAAGCCCTAACCTCCAATGTGATGGTATTAGGAGGTGGAGCTTTGGGAGGTAATTAGGTTTAGATAAGGTCGTGAGGGTGGAACCCCCATGATAGGTTTGTTTGTTTGTTTGTTTGTTTGTTTATTTATTTGAGATGGAGTCTTGCTACCTCTATCGCCCAGGCTGGAGTGTAGTGGCACAATCTCCGCTCACTGCAACCTCCGCCTCCCAGGTTCAAGCGATTCTCCTGTCTCAGCCTCCCGAGTAGCTGGGATTACAGGCATGCGCCCCCATGCCTGGCTAATTTTTGTTTTGTTTTTTTGTTTTTTGAGACAGAGTCTCGCTCTGTCGCCCAGGCTGGAGTGCAGTAGCGCGATCTCGGCTCACTGCAAGCTCCGCCTCCTGGGTTCACGTCATTCTCCTGCCCCAGCCTCCCGAGTAGCTTGGACTACAGGCATCCACCACCACGCCCAGCTAATTTTTTTGTATTTTTTAATAGAGATGGGGTTTCACTGTGTCAGCCAGGATGGTCTCCATCTCCTGATCTCGTCATCCGCCCGCCTCGGCCTCCCAAAGTGCTGGGATTACAAGTGTGAGCCACCGCTCCCGGCCTAATTTTTGTATTTTTAATAGAGACAGGGTTTTGCCTGTTGGCCAGGCTGGTCTCGGACTCCTGACCTCAAATGATCTGCCCGCCTGGGCCTCCCAAAGTACTGGGATTACAGGCGTGAGCCACTGTGCCCAGCCGGGTTTAATGCCTTTATAAAAAGCAGAAGAGACACCAAAGCTTCCTCTCTCCAACATGTGAGGACATAGCAAGAAGGCAAGTGGGGAAGAGGGCCCTCACCAGGAACCAAATAGGCCAGCACCTTGATCTTGGACCTCCCAGCCTCCAGAGCTGTGGGAAATAAACATCTGTTGTTTAGACTGTGGTACCCAGGCTGTAGTATTTTGTTATAGCAACCTGAGCAGACTAAGACAGAGGACATAGGCATGGCCAATCCTGGAGGACAGACTGACAGCTGATCCGGAGTCTGCCAAAGTGGTGAGGTGACTGCCCTGGAGTCAGCTGGGGAAGGGGTGCACAGGTAAAGGATGCCTGCCACACGTATCCCCCTCCCCAAGATCACCCTGGCTGCAATAAGCCAGAGGTGGTACTCTGGTCTGAAGACAGAGGTATAAGCCAAGGCATATATCCACTCAGGCAGCTCAAGCACAAGCATTTGCAGAGCCCAGATCCTTGAACTCGTGCTGTGTCCAAGTGAGTGAAAGCATGTCAGCAGCATTTCTGACAGCCTAATCTCATATAATCTAGTGAAAGAAATTCTACACCAGGCAGCAGGAGTGAGCTGCTTGCAAGGCTGCTCTCAGAACCAGATCTGGCCATGACGACTCCATAAACATGAATTCTGGAGCTTCTCAGGGCATCTGGTTGACCCTACATATGTGTGAGAGATGGGTAGGGGTAAGAGAGAGGGTTGGAGAGCACCCTGAAGAGGAGAAACAGCAAATGGGACCCACAGGGAAAGGACTTGGTCTGGAGCTCGGTTGCCCTACCTAGATGGCACCACTCACCCTAGCTAGTCCCAGCCACTGGAGAGAGACTTAGAAAATTTCAAGGTAGAAAATTGTGGTCAACAAGAGTCACATGGGATCTGGTCTAGACAGAGACACCCTTCCTAAATGGCATTGCTAGCCCCAGAAGGGCACTTACAAACTTTTGAGGAATACAGTCCAAAGTGCAGGACCCTCTTAAGGCACAGAGTCTGGCACAAGGGGCCTCACTTGCCTGAATCTAATGGTGTTACTACCATCAACCACTGGATACTATCCACTAAGAATTAACAGTAGGAGCAAGAAGGTGGGTTCAGCACTGAGCCAATGAAGTTTCTATCCGTCCCCTCATCCATCCATCCATCCATCCATCCATCCATCCATCCATCCATCCAACACATGTTCATTGAGCACTTAACACCATGCCAGTATTGTTTTAGGTTCAGGAAAACAGCAATGGGTCTGACCAACTATTTCTACCCCAAGCTGGTACTGCACAATTAAAAAAGAAGGAAAAATAAAACAAGAAAAAAATGGCCACAGACGTATCTCACATACAGCTGTTCATTTACAAACTTTTCTCAATTATGGTTCTTGAAAAGTGTTCCAATTACTGCGACTGTATACAATTTAACCCAAAACTTAGTGGTTGGGGTAAATGACAATGTTTATTTTACTCATGAATCTGCTATATGGACTGCTCAATATTTTTCATGGATCCACATCTCTTATGGGCTGCTCTCAATAGGGTTAGTTTGTCCCTGCTCAGCTTGGTGTCAGGTTGGGGTGGAGGCTTGAAGCCTGGGGGCTGGAATCATCTGAAGGCTTCCTCACTCATATGTCTGGCTATTGATGCTGACTGTCACCAGAAACTTAGCTAGGGCTGGTAGCTGGAACACCTCTTCATGTTTTCCTTATGTGGCTTGGGCTTCCTCCCAACATGGTGGCTGGGGTCCCAGAGTGAGCATTGTGATAGGGAGCAAGCCAGGTAGAAGCTGTGTCTTCTTTATGACCTAGCCCCAGAAATCACATAGCATCACTTTTGCCCTATTGGTTAGAATGGTCACAGACGCAGCCAGACTCAAGGAGAAGGAACATCAATCCCACTTCTCAGTGGGAGGAGTGTCGGTTACATCATAAGGAGAACCATGGGATGGATCATATAGATTGGTATGGCATCTCCCAGAATGATGCTTTCAGGGTAAATAAAACAAAAAAGACTGGTGTAGTGATCTTTGGAAAAAAGTCTGTCACAAAAGCTTATACCGCTGCTCCTCTTTTTTCCAATTCTGTGCCTTTCCAAACACACTATACACAATGATATTTTGACATTACAGTTCAGATGAAGACATTCCCCAGTTTAGTCGATGTTTCTAGTTAGAGATCATGCCGTGGAACAAATTTGAATTGTGCACTATGTTTGGAGATCCAAAATGTTTTACTATGTGTAGCATCTCATGTGTCTCTTAAGTTTATTGTACATGTGTGCTTTTCTCAAATGTTTCAAAGTGTTCTAATGTTTAGTCTTTAATTTTCCCTCAAGGTATATGTGCGTATGTGTGTTTTATTTTTATGTTTGTTTAAGTGAAGACTTCAAAAGTTTTAAAAAATTAGCAAAGAGTGCAGAAAAAACATATCTTTTATGCCAGGCACAGTGATGTGTGCCTTTAGTTCCAGCTACTTGGGAGGCTGAGGCAGGTGGATCGCTTGGGCCTGGGAGTTTGAAGCCAGCCTGGGCAACATAGCGAGGCCCTGTGTCTTAAAAAAACAAACCATCATTTAGAGAACCACTCACTTGCATCTCTCCTCCACCAACTTGCACCTAATATTAAATCTTGTCTTTCTGTCCAGAGCAGTAAGTCTTACTGCCTTACATGTTATGTAAAAACCATATTTTAAGCAAAATTATTTGTTTGTATAATTTTCTGTTGCATCAATATATTTTTTCTGTTAAAAATATTTAGGTGCCTTAGGCTGGAATTGAACACAATTTTGCCCATTTTAATTAATGGGAAAAATTTAACAGCTTTCCACTTAGAAGCAGAATTTCAGGAATGAATTGAAACCACTAGAAGGGTGATAGCTGTATTTTCATCATCTCCCCAAGGGCTTTGGGACAGCTTTCCCATCCTCTGTGCCTGTCACTTTTCCAATTCCCATCACCCGTTGTTCTTCCAGTTAGTCACCCCTCCCTTGTCTGTTACAGGGGTTCAGTATTAATTGTGTTAGAATGCATCTGGTTGCAAGTAACATAAAACTCAACAAACTCTGGTATATATAAGATCCCTCATCCCGATAAGACAGGAAGGTAGTACAGGGTTTGTGTAGCTGCTTGAGTATGACTTAAACAAACAGGCTCCTGTCTTTCTGCTCCACCTTCCTCAGCACAGCCCTCCTCATGGCCTCTAGGCTGCTGTGCTCCCAGGTGTTACCCAGTTCCAAGCATGAAGCAGGGGAAAAGTGAAGGACACAAACTTCTCCAAGGGAAGAAGGAAGGGAAGGTCTCCTTTGATACTTCTGCCTACATCTCAGTGGCCAGGACTTTGTCTCACTGCCACCCTTAGCAGCAAAGAAAGTTGAGAGTTGTGTGCTTTGCTTTTCAGCCCCTGTAGTATAGAAAGGCAAGGGAGTGGTTGAAATAGATCTTGAGTTAGCCAACTACATAATTTGTCACACTGTGTTTAATTGAAATGTATTGCTTGGATCCAGTGTCCTGGACATAGCCTCGTTCCTGTCCTAGCACATTCTTACCCTCCTTTTCCCTCTTCCTTCCTGTAGCTATTTTTCTGGGGGGTGAGGTGTGGTCTTGAGGAAACACTCTTCAGTTTTACCCTTTCTGTGAGGATACTAGTTCCCTTATCACTCATTCCTCCATAGTCTCTTCTAACTGAGGTGAGGAGTCAGAATCTTCTTTGCTCCCTTCTGCTTTTCAGACAACCGTGCCTTCACCTCTACTCAACACCCTGACCCCTCCTCCCTCTCTCAATACCCAAGGTCAGTCTCAAGGCCAGGTCCTCCGTGAAGAATTCCACCATCCCTCCCTCCTCTTCTTTCTCAGTCCAAGTTTCCTCCTTTAGATTCTCAAAGCACTTAAGCTGTACCTCTCCAATGGTATTATTTTCTTCGTTGAAGTGAAAGCAAATTATTGAAAGTGGTACTGTTTACAAAATGTCTAGCGCATGGCAGGTGCTCGAAGTAGTATCTCTTAGTATTATTACTACTGTCTTATCTCGATCAGATTCAGCTCTTTAATGAGAGGCTCTAAATCTTATGTTCGATTCACCTTTGTAACCCACACCGGGCCTGGAATAGAGCACTGTTCATAATTAATGCTGTGCCCGTGTAATAAGACGGCGGCGAGCAAAGGGCATCATTTCAGAGGAAGAGTGCTGTAATGGTGGGATGGGAGAAATTCCTAGAACCTAGGTGGGAGCCAGAATCTTGCAGAGAAGCCCCTTATCCGTCTGCACCGAAAGCAGGTAGAGTGGATGCCGTAAGATTCCTAAGGACGCAGGTAGAGCGCCTCCTCTGTGCCGCGATGAGGTAGGTGCATCCGTCACTTCACTCCTCCCTCTCCACTTGATCCGGAATGGGAGGAACGCAATGCGTCCCGCGCGGCGATCTGGGATAGCTGCGCAGGCGCAGCTTCCGGCTCTGTGTCTCGGGAATTATTTGACGCCACCGGTTCAGCCCCGTAGAAAGCTCTGATTAGGCGCACCGCGCACGCGCAGTGGCCCACTTGGCTGGGGAGTTATTTGACGCCGCCGCCCCTGGCAGTCGGAAGTTGCCTGAGCAGATCCCAGCCGGCTGGCTCGAGTGGCCTTCGTCGTCCCTTGGCGCCCTGGGAGAGTCGCTGACGGGTGGACTGACGGACCGCCTGAGGACGGCCGGCCAGGGCGGTGAAAGCGCCAGCCCTATGGCGCGGGTCGCGTGAGGCGGAAGGCCGAGGACGGCCGGCGGCGGCGCCCGCCCCGGCGATGCGGGCCCCGCCCGTCGCCTCAGGTAACCGGGCAGCCGGCCCCGCCGCGGCCGGACCCTCCCCTCTCCTTCCCTCTCTTCCCCACCTGGCGGTCAAGGGACGGCTGAGGCTTGTTTCTCGGCTCTGGGTGCTCCAGGGGCCCGGCCTTTGGAAGCTCATCTGCAAATTTTTGGGAGACCCACGGGGGCGGGGAAAGCTTGGCCCTGGAGTGGGCGGCTGCTGTCGAGTCTGTGTAAACCCGGTCTAATCCTTGGGAGCTACCCCGGCCAGGCGAAGCTCTCTCCTGGCAACCTGGGGGAGGGGGCGGGTCTGGAGCGGAGCTAGACAACTCCCGCAAAGAATTTGGTCCAGCAGAAAGGTTAGGCAAGTTGCTGCCGCCCAGTGGGGACGATGCTGCCCATTGCACAGTGACACTTTGATGAGGGAGAGTTGATGATGGGAGTAAACAGCTAACCCCCATTAAGCGCTTCTTATCCGCCAGGCATCATGCCAGGCCATTACGTTCTCCACGTCTAACTTCACAGCAACCCTGTGAGGTAGGATTGTTGTCCCCATTTTACTGACGAGGCAACTGAGTCCCTGGGTGGTTGGGTGACTTAATTACCCAAGGTCACATAGCTAGTAATTTGAACCGGAGCATCCGACCCAAGTGCTTAACAATTAGGGCAGTGGCTCTCCAACTTTGCTACACTGTAGAATCACCTGGGGGAAATTGTAAAGGTTTCTGATGCCCATGTGGCATCCCAGACCAAAACAATCAGAATGTCTGGAGTTGAAAGCCAGACTTCAATATTTTTTTTTTAAAGATGCCCAAGTGATTCCAGCTTGCAGCAAAGTTTGGGAACCGCATGTAATTTGATAATTCTGCATCTCAAAAAGCATCTCTCTTTCTCCAGCTTAAGTGTGCAGGAGAATTGTCTGGGAGCTTGTTAAACTTGCAGGTTCCACCCGCAGAGATCTTTAGGTTGACTGACCACTACACCTTGTGAAAGACTGTTAGGGATGGAATTCTCTGCAGGGATTCTGAGTCATCTGGAACATTTAAAATGTATGCATCTTATGCAAACTGCTCGTTTGCAATTTTCCTAAATATACAGTACTTATAGGTGTAGCGTCTGTAACCTCTGGGTCGTTTTTACATATGCTGGAAGTCTGCCTAGACCATCCTCTGAACGTTCTGGCCATCCCACCCAAACGCACACACTTCTGCTCTCTCCTATATGCATATACACACCCTTTTCTTTTCTTTCTTTCTTTTTTTTAGACAGAGTCTTGCTCTGTTGCCCAGGCTGGAATGCAGTGGCATGATCTTGGCTCACTGCAACTTCCGCCTCCTGAGCTCAAGCAGTCCTCCCACCTCAGCCTCTCAAGTAGCTGGGACTACCACGCTTGGCTAATTTTTGAATTTTTTTTGTAGAGATGGGGTTTCTCCATGTTGCCCAGGCTGGTCTCAAACTCCTGGGCTGAAGCAGTCCACCCACTATGGTCTGCCATAGTGGTGGGATTACAGATGCGAGCCACTGTGCCAGGCCTACATACCCTTTTCTTCCTGTCTCTGGCTGCATTAGCTTTAAGCATTCCCTTCAAGATACCTCTGTCCCTGACCCCTACCCACCTTGAGTCCTTCCAATTTGCTCTTTAGGAACATCGTAGTGAAACTTATCAGTTATTTTTCTGAGTTGTAGTTCTATCCCTACTTCTAGATTATGAGAAGCTTTAGGGCAGGGACTATGTTTTCTTCATCTCTGTATTCCTTCCAGTGCTTTGACATACAGACTCACAAAGCTTTTACTCAGTGGAATGTTTGGGTCCTTTTATGTCATAGATAGATCATGTTGCGAACAGATTCTTCTCTATTTCCATTTTTGTAAAAGATGTTTGGTAGTTCCCAGCTTATAGAGTTTTGTTCTTTTTGCTTAGGAGTGAGTATTCTAGTTATGTTCAGCAATTTGTCCAGCAGTTGAACACACACATTGAGTTCTTACCAATTGCAAGGCACTCTGTAACTAACCATGTGCAATCAACATTGTTTGATTTTTAATGTCTGATTCTATCACAATCGGACGCAATCATGTCTGTAGGGAAAGTCTTTTTATTACTGTTAGACCTTTGCATGTGTTCCCTACTTCATTGTCCAAAAAAGTGTTTAGTTGTCATCCACTAAATGCCACTGCCTTGTTGGTATTTGGTAAATACAAGCAGATGGGATTGCCATTGGTAATGTTTGGTCCTGTTCACCAGGAGAGAGGACGTTAAGTACTTAATGAAGAGTAAAATCATGTTGTCACAGGAATTGACAAATTTAGCACATATTTATTGCAGAATGCCTGAACTGCCATTGCCCCATTTGCCATATTTACAAGTTTAAAGGAAGGCAGACCAATAATTCAGATTGGATTTGTTCTTGGTTGGTCTTAAAACCATGTAAGGATTTGCAAAAGTTAGTGAATATGTGTGTGAAGGTCATTATGAGGAGGTTTTTGGACAATAAAGATTTTTTTTTGTATAGCAATTAAACATGACAAAGTATGTAGACTGAATTAAAAACACATTTCATAAAATTTTTTTTTTCTTTTTTTTTTTTTTGAGATGCAGTCTCGCTCTGTCCCCCAGGCTGGAGTGTAGTGGCGCAATCTCAGCTCACTACAACCTCCGCCTCCTGGGTTCAAACGATTCTCCTGCCTCAGCCTCCTGAGTAGCTGGGACTACAGGCACCCACCACCACACCTGGCTAATTTTTTTGTATTTTTAGTTGAGAGGGGGTTTCGCCATGTTGGCCAGGTTCATGTCGAACTGCTGACCTTAAGTGATCTGCCTGCCTAGTCCTCCCAAAGTGCTGGGATTACAGGCATTAGCCACCGTCCCCAGCCCATAAAATATTCTTTATAAGGATTGTTATAGAAAAATTTTCTTGGTTCCGTTTTGTATTATTTGGTCAGTTTTTAGGCTTAGCACTAATAGAAACTGATGGGACAACTTATGTTAAATTCAGATACTCAAGAAACTTGTCCTTGTGTGTCTGATCAGATAGGGACACAGTATCCAGTTCTTGCTTTAGCACATGGAAGAAACTCAATCTTTAAGGCTGAAGGTTTAAGTCTGTAGTTGTGCCCCAAAGTAAAGGTGAAAAATTCCACATGCTCAGAGAACAAAAGTGACTCTAATCATGATAGCTTGGGACCTAGAAATGGATTCTGTTTAATACGAGGTACTCATCAGTGTTAGCAGGTGTGTTTCCTGACATGTGCAAAGACTTTTTGGGCAGAATAGTTGATTTTCTTTGGTGCGAGATGATTTAAGTTTTAAAATTAAGGTGCATGGAGTTTCATTCTAACTTTTTATAGATGCGGAAAGTAACTTGGTCAAGGCTACATGGTTAGCTTCTAGCACCTCCAGGACTAGAAAGCAGGCCTCCTTCCTCTGGACGGTGTCCCCTTTCGCCCCCGACCCCTTCCCCATGAGAAAGGTTGTCTTGTGTATTGTTGTGTTGTGTTTGCCTGTCTGTGTGTGCATGGGATAGGGAAGGGGAGAGAGTGATCTGCTATGTTTGAGAAACTCAATTAGATATCTAGAGGCCCCTCGACTTATGATGGGATTACTTCCCAATAAACCTATCAAAGTTGAGAAGATCGTAAGCCAAAAATGCATTTAATATACCTACTGAACAGAATAGCTTAGCCTCATCTACCTTAAACATGCTCAGAACATTTACATTAGCGTACAGTTGAGCAAAATTGTCTAGCACAAAGCCTATTTTATAATAAAGTGTTGAATATTTCATGTAATTGATTGAATATTGTACTGAAAGTGAAAAACAATGGTTATGTGGATAATCAGAGTACGGTTTTTACTGAACGCATATCACTTTCACACCCTGGTACAGTTGAAAATAATAAGTTGAGGATAGTGAGTACTTGGTGTGTGAAATGCACTTAGCTATATAAACTGGGAATACAAAGATAAATAAGACACGGCCCCTGTCCTCAAGGAGTCTAATCAAAGTTATAATAAAATAATAGTGTAGTATCTGAAGCAGCTCTGTCAAATAGAATTTTCTGCAATCATGGAACTAAATCTTACTTGCTCTAATATGGTAGCCACTGGCCACATGTGACTTGTAAGCATTTAAAATGACTAGTGTAACCAAGGAAGTGATGTTTGACTCAAATAGTTTAAACTTAAAACTATTAAAATTAAAAGTTTTTAAAATTTAAATAGTTACATGAAATAGCTGCTGTATTGGACAGAGGTCTGTTTTATGCCTCAGAGAAGGTCTCAGGCATAAAAGATGAGAACTGTGGTGGTGCTGGTAGGGGGCAGACAGGGTATTCAAACGTTCTTTGGGTAGCTTACCAAAAACTACCATTTTCCATGTTTTGGGAGAGATGCAGGCAGAACCTGTCTTTGTTTCCTGTAATTCAGGTGTTTGATAGGATCTCTAATAGCATCTGGTACATAGGTGAATACCTTCCTTTTTTGCCAGCTTTATTGATGTTTGCCTTATGGGGTCAATGGGACTGCAACAGCAATATGAATCATGAGGTTATATGGATGAATTTGGTGCACCTTAAAAAAAGCACAGTTTATTTATTTGCTCAGTGTTTTAGCACCCTGTATCCTATTTTTCCCAAGAGAAATAGGCATGTCTTATAATGTGTACCTTCCATTGGTACATTTCAAAGTATGTCAACTTAGGTTGCTTTATTTGATCCTTCTCCCAGGTCACTCTAGATAGGCACTGCAGGTATTCTCCCTGTTTTACAGATGAGGAAACTATGACAAAGAAATGCCAGGTCACCGAGTGCGGTGGCTGACTTGTAAACCTAACACTTTGGGAGGCCGAGGTGGGAGGATTGCTTGAGCCCAGGAGTTTGAGGCCAGCCTGGGCAGCATAATGAGACTTTGTCTCTATAAAAATTTTTCTAAAAATTAGCGGCGCATGGTGACACACACCTGTGGTCTGTTACTTGGGAGGCTGAGTGGGAGGATTACTTAAGCCTGGGAGGCAGAGGCTGCTGTGAGCCGAGATCGTGCCACTGCACTGTAGCCTGGGCGACAGAGTGAGACCTTGTCTCAAAAAGAGAAATGCCAGTTGACTTATCCAAAGTCATATGGTGAGGTATGGAGTCAGGACAAAGGGAAGTAGCATTGCACTTTGAGGCAAGAGGTGGAGTTTCTTGTCCCAGATCCGCTGTTACTTGATGTGATCCTGAGCAAGTCATAGCTTTACTTTGTTTCCTTACCTAGTGGTTAGTGACGTCTGTCTTACCTAACCTTCTAGGGTTGTTATTGGAATAAAATGAAGTAACATGTAAAAGCTCTTTGAAAATGATAAATTATGCAAAGGTACAATGTGCTCAAGCAAGACCTCAAGTAGTTTTTCTTTTTTTTTGAGACGGAGTCTCGCTCTGTCACCCAGGCTAGAGTGCAGTGGCGTGATCTCAGCTCACTGCAACCTTCGCCTCCCAGGTTCAAGCTATTCTCCTGCCTCTGCCTCCTGAGTAGCTGGGATTACAGGCAGCCGCCACCACACCCGGCTAATTTTTTTATTTTTATTATTATTTATTTTATTTTATTTTTTATTTTTGAGACAGAGTTTCGCTCTTGTTGTTCAGGCTGGAGTGCAGTGACGCCACCTCGGCTCACCGCAGCCTCCACCTCCTGGGTTCAAGTGATTCTCCTCCCTCAGCCTCCTGAGTAGCTGGGATTACAGACATGCGCCACCACGCCCAGCTAATTTTGTATTTTTAGTAGAGACGGGGTTTCTACATGTTGGTCAGGCTGGTCTCGAACTCCCGACCTCAGGTGATCTGCCTACCTCGGCCTCCCAAAGTCCTGGGATTACAGGCATGAGCCACTGCACCCGGCCAATTTTTGTATTTTTAGTAGAGATGAGGCTTTGCCATATTGGCCAGGTTGGTCTCAAACTCCTGACCTCAAGTGATCCACCCGCCTCGGCCTCCCAAAGTGCTGGGGTTACAGGTGTGAGCCACCACATCCAGCCTCAAGTAGTTTGTTTTGTTGTATTATGCTGCTGTCGTAACTCATCAGTTACCATATTGAATACTAC
Source organism: Homo sapiens (assembly GCF_000001405.40). NCBI lineage: Eukaryota > Metazoa > Chordata > Mammalia > Primates > Hominidae > Homo > Homo sapiens. The sequence goes on from NC_000020.11 coordinate 38,479,117, forward strand.
TGTACCATGGTGTCATCTTTGATTTCTCTTGTCTTCCTCACTATGAAACTTTCTCTTGGGCAGCCATTGTGTTTTGTTTATATTAGGATTTGTCCTAAATCCTAGGACAAATTTGACATGTAGCTGGTGTTTAATGTTTGTTTAATGAAATAACTGATGTCTGGATGTACTTTACAAAGTTTTAAAGAATTGTTTTTTGTAATGAGACTTGAAGCTCCTTGGGAACAGGGATGTTGTTTATTTTCTGTGCTTGTTGCATAGAAGGCATGTAATAAATATTGTTTGAATCAATTGATGTAATTAATGTCAGGCTATGGTCTTAGAGTGTCCACCATTGTATTGATTATTTTGGTAATTTGTCATTTAGACCAAACTTGCATGTTATTTTGCGGTGGTGCTTACAAGCCATAAGCTGTTACCCAGCACACACAACCTCCAGAGAGAATACCTAGAAAATGAGTACATATAGAGTTGGGAAGGAAATTAAGGGATCTGCAGGGGAGCACTGTTGACTTCTTCCCCTTCTTCCCATTATATTTACTTCTGGAGCATTGAAGGTAGAGGTTTCTCTGCTAGCAGCTCAGGTTGATAGCAGACAGCCACCTGGGGAGGGGACTCAGGATCCCTAATATAGCAGTTGAAGTCCTTAATCATCTAACTTGACAGTTATATCATTATATCTCACTACAGTGCCTGAAACCTCCCTGTTACCCCCCTGACCGCCCTCAACCTTAGCCTATATGGTAGCCACATTGGAGTTTGCTCTTCTACTATCCCTTCAGTGTATCTTGGACACTTCCATCAAATTGCTTTAATGGAAATTTAGTTCCCGATGTGTCATGCCTGTGGTAAGGTTAAACTTTCTTCTTTTTTTTTTTTGTTTGAGACAGGGTCTTCTTCTGTTGCTCAGGCTGGAGTGCAGTGGTGCGATTTTGGCTCACTGCATCCTCCACCTCCTGGGTTCAAACGATTATCATGCCTCAGGTTCCCGAATAGCTGGGATTACAGGTGTGTGCCACCATGCCCGGCTAAGATAAGGTTAAACTTTTGCTCATTTTCTGCCTCCAGTTTTACTGAATTAATTACAAATATTCAATCCTAACATTCAGAGTCCTTCAAAATTGGTCACTGCTTACCTTTGAAACCTTACCACCTTCTACATATAGCTTTCTTTCCTTTGGCTCTGGGTTTTCGGTTTCTAGTGCTTTTTTTTTTTTTGCTACCTGAAGCAAGTTTCCTTTCTTTTATGTATTTTCTTTTCTTTCTTTCTTTTTTTTTTTTTTTTTTTGAGATGGAGTCTCGCTCTGTCACCCAGGCTGTAGTGCAGTGGCGTGATCTTGGCTCATTGCAACCTCCGCCTCCTGGGTTCAAGCGATTCCTCTGCTTCAGCCTCCTGAGTAGCTGGGATTACAGGCGCACGCCACCATGCCCTGCTAGTTTTTGTATTTTTAGTAGAGATGGGGTTTCACCATGTTGGTCAGCCTGGTCTTGAACTCCTGACCTCAGGTGATTTCACCTGCGTCGGCCTCCCAAAGTGCTGGGATTACAGGCATGAGCCACCACACTTGGCTCTTCTATGTATTTTGTTCTCTCTTTTATCTGTGACTCCCCCACCCCCGCCCCCCCCTTTTTTTTTTTTGAGACGGAGTCTCGCTCTGTCACCCAGGCTGGAGTGCAGTGGCGCAATCTTGGCTCACTGCAAGCTCCGCCTCCCAGGTTCACACCGTTCTCCTGCCTCAGCCTCCTGAGTAGCTGGGACTACAGGCGTGTGCCACCACGCCCGGCTAATTTTTTTTTGTATTTTTAGTAGAGACGGGGTTTCACCGTGTTAGGATGGTCTTGATCTCCTGACCTCGTGATCTGCCCATCTTGGCCTCCCAAAGTGCTGGGATTACAGGCGTGACCCACTGTACCCGGCCTCATCTGCCCCTTTTTACCCTCAGTCTTATCACCTCAATTTTCTTACCTCCATCAAAATTATACCCTTCCTTCAATGCACAATTCGTATGCTCTGTATCTGTAGTCTTTCCTGATCTTACCCTGTTGTTTTCCAGCTCAGCCTATCTTTCAATCAAAAGTAATCTTTTTCCTTTGAACTTCCGTGGTGTCTTGCCTATAGTTTTTAAAAATATCACATTCAACATTTTAATGTTCTAACTTATGTTATAGTTATTTATGGTAGGTATTAGTCTGTTTTCATGCTGCTGATAAAGACATACCCAAGACTGAGCAGTTTACAAAAGAAAGAGGTTTAATGGAGAAATCCTAGTTCCACGTGGCTGGGGAAGCCTCACAATCATGGCAGAAGGCAAGGAAGAGCAAGACACATCTTATGTGGATGACGGCAGGCCAAGAGAGAACTTGTGCAGGCAAACTCCGGTTTTTAAAAAGCCATCAGATCTCGTGAGATTCATTCGCTGTCATGAGAACAGCGCAGTGAAGACTTGCCCCCATAATTCAGTCACCTCCCACAGGGTTCCTCCCATGACATATGGGAATTGTGGGAGTTACAATTCAAGATGAGATTTGAGTGGGGACACAGAGCCAAACCATATCAATGTATACATCTTAATCTCCTTAATTAAGCCATAAACTCATTGAAAACAGGAACCAAGTCCTATTAATCTTTCTTCTTCATGGTTTTAACACTGCATTGGACAAAATAGATGGTTAATAGCTGTTTATTGAATAAGTCTACTTGGTGGTCCCCGCCAGTGTCTCTGAATGTTCATATGTATAGTCAGGATGCTGACATATACTTACCAATTCTATGACATAAAGATGTAGTAATAAAAACATATTACATTAAGTTGTACCAACATTTCTACCACTAAGTTAAAACTACAGTTGACTCTCGTACATCATAAGGGTTAGGAGCACTGACCCTGTGCAATCAAAAATTTTCAAGTAACTTTTGACTCTGCCAAAACTAGTAATAGTCTTCTGTTGACCAGGAGCCTGGCCAATAACATAAACAGTCAAATAATACATATTTTGTATATATATTATATGCTATATTCTTAAAGTAAGAGAAAAGAAAATGTTATTAAGAATTAGAAGGAAGAGAAAATGTATTTACTATTCATTAAGTGGTAGTGGATCATAAAGGTCTTCATCCTCATCATCTGCATGTTGAGTAGGCTGAGGAGTAAGGGGAGGCATTAGTTTTGCTGTCTCAGGGATGGCAGAAATGGAAGAAAATCCATATGTAAGTGGACCTTAGCAGTTGAAACCCATGTTGTTCAAGGGTCAACTGTACTTGCATTTCTCTACCATCCTTCTAATCTTTAGTCACAGCTGTATGTTTATCTTTTTTTTTTTTTTTTTTTGAGACAGAGTCTTGCTGTGTTGCCCAGGCTGGAGTGCAGTGGCGCCATCTCGGCTCACTGAAACCTCACCCTCCCAGGTTCAAGAGATTCTACTGCCTCAGCCTCCCAAGTAGCTGGGATTACAGGCACACACCACTAAGCCCAGCTAATTTTTGTATTTTTTAGTAAAGACAGGGTTTCACCATGTTGGTCAGGCCGGTCTCGAACTCCTGACCTCAGGTGATCCACCCACCTTGGCTTCCCAAAGTCCTGGGATTACAGGCGTGAGCCACCGCGTCTGGTGTATGTGTTTATCTGGTTGTAATTATGATATATATGTTTTTCTTTCTCTAATAGTTATTTATTGATTGCTTACATGGACAAGGGCATGTTTCAAACGGATTACATATGTGATTCTTTAATCACCACCACAAGAAACACAATGTGTAGGCTCCTAATCTACTATTTGCTTTTTTTTAGACAGAGTCCCGCTCTGTAGCCCAGGCTGGAGTGAGTGAAGTGGCACAATCATGGCTCACTGTAGCCCCAACACCAGGATCCAAGTGATCCTCCCACTTCAGCCTTCAGAGTAGCTGGGACTACAGGTGTGTGCCACCACGCCTGGCTAACTTTTTTGTGTTTTTTGTAGAGTTGGGTTTTCTCCATGTTGCCTAGGCTAGTCTCAAAGTCTTGGACTCAAGCAATGTGCCCGCCTCCGCCTCCCATGGTGCTGGGATTATAGGCGTGAGCCACCATACCTGGCCTTATTCTATTATTATCCCCATTTTACAGATGAGGATGTTCCAACACAAAAGTAGAGTAACTTTTGCAACGTTACCCAGCTTGCAGGTAGAGCTGGGATTTGAATCTATGAAGCCTAGTTCCAGAGCACTGGCTCTTAACCACTCTCATCTATGTTTTTATGCTTCTCTGTAATCTCAGTGTTTAATGGCTACATAATAGTATATAGAATTAATATGTCCTAATTATGAAATTTTCCCATTATTGATGGAAGTTAAATTACACCCACTTCCCCATCTTATATGTAATACTACAGTGAGCATCTTGTACATTTTTAAAAATTGAGCTGTTTTATAAGGATAAACAAGTCAAATTACCGGGTCAAGGCACCCTTTGTCTTCTGCTTTGTACTGGCAAAACGTTCATGCTATCCTTGGGTGAATGTTTAGGAAATGACATATCAGCCTGAGGTGCCTTACAAGTGTGCCAACTTACTAACGGGATGGAGCTACAAACAACCCCATGGCAAGTAGACTAAGACATGGCAAGTGTGATCAAGACATGTGAGGGTTCTGCCATGGTGCTATCCTGAGAGGTTGATTCTTGCCTAGGAGGGCCTAGGTGGTGCAGCAGTACTGGCTCCTGAAAGTAACGTTCTCCAGGATCTCCAAGGTTTGTTGCTTTGGATAGCCTAAGCCGCAACAGCAAGAGGAGGTTCTTATTTGTGTGTTTAAGAGTAGGCTGGGCAGGCGCAGTGGCTCATGCCTGTAATCCCAGCACTTTGGGAGGCCGAGGTGGGTGGATCACAAGGTCAGGAGTTCGAGACCAGCCTGGCCAATATGGTGAATACTAAAAATACAAAAATTAGCCAGGTGTGGTGGTGGGCGCCTGTAGTCCCAGCTACTCAGGAGTCTGAGGCAGGAGAATTGCTTGAACCCAGGAGGCGAGGTCACAGTGAGCCAAGATGGCGCTATTGCACTCCAGCCTGGGTGACAGAGTGAGACTCCATCTCAAAAAAAAGAAAAGAAAAGAGTAGACTGGCCACTGACAATACTGGGCCTAATGGAACTCCCTCTACCAAATCTGTCACTGCACTTTGCCTTCATCCCTTTTTTCCCTAACAGCAACCACGATGAAATAAAGTGAAGTTGTAGGACCTCCATAGTTGGGTTATAAGCCCAGCCCCAGCAACAAAGGTGGGTTGGGGTGACTTCTGGGGCACCAACAGCTTATACAAAGTATACACTTCACTATCCTCTTTCCACAAGGATTTTGCTATAATTCAGTTACCAAAACTAGTATATGCCTTTATCTGTGATCAGAGGCATAAATTGGACCATAGATAAGTTCTTTTTTAGCTGACATTGTGTTTTTTTGTTTTTGTTTTTGTTTTATTTTGTTTTGAGTTTAGTTGATAACATTTAAAGAGTAGGAGACTGTAGAAATGTCCAGATTTTCTGTGTCTCTTCAAAAATTGGATTATCTGGCAAGTCTAGGTCTGCATTCCTTCTAGGTGACAGCTAGAACTGTGTAATAGCTGTAAACAGAGCTTGTATACTAGCTCTTGTTGCCCAGGCTGGAGTGCAATGGCGCGATCTCGGCTCACAGCAACCTCTGTCTTCCAGGTTCAGGTGATCCTCCTGCCTCAGCCTCCTGAGTAGCTGGGATTACAGGCATGCACCACCATGCCTGGCTAATTTTGTATTTTTAGTAGAGTTGGGGTTTTTCCATGTTGGTCAGGCTAGTCTCCAACTCCCAACCTCAGGTGATCCACCCGCCTTGGACTCCCAAAGTGCTGGGATTACAGGTGTGAGCCACCACCACACCTGCCTGGTGATGTGATTTTTCTAGAGTTGTGAACAGTTCTTGGTTCTAAAGATAATGAAGCTTAGTCTTCCTCAATTTATATGATTAATTGCATTATTGGAAAATTCAGTCTATTAAAATAGCACAATATATTTTGTATTTATATGTAAATGAAGTTAATTTTTAGGCTCAGACAATGGTTTTCTAGCAGATGTTCAAAAGTCATGTGAGATGTGGCATAATTGTTCATTGTGCAGGACTGTCTCATGCAGTACAGGATGTCTAGATTTCCTGACTCTGCCTGTAATACCAGCAGCTTGCCCTACTCATTGTGCTAACCAAAAGTACACTTATTTCCACAGTGCCTCTAGGTGACAGGTTTTTCTATTAAAAATCATTGCCCTAATCTCTCAGTTGGGTCCTTACCTCCTCATCAGAGTTGAGTTTTTTGTTTTTTTGTTTTTTCTTTTTTTGAGATGGAGTCTTGCTCTTGTCACCCAGGCTGGAGTGCAGTGGTGCGATCTCAGCTTACTGCAACCTCTGCCGCCTGGGTTCAAGCCTCTCCTGCCTCAGCCTCCTGAGTAGTTGGGAATTACAGGTGCCCGCCACCACACCCGGCTAATTTTTGTACTTTTAGTAGAGACGGGGTTTTGCCCTGTTGGCCATGCTGGTCTCAAACTCCTGACCTCAGGTGATCTGCCCGCCTCGGCCTCCCAAAGTACTGGGATTACAGGTGTGAGCCAGAGTTGAGTTTTATCGCTTGTTTTGTTAGTTTAATAGGTACAAAATGATACTTTAGTTGCCTTTGTGTTTTTTCCATGTTTGTTTCTAATGTTTATGTTCTCTTCATTGTTTTACTTAATATATCCGTAATTATAATGCATTTCTTTGTTTTAATGTTTTTTGTCTGCATTTTGTTAAAGTTTAGCATCTTTTTTCTGTTACATATATTTTGATGTTTTAGTTCAGCTTTTTCATTGTATCCTTTCTATATCTTTTTTTTTTTTTTTTTTTTGAGATGGAGTTTTGCTTTTGTCGCCCAGGCTGGGGTGCAATGGCACCATCTCTGCTCACTGCAGCCTCCACCTCCCGGTTTCACGTGATTTTCCTGCCTCAGCCTCCCAGGTAGCTGGAGTTACAGGTGTGTGACACCATGCCCAGCTAATTTTTGTATTTTTAGTAGAGACAGGGTTTCACCATGATGTTGTCCAGGCTGGTCTCGAACTCCTGACCTCAGGTGATCCACCCACCTCAGTCTCCCAAAGTGCTGGGATTACAGGTATGAGTCACCACGCCTGGCCTATATCTTTCTATTTTACATGTTTCTTGAAAGCATTTTTTGGTTTCATTTAATCATTTAAACATTAATACATTTAGAGAATGAAAATTTCTTACATTTAAAAACTTAAAAAAAGTTTGTCAGAAGGATTTAATAGCTATTAAACCTATTTTGATTGGTCTTTCATAAGGTATACTCCTCTCTTCAGAATTGGGAGGGTAGTGGCCATTTCTTAAAAATGCAGATTCTCAGGCCCCAGCTCAGACCTGCAGAATTGAGCTTTTTCTGAATGGGGTCTAGGAGTCTGCATTTTCAGCTAGACCCTTTCCTCCCCTGATGATTCTTAAGTGTACAGTAGAGTTTGAGAGCTAGTTTGTCCTTTTTTTTCTTCTTAAAATCTGTTTTCTTCCAATAATATGCTGTGATGGATCCTGAATATTAAATATTCATTTAGTATTTGGAAACCATCCAACTTTTATTTTTACTAGTAATTAGCTTCAAACAAGTGAACATTTTTAAATTTTTATTTGAATATAACATACAAAATTTTGGACACACTTTAGTGGAATAGAGGGAATACCTTCTGATATCTTCCTTTTTCCCACTGGTAAACCTTGACACTCTCAAACACATGGTCAATGTCCACTGTGTGCTAGGGACTCAGAGGTTCAGGAGGCAAGGTCCCCACCCAAAAAAGGCTGACACTTTTGTGGTGAATGTATCCGTACACCACTAATGAATGAGCTAATGGCAGCTTTATATGAACATCCGGTAATAGGCACTCAGCTGAGAGGAGTTGGTCTAAGGAGTCAAGAAAGGTTTTACCAAAGAGAGGACATTTGAGTTGGGCTTTGAAGGCTGAGTACTTCATAAGATGGATCAAGGCAGGGAATGGCAGTTCAGTCAGTGGGAGCAGCATGACCAGTGACTTAGGGTAAGAAAGGATTTGCTGGGCTTGAGCAATCATCAGTAGTTCTTTGTGGCCATTGCTTGGGATGTTTGTGGGAAAGTGGCAGTAGAAGATGAGGCTGGCAAGGTAGTGTATGCAATTCCCATTAGAATTGTAGCAAGGCTTTATTGTTGATTTTTTTTTATTTGGATAAAATAATAAATCGTATACTGAAGAATAAATGTCTAGAGAAGACAATAAAGTTTTGGAAAAAACATTCTATAAAGCCACTGAACTTAAATCATTATGGGTTGGCATGGGAATAGACAAGTAGTTGAGTAGAACAGAAGTTTCATAGATTCTAGAAGAAATGAAAATTTAATATATGACAGAATTAGTATTTCAGTTTAGTGCGAAAAGGATGTATTTTTAAGAGGTGATGCTGACACAACTGACCATACATTTAGAAGAAAGTAAAATCAGACCTTTCCTACACCACTTACAGAAGTAAATTCCAGATGAATATACAAGTTAAGTGAAAAATTATGCAATTATCTTGCAGGAAAATCTAGGAGACTACATATTCACATTAGGGTTATGTTTTCAAATTTTTGGACTAAGACCTATCATAACAAATGTATTTTCCGCTGGGCACGGTGGCTCACACCTGTAATCCCAGCACTTTGGGAGGCTGAGGCGGGTGGATCACCTGAGGTCGGGAGTTCGAGACCAGCCTGACCAATGTAGAGAAACCCTGCCTCTACTAAAAATACAAAATTAGTCGGGCATGGTGGTGCATGCCTGTAATCCCAGCTACTCAGGACGCTGAGGCAGGAGAATTGCTTGAATCGCGGAGGTTGCTGTGAGCCAAGATCACACCATTGTACTCCAGCCTGGGCAACAAGAGCAAAACTTCGTCTCAAAAAAGAAAAAAAATGTATTTTCCATTGTGACCCAGAACATATGCATATATTACAAAGGAAACAAGTTTCACAGAAACATTGCTTGCCTTTATTATGTGTGATGCCTTTATCATACATCCTATACCATCTAATTAAAACAAGTATTATCCATAACATTTATTTCATGACCCATAGTTTGAAAAACATTGATAGTTTCATGACCCACAGTTTGAAAAACATTGATAGAGGCAAGATGTTTGCAGCATTCTTTATCATGCCAATAGTCTATACATCTGTTTTATTTATTTCTGTTAATTTCCAATAGTATAATTTGACATGCATTTCTGTTTTGTCTTTTCAGGTGCCATTTGGATTGTACTTTAGTGGCACGATGTACTCTGAGTGGAGGTCACTGCATTTGGTGATTCAGAATGATCAAGGCCATACCAGTGTGCTGCACAGCTATCCAGAGAGCGTTGGACGAGAGGTGGCAAATGCTGTAGTCCGTCCTCTTGGGCAGGTGTTAGGTACCCCTTCAGTGGCTGGTAGTGAGAATTTGTTAAAAACTGACAAAGAAGTAAGTGTTTCTAAATTTCATTCTCTTATATGAAAATGTACATTTGTTCTTGAAGAATTTGTTTAATGTTAACTTTTTTGTTCTTTTTTCTTTGAAAAGAGCTGTAGTAGAATAACGTCAACTTTTTAATGGATTTCTCCCCAACGTAGTATGACTTCTCAATTTTGATCTTGTTTGAGTTGAGGGCTGGGACTCGGAGTTTGTGGAGGTTATAAGGAGTGAGTTGTACTGTTTTGCTGCTGGGACTTTTTACTAGTTATGGTCAATTCTCCACTTGAGCTGAAGGCCAAGACAAAGACTTGAATGTCAAACACTTCCCCCAAAGATCTAGGCTTAGTCTTCTGATTTCCATTTAGAGTGTGTTTGGAAGGCCTCATCCCTACCTCTGGATGGCCCCTGACTGAAGACTCATGTCAAGTTTTCAGGCTATGTGTATGCTGTGCTTAAGCTCTCCCCTGTCCCCATCCCTACCTACTCCTTCCTGGCTTCCAGGTTTAAGAGTGCTGCAGAGAAGCCAAGCCCTTCTGGCCTAAGCCTAGGTGATTGGAATTGGGGTTGTGTTTGCTGTTTCTTTTTTTTTGACAGAGTTTTGCTTTGTCACTCATGCTGGTGTGCAGTGGCACCACGGCTCACTGCAGCCTCAGTCTCTCTGGGCTCAAATGATTCTTCCACCCCAGTGAGTCCCCAGTAGCTGGAACTACAGACACATGCCACCACGCCAGGCTAATTTAAAAAATTTTTTTATAGAGATGATGTTCTTACTATGTTGCCCAGGTTGGGTGTTTACTGTTTCTAAAGATAGGGGCTCTTGGAATGGCTTGCCCTGAAGCTGGCCCTTTGTTCTTGGGTTCAGCGGCCCAGGCTGAAGTTAAAAAGTTGCCATTGGGAAGTCATGAAGGGGCCCTGAGAATGGAGTGATAGAGGAGCTTGCTAGTATAAATTCTGGCTAAGATGCAGGATTAAAACTTTGTCCCTTGTGTTGAAGAAGCTCATGCAACCTTCAGACTTCATGTTTAGCAAAACCTGTACCCTATTTCTCAGACCCTTTTTTTCTGTTTGCTTTTTGGTTTCCTGTGAAGGAGAGATTAGACTTAGATATAAGACTAAAACTTGTAGCTCTAAGGGTAGGATCCTCCTTCAGCCATGGGTCTCTGAAGAGTAAAGGTCTTCAGTCTGAGGAACATTTTTCTCTCTTCAGAGGACCCTAGATTTATCCCCGAGGACTAGCACAGGCCCTAGTGTTTCTCTTCCTGGTGCGTTTGTGATCCCTTGTTGCCTTCTCCTGGGAAGAGATGGTACGTGAGTAGATAGAGGTGCTCTGATGCAGCCCTTTTTTTTCTCCTTTCTCACCATTGAAAAGAGATGAGAATTCCTGTTTCCTCTGGAATTATACTTTTTTTTTTTTTTTTGAGACGGAGTCTCGCTCTGTCGCCCAGGCTGGAGTGCAGTGGCATGACCTCGGCTCACTGCAACTTCTGCCTCCCGGGTTCAAGCGATTCTTCTGCCTCAGCCTCCTGAGTAGCTGGGACTACAGGCACATGCCACCATACCTGGCTAATTTTTGTATTTTAAAAATGTATTTTTATTTATTTATTAATTATTATTTTTGAGACGGAGTCTCGCTCTGTTGCCCAGGCTGGAGTGCAGTGGCATGATCTTGGCTCACTGCAAGCTCCACTTCCCGGGTTCACACCATTCTCCTGCCTCAGCCTCTCGAGTAGCTGGGACTACAGGCACCCACCACCATGCCTGGCTAATTTTTTGTATTTTTAGTAGGGACAGAGTTTCACCGTGTTAGCCAGGATGGTCTCAATCTCCTGACCTCGTGATCTGCCCGCCTCGGCCTCCCAAAGTGCTGGTATTACAGGCGTGAGCCACCGCGCCCGGCCTATTTATTTATTTTTTGAGACAGAGTCTCGCTCTTGTTGGCCAGGCTGGAGTGCAATGTCGCAATCTTAGCTCACCGCAACCTCTGCCTCCCAGGTTCAAGCGATTCTACTGCCTCAGCCACCCGAGTAGCTGGGATTACAGGCATGCACCACCATGCCTGGCTAATTTTGTATTTTTTTTAGTAGAGACAAGGGTTTCTCTGTGTTGGCCAGGCTGGTCTCGAACTCCTGACCTCAGGTGATCCACCCACCTTGGCCTCCCAAAGTGCTGGGATTACAGGTGTGAGCCACTGCACCCGGCCAATTTTTGTATTTTTGGCAGAGATGGGGTTTTGCCATGTTGGCCAGGCTGGTCTCGAACTCCTGATCTCAGATGATCCACAGTCCTTGGCCTCCCAAAGTGCTGGGATTACGGTTGTGGGCCACTACGCCTGGCCTAGAATTATAAAATTAAACAACTGTGTGAAGATGCCACCAAAGATATCTTCTTGGTTTTTCATCTGATAATTAGGGACCTGCAATGTCTTTTAGAATCTCTTCTCTTATGTGGCTAAATCTTGCTACACCCTGCTCCAAATTTGTCACAGCTTCACTGTGCTGTTATAGGCTTCTTTAACACTTACTGCAGTTAAACCATGTATTTCCTACCCTTAACCTTTGTAGTTGCTTTTGAGCTTAACAAATTTAATACATATATTTATCTTGTTAGATTTAACTTTGGTTTTAAGCTGTTGAAGCCTTTTTGAATCCTGAATTTCTGTCCAACAAGTTGGCCATCCTTTTTAGCTTTGTGGTATCTACAGATGATCAGCATACACTGTTTTTCTTTTTTTTTTTCCCCTAAGTTAGAATCTTGGCAGAGCCTTTGGCATGCCACTGAGCACCTTTTTCCAAAATGATCTTGGCATGTTAATCTACTGTTACTCTGTCATGTGATGTCTTGACCAGTTGTAAATCTAGCCATTCTACCATCCTCTGGGCCATATGTCTCCATCTTGTCCACAAGGAGATCCTGGGTCTGTCTAGATTTCTTGCTAACACCCAGATACCCGTTTGCCGGAGAACTCTGTTAATGGTATGGAGAGAATAGCTTAAAATTTCTAGTTGGAAGACCAGGGTTCAAGTTTTCAGCTCCACCTTTTATAAACCAGTGACTTATGCCAAATTGCTTAATCTTGCTAAGCTTCTGTTTTCTTATGTGTACAGTAAGGATAGTTTACCCTGTCTACACAGAGTTATTGTGATGGCTAGATGATATTTATGAAAGTGCTTTGTAAACTGCAAGGACTACACTGTTGTCAGCCCTCTAAATAGTAACCCTATTAATAAAGGAATGAAGCTCATTTGGCATGGCTTGATCTTATTGAGCAGGCTGGGTCTTGGTGATCATGCTTCTCTTTTGTGAGTGTTCACTGATTGCTTAGTAATTTGTCTCAAAGTTTTGTCTGGAATTCACTTAAACTTTCCAGTTTACAATGTCTGGAATACAGTTTCCTCCCTTTTTTGCAAATTGGGGTTTCTCATAGATGGAGACATATAGCTCAGATGATGGTAGAATGGCTGGATTTATAATTGGTCAAGATACCACATGACAGAATAGTATTAGACTAATGTGCCAAAGTCATTTTGGAAAAAGTTGCCCAGTGGCACCTTCTAGTTGGAAGACCAGAATTCAAGTTTTCAGCTCCACTTTTTATAAACCAGTGACTTGGGCCAGATTATTTAATCTCTACAATTACGACTGCCGGCAGCCTAGTGGTTCAGCCGTCTCTTAGGCAAGTTCTCTCAGTCCTTAGGATGTGATTCAGCTAGGTCAGGAGGCTGGGACTCATTCAGTGCAGCTAAATGCCTTGTTAAGATCTTACCCAGCTTCAATCCTTTTTCAGATGTGTTTGTTCTTCATTTTAAGTATTATTATTATTTTTTTTTTTGGCAGAGAACAGTTGTAAAGTAAGAGTAAACAGTTGATCTTTCTTCCTGTTGTTTGTGCATTTGCATAATCTGGAGATGGAATGTGACTGACTTTATATGATTTTCTAAATGCTACACATACTTAAACATTAAGTGGAGAAAAAACTCTAAAATGTTCTATTTTGCATATCTAATCTCTATGGAAATTTGAAATGACCTGTATTTACTTTTTAGTTCACAGAGCAAATAATAATAATATCTAAAGGGTAAAAACCAGCATAGGCTTGATATTCAAAAATAAGTAATTTATTTTCTTCTTAAAGCTTTTGCTTGGGAAATTGTATGTTTGATATGTGAAAAATGCATTATCTAAAATAAATCTGATATTTACGTTGAGACGAATATACTGTCAATTTAGAGGTTTTTGGCAATAAAAGAGATTGACATTTTAAATCAGTCTACTGAGATAGGAACGTGTAATAATTCTATATGGATATTTTCTTTTGTCTAGGTAAAATGGACCATGGAAGTAATTTGCTATGGACTGACCCTTCCATTGGATGGAGAGACTGTAAAATATTGCGTTGATGTATATACAGACTGGATTATGGCTTTAGTGTTGCCAAAAGATTCTATTCCATTGCCAGTTATTAAAGAGCCTAATCAATATGTTCAAACTATACTAAAACACCTACAGAATCTTTTTGTACCAAGGTAAGCTATACCTGTCTATCTGGCCCATTATCAGGGTCATAGTAAAATATTCATAAACGTTACTATAGTATAGGAGCTGATTTCATTGTTAGTCCTCTGAACAGTGACTTCATGTGTTCAGTTAAAGATTGTATTAATGTGAATGTTAGGAGAGATGGGCTTATGTAATGTTTACTAGGAGTTTTTAACAGGTATGTGTTCTTTAAAGGTTTTTAGCTTTGCTTCTAAAATCTCATACCTGTTAGATATTAAAATACTGTAACATCTTTCCCTTCTACTCAAAAAAATATACTTTTGCCTATCACAATTCTTGTTTCCATTTAGGCTAAACACAACTAAGGGAGATGCATCTACCTTAATAGGCATCTTTCCTATGAGAGAGTGAAGACACTTGAAATGATTATGGGCAAATTGTTAGTAAGCCAAAAGATTCCTCTTGATAGTTTGTTTCTGATTTTTTTTTCCATCTTAGGCAAGGGCCTTAAATATCATAATATAGGGATACCTTCAAGGAGCAGTAGAACATGTTTCCTTTTGGTAAAGTTCTGGTTAGAGCTTTTGGTCTGTCATACGGTGAGGGACTTTGAAAACCAGCTCTGTAAGTTTTTAACTTTCTAAATATAGAAGGGAGATTACTTTGGAAAATCTGAATTAAAAAAGAGAAGTCTCCAGAACTCTGGTCTGTAGGCTCAGGTGTAAACAGCATACCATGCATGAAATGCCTGGTGTAGTCTGGCCCCTAACTAGACTAGCTGTTCTGAATTCTGCGTGAGTGCTGCTCTGTAGTCAGACTCGTAAGTCAGACATTCCTCTAAGACCTCCTAAAGATCTTTCCCATCATGATGTCTTTTTGTCTTCTTCCTCTTCCTTCTCTCCATCACCACATCTCATTCTTGTTGGTTCTTTAATTCTGCCTTGTGAGGAGAAGTCCTACCTAACCACTCAGGCCCACAGCGATCACACCTTCTCTGAACCTATATGATACTTTCTGCATCACTCTTGTATCTCTCACTGTTTTATTGCTTATCTTTTAAAATGTGTGTCTCCTTTCCCCATCTAACCAACTCAAAGGCAGGAACTCTGTTGTCTCTATTTTAGGCTTCCACAGTATCTGGTGCAATACTGGTATTTTAATACTTAGTACTTATCTTAGGTGTCAATTAAATGCGTGTTGTTTGTATTTATTGATTTCACATGGAATTAAAAACAGGAAATGGGCCGGGTGCAGTGGCTCACGCCTGTAATCCCAGCATGTTTGGAGGCTGAGGCGGGTGGATCACCTGAGGTCAGGAGTTCCAGACCAGCCTGGCCAACATGGCGAAACCCTGTCTCTACTAAAAATACAAAACTTAGCCGGGTGTGGCGGCATGTGCTTATAATCCCAGCTACATGGGAGGCCGAGGCAGGAGAATCGCTTGAATCTGGGAGGCGGAGGTTGCAGTGAGCCGAGATTGCACCACTGCACTCAGCCTGGGTGACAGAGCGAGACTCTGTCTCAAACAAAACAAAACAAAACAAAAAAAACAGGAAACGGTTGGGAGTACTTAGAATATTGTTTATAAGCAGGTTCTTCTAAAATGGTGTAATAGTTTTAATACTTTCTTGTTATCTTATTTAGGAGCCTACTAGGCTTTTTCTTCGTGCCTGGGATAGTCTCATGAGTAGTATTGTCACTGTGTCTCTTTCCTCTTTGTAAGCCTACTACCTTTCAGTGCTCAGTTAATTTGTATTGATGAAAAAAAATTAATGGCATTTGAGTTAATTAGGCTTGTGCCTTTACTTTTCTCTTTTGAGAAACATGACTACCTTATAAATGGTTTTGCTATTTGGTAATTACCTTGTTTTCTCAAAAGTATGTGTGCATAAGTGTTAGTAAATTCTGAGAGGGTACTCAACTGAGAATTAGAGTTCTCTTCCTGGCTAATGTTTTAGGAAAATTAGCTGAATATTTTCAATGGTAAGTATTGGTGTTATGATCTCATCTCCCATTATTTGAAGTTTTAGTTGTTTATTTGATTCTGATAGTTCACAAAACTGTCATCTAAGTTTACTTAATTAGTTGTTTTTATAAAAACTGACATTCAAAATGGAGGGAACTGCCTTTGCCATTTTGCTAGAGATTATGTCAGAATGAATGTAACATTTCTCTTTTGCCCATCAGTTTGATTTTTTTTTTTAAGATTGAGTGAAGAGTAAATCATCTTTTAAAGTTGGTTAAGGTTTTAATTGCTCACATATACTATACTGTACTTTAGAAAAACATATTATTGTTCTGAAGCAGGGTTAGCAAAGAGTCAGATAGCATTTTAGGCTTTGCAGGTCATATAGTGTTATAATTAGTCAGTTCTGCTGGTGTGGCATGAAAGCAGCCATAGACAATATATAAATGAATGATCATTACTGTGTTCCAATACAACTTCATTTACAATATAGATAGTAGGCCAGATTTGTAAACTCTATTTACAATAAAAGATGGCAGGCCAGGTTTGACCCATTGGCCAGCATTCACCACCACTGTTCTAAAGCAGTTTTTCTGAAAATCACAAGTTACATTTTAAAAAGTAACTTGATATTTTTGAAAGGGAAATCTCTGGTGTTTAGCTCTTCTGTTTTTTTTTAATGTAAAGGTTACCTTGTTTCTTTTAGCTTTAGAACTTTGGACCCTGCCTCTGAATTTAGGCCTTCTGAATGAGGAGGAAGGAGCCTCAGTACCTGAGGAACAGGTATTTCCTTTCCTGTCATTGGGCAAATACCTGGAAATGGTAGGTAGACCTAAGTTACCATGTAGGAGGCATGCACTCTTGGAAGGGTGTCAGTCCCAGGGCCATTAGTGGTATTTTTATTTCTTATTCTGGGCTTCCTCTTATATTACTTGATTAGGTTTGGGGCTATGCTATAGTTTTTTATTCTTCTTCAAGTAAGCCAGAGCAATAGACACAAGCTTGAGCCTTAGGGCTTTACATGGACTAGATCCACCTTTACTAGATCCACCTTTAGCTGAATGTGGAACATCTCCCCGCTCCTGGAGGTGCTTGGCTCTTCCTAGGCAATTTTCTCATCATTTTGCTTTAGGTCTGACTTCTTTAGGGAAAACTTAGTGGTGTCATTTGCTTGCAACTCTAGGGTAAGTGTCGTTTTCTGCATCATAGCCCAGAATCTGAGAATCTCTCTTCTAAGGTTGGGTTGACAGTTCTAAGGGAACTCACTTCATTTTCTGGAATTTCTTGAGGAAACTCCCCAGTCTGATTCAGGTATGTTTCTATCAGTTCTTTGTGACAAATGACAATATGTAGAAACTTGGCCTCAAGACTTTTTTCAGTAATATTAGATACTTCTCTTGGGTTTCCCATAAGAGATCTGGAGGCCAGCTTACCACTTGCTAATACAATGGGTTTCCTACTATTCTCAAAATTCTCAGTGGTCTACTTTGGAAAGTGAGGGTAAGGGCTGGGACCTGGACCTCTATCTTCATCTTCAGTCCTAGCCAAAATACTTTGATCTGTTTTATAGATCATTCTTCTTTATAAGATTTCCCTTGGAAAAAATGGTCCTGCGGTGAGTTTTAAAACTGTTGTTCCGGGGTATCCTGGGAAACTTGGAGCCTCCATCTTTGGCTAAGTGTCTTTTTCTAAAATTAGAGCAGCAGTAGCAGGTATTTATTTCTGAAGCAATGCCTGCATACCTCATTAATTTTGGGGACCTATTAGGCTATTCCTTCTGGCTTGTAGGCCCTTCTCTAACAGACCTTAGCTTCAGAGGGACTATGAGCACTGTAAAATCACATGCAGAATTCTTGCAAATATGTGTTTAAAAAAATTAAAAAAGAATACCAAGGCCATTCTGCTTCAATGTGAGCAGCAAGGGTGGCGGTGGGTATTTACTTGTTCATTCAACAAAAACCTATTGAGTGTCTGCTATTATGTGTTAGGCACATGTTAGACATAGAAAATCCAGAAGTGAAGTTTATGTTCTAGTATTCCCGCCTTCCTCCCAGAAGCTTTCGAGTTCTCATAGGAGTGGTAGGTTTAGATTCCAGAGTGCTTAACTTTACGACGAGTAAGAAGTAGCTTTAAACTGAAGACGGTATGCCTAGCCCTCTCTGCTGATAATATTAGGGAGCTTCATTGGACCACTGCTTGCTACATCCATAAGTCACCTGTCCTGAAGCTGTTGCTGTCTCTCCTCCAGGCTTGTCAGTGATATCTGTCTGTCTTCTTCAGACAGGAACAGGGTTCCAGTCAGATTCGACTATGCTTACAGGTCCTGAGAGCCATTCAGAAACTGGCCCGTGAGTCATCTCTCATGGCCCGAGAAACTTGGGAAGTCTTACTGTTGTTTCTTCTGCAGATTAACGACATACTTCTGGCCCCACCAACTGTTCAAGGTTTGTTTATTTTTTTTTTTCTAATTTATTTCTGAGCTCCAAATACAGTTCATCTTTAAACTCAGTGAGCGGTAGACTCATTGGGGATTTAAATTTTGGCATGATGGTTTACAAACAAAGGTTAACAGTTCTTAGAATGGAAACTCTCAGGCACAATATAACTTTAGCCCTGATGAAGTTATTTTACCTTCAGTCATGATTTTGCTAATGTAGGGAGGGACTCAGTGAATTATGCATGTTTGATAGTGATGGGAGCAGTAGCTTGTTTAATAGGATAGGCCAGGCGTAGTGGCTATAATTCCAGCACTTTGGGAGGCCAAGGCAGGTGTATCACCTGAGGTCAGGAGTTCAAGACCAGCCTGGCCAACATGGCGAAACCCCATCTCTTCTAAAAGTAGAAAAATTAGCCAGGCGTGGTGGCACACACCTATAATTCCAGCTACTCAGGAGGCTGAGGCAGGAGAATTGCTTGAACCTGGGAGGTGGAGGTTGTAGTGAGCCAAGATCGTGCCACTGCTCTCCAGCCTGGGCGACAAGAGCAAGACTCTGTCTCAAAAAAAAAAAAAAAAGAAAAGAAACAATTAACCAATTAAATTAGAGCCTATAGATAATATATTACAAAGTAGTTATCAAAGTAGAGTCTGAAAACTTGGTAGTGACAAGATATTTTACTCAGCAAATGAAACCTCCAAAGTCTTTTAACTGTTCTATTTGGAAGTGTGCCAGTTTGCTATTCATTAGCTAGCCATTAAATGCCTCCAGTTTTATAAGACTTTACAGTGTATTTCAGAATCCCTGCTTTGTATATAGCACAGTGTATATAAACTATAAGTTGATCATCTAGTTCCAAGTTCTCTTGTTGCTTATTCATTGGTGTACTCTGTTGACTAACACATGTGAGTGTGCTTGTGTTCTCACACAGATGCAGTATTCAGGGAAATATCTAAAAGGAAGCATGGAATTTCAGTGTGGGAAGGGATGCAATGATAGTAATACTCTGTCTGGTATTGACAATAGCTGGACAGTCATTGATTCATCACCTCTCTGCTACTTACTCCCCATGCCAGGGGTCTCAACAGCATGAGGCAGACAATTCATCCCCCTCCTGGGCTCTTTGTTGTTGAAACTTTGGTTTTGCTCATTTGAAACACACATTCTTACAACTTTTCCTGTGAGTCCCAACTTTGCCTTCTGGAGCTATGCGGTGTAAAGACCACTGCTGTTTTTCCACCTGGTTCCAGGGCTTAGAACAGGGGAACAGCCCCATTTTCATGGTTAAGGCTCTGTCCTTCCCAACACCAGTCCTTTTGCTCCATTATTTGTCTCTCTGTCTCTCTCCCTTGAAGGGTGGCTTTCAAATACTTGGAGCATTGTATGGCAAAGTTTGGAGGTAAAAAGACATGGGTGTTTGTTGTGATTCCTTCACTTACTGGCTGCATGAAGTCGGAGAAGTTACTTAAACTTTCTGAATCTAAGTTTTCTCATCTTCAAAATGGGTATAATTAGCAGTTGGTATTAGGTATTACAGATACCTACCCTGCAGAATTAATGTGAGGATTATATGAGGTCATTTGTATGAACTATTTGGCATAGAAACTGACTCATAGTAGTCAGTCATCATAGGCAGTCATCCTTTTCCTTCTCCCCTGTGTCCCTCTGTCCCCCTTGCTGGAGGATTAAGGCCTTCAATAAGAACTGAACAGGGCAACTTGAAATCTTTCAAAGTAAAAATTTTTTGATGTGTCTGTGATTTTGGGTACAGGAACTCCTAAGAATTGCTTCTCATTTTTACTATTAAATGATTATTTGAAAGTCAAAACTTAATATTGCACTTATTTTAATTTTTTGACCAGTTCTCCCAAATCAGTGTCTTAAAGATTCTGCTTTAAAAATAAGTTTGCCAAAGATGTGTTTTCTTTTTGTTGGTAAGGTGGCATTGCTGAGAATCTAGCAGAGAAGTTGATTGGTGTTCTCTTTGAGGTGTGGTTACTAGCTTGTACTCGGTGCTTCCCAACACCTCCTTATTGGAAAACAGCCAAGGAGATGGTGGCTAACTGGAGGCATCACCCAGCAGTGGTGGAGCAGTGGAGCAAGGTCATTTGTGCACTCACTTCCAGGTAGGTTATTGTCATTGCCCTGCCTTCCTTCACCTGTCTGACCTTAGGCAGCTTTCTGGCATTCATGGAATACATTATAACAAAGGCTGGGTCTGTTATTACTGTACTTTAGATACAGAATTGAGCCACTTTTTAAATATAGATATAACAGTTTGGCTAGTGCCTGTTTAAAACATTTCAGAATAATCAAGTATTCTTGAGAAACAGATAAATTTTATACCCTACTTCCCCCACAAAAAAATTCCACTCTTATTTTGATCATTAAAATATGCATGATCATTAAAATATGCCTAATCATTATTTTAAAGAAACAAACCATAGAAAGATATAATAGAAAAGTTCTCCTGAAATCCTACCATGTATATTTATATATAATTTTACAGGAATGGGACCATATTATACATGCTACTTTATAACCAAAGTAGGCAGTTTTTTTATAATAATAATTTTACCTTTTTGCCATTTATATTTAATACCATCGCTGTTTTATAAGTACACTCTTAGGTTCATTTTTTTCAGACTTATTTTTTCATTTCAATCGTGATTTTAATATGCAAGCATACCTTGTTTTATTGCACTTGACTGTATTGAGCTTCACGGATACCATGTTTTTTTTTTTTTCCAAATTGAAGGGTTGTGGCAACCCTGCATCAAGCGAGTCTGTCGGGTGCCATTTTTCCAACAGCATATGCTCACTTTGTGCCTCTGTCATATGTTGGTAATTCTTGCGTATTTCAAACTTTTACTGTTATGGTGACCTGTGATCAGTGATCTTTAATATTACCATTGTAATTGTTTTAGAGTGCCACGTACTACACCTATATAAAATGGTGAACTTAACTGATCAATGTTGTTTGTGTTCTGACAGCTCCACTGACCAGCTGTTTTCCGTCTCTTTCCCACTCTTGAGACACAATGATACTGAAATTAGGCCAATTAGTAACTCTATAATGGCCTCAAAGTGGTCGAGTGAAAGGAATAGTTGGATGTCTCTCACTTTAAATCAAAAGCTAGAAATGATTAAGTTTAATTAGGAAGGTGTGTTGAAAGCCAAAACAGGCTGAAAGCTAGGCCTCTTGCACCAAATGGTTAGCCAAGGTGTGAATGCAAAGGTAAAGTTCTTGAAGGAAATTAAACATGCTACACCACTGAACACAGGAATGATAAGAAAGCAAAACAGGCTTATTTATGATATGGAGAAAGTTTGAGTGGGCTAGATAGGAGATCAAACCAGTCACAACATTTTCTTAAGCCAAAGCGTGATCCAGAGCAAGGCCTAACTGTCTTCAGTTCTATGAAGGCTGCGAGAGGTGAGGAAGCTGTAGAAGAAAGCTTAGGAAGAGGCCGAGGTTGGTTCATGAGGTTTAAGGAAAGAAGCCATGTCTATAACGTGAAAGTGCAAGCTGAAGCAGCAAGTGTGATGGAGAAGCTGCAGCAAGTGATCCAGATGATCTAGCTAAGATCATTGACGAAGGTGGCCTCACTAAACAACAGATTTTCAGTGTGCATTAAACAGTCTTGTATTGGAAGAAGACACCATCTAGGACTTCTATAGCTAGAGAGGAGAAGTCAGTGCCTGGCAAGCTGAAGCCAGTGCTCATTTACCATTTGGAATATCCTAGGGCCCTTAAGAATAATGTTAAATTTGCGCTTGCCTTGGCAGCCTATATACTAAGAATGATGTTAAATTTATTCTGGCTGTGTGCAGTGGCTCACACCTGTAATCCCAGCACTTTGGGAGTACGAGGTGGGCAGATTAGTTGAGCTCAGGAGTTTGAGACCACTCTGGGCAACTTGGCAAAAGCCCATCTCTACAAAAAATAGCCAGGTGTGGTGGCTTGCGCCTGTAGAACACACCTCCCAGGTTCAAGTGATTCTTGTGCCTTAGCCTCCCGAATAACTGGGATTACAGAGGTGTGCCAACATGTCCTGCTAGTTTTTGTATTTTTAGTAGAGGTGGGGGTTTCACCATGTTGGCCAGTCTGGTCTCCAACTCCTAGTCTCAAAACAATCCACCCATCTCAGCCTCCCAAAGTGCTTGGATTACAGGCATGAGCCACTGTGCCCAGCGTGACTTTCAAATCTTAAGAAATACAGCTGACCATTGAACAACATGTATTTGAACTGTGTGGGTCCACTTACATGTAGATTTTTCTCAATTAAAAATAGTGGAAAATTTTTTTTGAAATTTGAGACAATTTGAAAAAATGTGCAAATGAACCGTGTATCCTAGAAATATTGAAAAAATTAAGAAAAAATTAGGTATGTCGTAGGCATAAAATATATGTACATGCTAGTCTTGTATCATTTACTACCATAAAATACACACAAATGTATTATACTAAATTAAAATTTATTAAAACTTATGCATACAAATGCTTATAGACTATATACATGATACCATTTGCAGTAATGTAAACAATAGGTAAAGAAATGTAAACAAACATAAAAGCTGCAGTATTAAATCATAATTGCATAAAATTAACTCTGGTACATACTGTACTACTGTAATAATTTTGTAGCCACTTCCTGTTGCTATTGCAATGAGCTCAGGTGTTGTGAATATTCACTGAAAACTCCATGTGACACTAATCATCTCTGCTTGAGCAGTTAATCTCTTCAGTAAATAGTGTATCTCAGTAAAAAGTGATGTCTCAGTTTTCATTTATTTTTCGTCATATTTAATTTACAATACTGTAAACCTGGAATAAGTAATACCATGAGACCCATAGGAAGTGCCACCAGTGGTGCTGGAAGTGCTCCCAAGAAGCAGAGAAAACTCATGACATTACAAGAAAAAGTTGAATTGCTTGATACGTTCTGTTGTTTGAGGTCTGCAGCTGTGGTCACCTGCCAGTTCAGGCAGACAATTGACTTTGTAAACAGATGACATAAACTTATGGTATCAATAAACACAGTACAGTGCTGTAAATGTAAATGTGTTTTCTCTTTTATATGATTTTTTTTTGTTTGAGACAGTCTCACTTTTTCACCTAGTCTGGAGTGCAGTGGTGCGATCTCAGCTCACTGCAACCTCTGCCTCATTGCAGCCTCTGCCTCCCATGCTCAAGTGATTCTCGTGCCTCAGCCTCCCCAGTAGCTGGGATTACAGGCGTGAGCCACCATGCCCAGCTAATTTTTTAGTATTTTTAGTAGAGTCAGGGATTCTCCATGTTGGCCAAGCTGGTCTCTAACTCCAGGCCTCATGTGAGCCGCCCCACCTCTGCCTTCCAAAGTGCTGGGATTACAGGCATGAGCCACTGCGCCTGGCCCTTTTTTATGATTTTTTTTAAAGAGGGGGTCTTGCTGTGTTGCCCAGGCTAGAGTATAATGGCTATTCACACCTCCTGGGCGCAAGCTGTTTAGATTGGTGCAAAAGTAATTGCGGCTTTTGCCATATTTTAATTACTTTTGTACCAACACAATATCTTCTGCTTCAAGCCTACAAGTGTCTGGGACTATGGGTGTGCTGCTGCATCTGATTTTCCTTATGATTTTCTTAATAACATTTTATTTAGCTTTCTTTATTGTAAGAATACCATATATAATACACATACAAAATATGTATTAGTTATTTGTTATTGGTAAGGCTTCTGATTAGAAGTAGGCTATTAGTAGTTAAGTTTTGAGGGAGTCAAACATTATACATAGATTTTTCAACTGTATGAGGGGCCAGCACCTCTAGTCCCTATTGTTCAGGGGTCAACTGTACATTCTGTAAGGTTATAGCTACCATATCAACATTAACAGGAGTTTGGAAGAAGTTGATTCCAACCCTAATGAATGACTCTGAGGGGTTCAAAGCTTCAGTGGAAGAAGTCACTGCAGATGAGGTGGAGAAGTAGCAAGAGAACTACAAATTAGAAGTATAGCCCAAAGAGATGACTAATTGCTGCAATGTCATGATAAAACTAATGGTGAGGAGTCTTATGGATGAGCAAAGAGTTTCCTGAGGTGGAATCTACTCCTGGTATAGATGCCATGAACATTGTTGAAATGACAGCAAAGTATTTAGAATATTACATAAGCTTAATTGGTAAAGTAATGGCAGAGTTTGAGAGGATTGACTCCGATTTTGAAAGAAGTTCTACTATGGGTAAAATGCTATGAAATGGCATTGCATGCCACAGATAAATTTTTTGTGAAAAGAAGAGTCAGTCCATGTGGCACACCTCATTGTTGTCTTATTTTTAAAAACTGCCACAGCCACCCCAACCTTCAGCAGTCACCTTCCTGATCAGTCTGCAGCCATCAATGAGGCAATACCCTCCACCAGTGAAAAGATGACTCTAGATGACGCAAACAAATGGAAAAACATTCCATGTTCATGGATTAGAAGAATCAAAATCATTAAAATGGCCATACTGCCCATAGCAATCTACAGATTCAACACTATTCCTGTCAAACTACCAGTGCCATTTTTTCACATAACTAGGAAAAAACCTATTCTAAAATTCATATTGCAACCAAAAAAGAGCTCTAATAGCCAAAGCAAATCCTAAGCAAAAAGAACAAAGCTGGAGGCTTCACATTACCCACCTTGAAACTATACTAGAGGGCTACAGTCACCAAAACAGCATGGTACTGGTACAAAAACAGATATATAAACTAATGGAACAGAATAGAGAACCCAGAAGTAAAGCTGCATAACTACAGCCATCTGATTTTTGACAGAGTCAATAAAAACAAGCAATGGGGAAAGGACTCTCTATTCAATAAATAGTGCAGGGATAACTGGCTAACCATATGCAGAAGAATGAAACTAGACTCCTACCTTTCACCATATACAAAAATTAACTCAAGATGGATTAAAGATTTAAATGTAATACCTCAAGCTATAAGAATACTAGAAGAAAACCTAGGAAACACTATTATGGACATTTGCCTTGGGAAGGAATTTATGACTCAGTCCTCAAAAGTAATTGCAACAAAAACAATCGACAAGTGGTACCTAATTAAACTAAAGAGTTTGCACAGTAAAAGAAACTATCAACAGAGTAAATGGAAAACCTACAGAATGGGAGAAAATATTCACAAATTATACATCTGACAGAGATCTAATATCCAGAATCTATAAGGAACTTAAAGCAATTGAACAAGCAAAAAACAACCCCGTTAAAAAACAGGCAAAAGACATGAACAGACACTTATCAAAAGAAGACATATAAGTGGCCAAGAAACATATGAAAAAATGCTCCACATTACTAATCATCAAACAAATGCAAATCAAAACCACAATGAGATACCATCTCACACCAGGCAGAATGGGTATTATTAAAAAGTCAAAAAAACAGTAGATGCTGGCAAGACTGCAGGGAAAAGGGAATGCTTATACTCTGCTGGTGGGAATGTAAATTAGTTCCAGCTACTGTGGAAAGCAGTTGGGAGATTTCTCAAAGAACTTAAAATACGACTACCATTCAACCCAGCTATCCCATTGCTGGGTATATATCCAAAAGAAAACAAATTGTTCTACCGAAAAGACACATGCACTTTTATATATTGCAGCACGATTCACAATAGCAAAGACATGGAATCAGCCTAGATGCCCGTCGGTGGTAGACTGGGTAAAGAAAATGTGGCACATATGCACCATGGAATACTATGCAGCCATGAAAAAGAATTAATTGTGTCCTTTGTAGCAACATGGATGCAGCTTGAAGCCATTATCCTAAGTGAATTAACACAGGAACAGAAAACCAAGTATCACATGTTCTTACTTATAAGTGGGTGCTAAACATTGGACATAAAACTCATGGACATAAAGATGACAACATTAGAAACTGAGGACTGCTGGTGGGGGAAGAGGAGCAGTGTTGAAAAGTCCAGATGATGGGATCATTTGTACCCCAAGCCTCAGCATCATGCAGTATACCCAGATAACCTGCACATGTACCTCCTGAATCTAAAATTAAAGTTGGAAAATTTTAAAAAGGGAAAGGATTATGACTTGGTGAAGGCACAGATAAATTATTAGCATCTTTCAGCAGTAAAATATTAATATTTTTAAATTAAGGATGTGCATTGATTTTTAAACATATAATCCTATTGCATACTTAATCGACTACAGTATAGTCCAAACATAACTTTTATATGCATTGAGAAACCAAAAAAACGTGCATGCCTTGCTTTTTGCAATGTTTGTTTTATTAGGGTAGTGTGAAACTGAACCTGCAAGATCTCGAAGTTATACCCGTATAACTCTAGATATAGATAAGGGTTCTTTAAAAAATATAATACCCTTATCACACCCAAAAAAGTTGACAATTCTTTAATACCGGTTAGCTAGTCAGTGTTCAAATTTCCAGGTACAATTGACCCTCTGTGGGTTCTGTATCCATGGACACAGCCAGTCAGAGATCAAAAATATTTGGCAAAAAATTTCACAAAATTCCAAAGAGTAAAAATTGAATTTGCCTTCTACTGCCTGAGTACTGCATCGAATCTGTGCAAATGAAGGGATGTGTATGCATTGTATTAGGTATTATAAGTAATCTTGAGACGATTTAAAGTATATAGGAAGATGTGTGTAGGTTATATGCAAATACTAAATTATTTTATGTAAGGGGGCTTGAGCATCCGTGGATTTTGGCATCTGAGGGGTGTTCTGCGTCAATCCCCTATAATTCTGAAGGACAACTGTATAGGTTCCTGCTTTTTTCTTTCCTTTTTTTTTTTGACAGGGTTTCTTACTCTGTCACCCAGGCTGGAATGCAGTGGTGCAATCACAGCTTACTGCAGCCTTAATCTCTTAGGCTCAAGTGATCCTCCTGCCTCAGCCACCTGAGTAGCTGGAACTGCAGGCGTGCACCACCATGCTTGGCTAATTTTTATATTTTTGGTCAAGATGGGGTTCCTCCATGTTGTCCAGGCTGGCCTTGAACTCCTGGGCTCGAGCAGTCCTCCTGCCTTGGCCTCCCAAAGTTCTGGTATTACAGGCCTGAGTGACCACGCCTGGCCTAGGTTTCTGCTTTATTTTTCTTTGCAATTTTTTTGTTGAAGAAACTGGGTTGTCTTACAGAGTGTTTCACATTTTGGATTTGTCCACATTGTTAATTACTATATTCCTCTGCCCCGCTGTATTTCCTATAAACTGGTAGTTAGATCTAGAGACTTGATCTCATTCAGGTTTGATAGGGGGCAAAGAGAGGGGGTGACAGGAACAAAAACTTTATAGGTAGTGTTATGTATCAGAAGGTAGACTTCTCTTTTTCTGAGTTAATGTTTAGATCTTTATTATTATTTAAACTAAAAAATGAAGCTTTGGAATATTTTGTTAATTCTAGTATATCACAGAGAACATGAATATTATGAATCTAGCCATGAGCGGTGGCTCACACCTGTAATCCCAGCACTTTGGGAGGCTGAGGCAGGATGATTGCTTTAAAAAAATTATGAATCTGTTTTTAAGTAATGCTTTTATCTTGATTATAATCACAGTACATGCTTATAATAGAAAATTTGGAAAATGTAGGGACAGATACCTATCATTCAGAGCCAACCCATGTTAACATTTTAATGTATTTTTTCCATTTAGTTCCCTTTTTAAAAATGCCAGTTTGAAATTATTCTATATAATATTATCTACTTTTTTCATTTGATGTCTGATTCTTGTCACTTTAGTTACACAAACTTTTTCTCATTAAATAGCTGTTGAGATCATATTTTTAATGGTTTTGTAGTTTTCCATTATATAATTGGAATTATAATTCATTTAATAATTTCCTTGTTATTGTTGTTGTTATTTTTGTTTTTTTGAGGCAGGGTCTTGCTTTGTTGCCCAGGCTGGAGTACAGTGGTATGATCAGGACTCATAGCAGCCTCAACCTCCCCAGGCTCAAACAATCCTCTCACCTCAGCCTCCCATGGCAGCTGGGAGCTACAGGTTCATGCCACCACGCCCAGCTAATTTTTGTATTTTTTGTAAAGATGAGGTTTTGCATATCGCCCAGGCAGGCAGGACTCAAGCTCCTGGACTCAAGTGATCCACTAGACTTGGCCTCCCAGAGTGCTGGGATTGGAGTGCAGGCGTGAGCCACTATGCCAGCGTTGTTTTTTTGTTTTTGTTTTTCTTTTTTTTTTGAGATATGGTCTTGCTCTGTTGCCCAGGGTGGAGTGCAGTGGCGCAGTCATGGCTCATTGTAGCCTCGAACTCCTGACCTCAAGCAATCCTCCCATCTTCCCCTGCTGTTTTGATATTTATGTTGTTCCCATTGTTTTATTTTAAAAATATTGGTGATATGAATGCTTTATACATAGTCTTTATATGTGAGAATATTATCTCTAGGTAGAGAATAATTGAGTTAAAGGGCTTTGAATAGTTTTAATACATTTAGAATATTAAGTAATTAAGTTGTTGAGTTATTTTTATGGTATGTCATAAATTCTAAACTTCATGTAAAACTATTATAACTTAGTTATATGGCAGAAATTTGCAGTGAGATGAATCTTTTAAAAAATTTACATATTGTATGATTATATAATTATATAAGTATAATTACATATATAAATAGCTATAATTTATAAGTAATATGCAATGTGTATATGTCAAACATATTACATATAAACATATAAATGTCACAGAAAGACATTTAAAAACTAAGATCACTGACAGCTGAAAAACACAAACTATAACTACAAAATGGGAAGAAATGATAAAAAATGATTAACATACCTAACCTATAAAAAGGTCATAAAGAATAATTCAGAATCACTGATACACAAGTAGAAAAATTAGGCTAGTCAAACCAGAAAGAGAAGAGATGCAAGGAAAAACTTTAAGAATCAGTTTACAACAGAATAAATGTCCCACAGAGCACATGGATGGGCCTGGAAGAGGGACAAGTAAAAAGTGATGAAGCTGAACTGAAGAGAATTACTATATAAAAGATAGGGACAGCAGGAAGTAACAGTATTTTAATACTAATTATTTTAAATTATTTAAGTATCTTAAATAATTTAAAACACTCTTTTTTTGGTATACTTGTTTATTTTACCCAAAAACTCATGTATCTTGTAAAGAAGATGCTGATAACAACACGTGTATTACATATAAAATATATACAACAGCATATACTCTTCTTCCCAGCTTCTTTCCATTAGAAATCATCTTGAAAGTCTCCAATTTGTTTTCAATGTAAAACTTCTTTTTAATGAACGCATAATAGTTGTACATATTTGTGGAGTACATAATGATGTTTTGATATATATATAAAAAATGTGTAGTGATTGATCAGAGTAATTAGCATATCCATCATCCCAAACATAAAAAAACTAGAAATCCTCTTTCAGTTTGTCTGTTTTATAAATGAGGGTTTCCATATGTCTTGTTCACGTATGTGAGGTACACATGTTTCATCCATTTTCTCTGTCTTCTTTCTATGCTTGAGTGTATTTTTCAATCTGTTAAGAAATGGACTCAGTGGTGTGCATTTATTTTCTAGATTGCTACGCTTTACATATGGTCCTTCATTTCCTGCATTTAAAGTTCCCGATGAAGATGCCAGTCTGATCCCTCCAGAAATGGATAATGAGTGTGTTGCACAGACATGGTTTCGCTTTTTACACATGTTAAGGTATTGTTATTTTATTATTTCATGTGCCATTTACCTAGTAAGTATCTTAGGGCAGGAATCATGCTGTAAGTCTCTTGTTTGAATTCAGAAGGTGGACACTAAGCCCCATTCATCAAATGGAATCCAGCTGGACAACAAGCACATTTCTGTCCTGTGCCTCCTGCTCTCCCCGTCCCAGCAGGGTTAGGCTGTCCTCAGCCGCTCTTGGTTTACACGCTCTAGGAACGCGTTCCCTGTGGTAGATGCCGCACTTGTTCTCTTGCCTGTTACTGCAGCCAGGCTGATGATCTTTCTCTTGGGATTTTGTCACATTCTGTGGGGACTGGAGGTTGCCTTGCTCCTCTCTGTGCCCAGCACTGACTGGTCAGTCTGCCTCTCAGAGCCCTCCTCCAATAGCCTGTTTAAAGTTTCAATGGGAGATACACCCTAAAATTTCACAGAGGGGTATACTGCTACTTCCTGCTGTCCCTGTCTTTTATATAGTAATTCTCTTCAGTTCAGCTTCATCACTTTTTACTTGTCCCTCTTCCAGCCCCATCTGTGTGCTCTGTAGAACATTTATTCTGTTGTAAACTGATTCTTAAATTTTTTCCTTGCATATCTTCTCTTTCTGGTTTAACTAGCCTAATTTTTCTATTTTGTGTATCAGTGATTCTGAATTACTCTTTATGACCTTTTTATAAGTTAGGTATGTTAATCTTTTTTTATCATTTCTTCCCATTTTGTAGTTACAGTTTGTGTTTTTCAGCTGTCAGTGATCTTAGTTTTTAAATGTCTTTCTGTGATCATTTTCTATTTCCTTTGTGTTCTTTGATCAGATAGTCACCTATGATTTCTTCCAATGTTGTTTCCTTTGTAATAGTAAGTTCTTTTATATACCTCAGGATCTGTCTTTATATGTATATAAACACACACACGCACATACACACACACACACACACACACACACACACACACAGACACACGCATGCATGTAATTTGCAGAGATGGGGTCTTCCTACGTTGCCCAGGCGGTCTCAAACTCCTGGACTTAAGCAATCCACCCACTTCAGCCTCCCAAAGTGCTAGGGTTACAAGCATCGAGCCACCGCACCCAGCCTGGAATTTGTCTTTAGTTCACATATTACTGCATTAAATTCATTTGTTTTTATATCAGATTCACACTCTTATTTTAACTTTATAATATTTACTGATATTTAGTAGGTCTAATGTCTTTTTCTCTTTTTCCTTCTCTTAGAATATTTATCTCTTCTTGCCTGTTTAACATTTCAGATCAATTTTAGAACCAATTTTTCAAGTTACAAAACATAAGCAAACAGAAGGAAAAACCTCAACGAAACCTTCTGGGGTTTGGATTGTGTATTATTTAGGGTAAGGAATATGTGCTGCTTTAGCAAATGAACTTGAAAATCTTTTATAGGGCCGGGCGCGGTGGCTCACGCCTGTAATCCCAGCACTTTGGGAGGCCGAGGCGGGCGGATCACGAGGTCAGGAGATCGAGACCATCCCGGCTAAAACGGTGAAACCCCGTCTCTACTAAAAATACAAAAAATTAGCCGGGCGTAGTGGCGGGCGCCTGTAGTCCCAGCTACTTGGGAGGCTGAGGCAGGAGAATGGGGTGAACCCGGGAGGCGGAGCTTGCAGTGAGCCGAGATTGCGCCACTGCACTCCAGCCTGGGCGACAGAGCGAGACTCCGTCTCAAAAAAAAAAAAAAAAAGAAAATCTTTTATAAAGTCTGGAGTCAGGACTGGCTCTGCTCACATAGTCGTTCAGAGACCCAGCTGGCAGAGGCTCTTTCATCTTCAACAGATGACTCCATTAGGGCCTCAGTGTTATAAGCAGGATTCTCGTATCTGGCTAGCAGATGGGGAACAGAGAGCAAGGAAAATTTTGTGGGAGGGTTTTATGTGTCAGGCCTTGAAGTAATATAAATCACTGTTACTCATATTCCATTAGCCACAACTCAGACACACACCACACTTAATTGCAAGAGAACAGAGAAGAAAAGAGAAAGTGGTGAACAGCTAGCCAGACTCTGCCGAAGATGAGAATTGTATTAAGCTTGTATTTATATTTAGGAAACGCTGATATCTGATATTGAGTCTGCCTTTCTTTTTTTTTTTTTTAATTTTTTTAGTATTTATTGATCATTCTTGGGTGTTTCTCGGAGAGGGGGATTTGGCAGGGTCATAGGACAATAGTGGAGGGAAGGTCAGCAGATAAACATGTGAACAAAGGTCTCTGGTTTTCCTAGGCAGAGGGCCCTGCCGCCTTCCGCAGTGTTTGTGTCCCTGGGTACTTGAGATTAGGGAGTGGTGATGACTCTTAACGGGTATGCTGCCTTCAAGCATCTGTTTAACAAAGCACATCTTGCACCGCCATTAATCCATTTAACCCTGAGTTGACACAGCACATGTTTTAGAGAGCACGGGGTTGGGGGTAAGGTTATAAATTAACAGCATCCCAAGGCAGAAGAATTTTTCTTAGTACAGAACAAAATGGAGTCTCCTATGTCTACTTCTTTCTACACAGACACAGTAACATCTGATCTCTCTTTCTTTTCCCCACATTTCCCGCTTTTCTATTCGACAAAACCGCCATCATCATCATGGCCCGTTCTCAATGAGCTGTTGGGTACACCTCCTAGACGGGGTGGCGGCCGGGCAGAGGGGCTGCTCACTTCCCAGACGGGGCGGCCGGGCAGAGGCGCCCCCCACCTCCCAGACAGGGCGGCGGCCGGGCGGGGGCTGCCCCCCACCTCCCGGACGGGGCAGCTGGCGAGTCTGCCTTTCTAAGAGCATGTCTTTTTCTTTTTTTAGAATTTTGCGTATCTTCTTGAAATGTTTTACAGTTTTCTTCACAAAGATTTTTAATATTTTCTTTACCATTATTTCTAGGTATTTGTTGCTGATGTTTTGAAAAGCTAACTCTTTTCTGCTATTCTGTCTTCTAGATGGTTATTACTGCTGTAAAGAACATTTTTTACTGCATGTTATTTTGCATATTATATATAGCATTTAAAAGAGCTCTGAATATTTCACTGATTCTTCTGAGATATGGGCACATATCTGCAAATAAGAAGTGTCTCTTTTCTAATAATTCATACTTGTTTTGGTGACTAATTAAAAGTACTTCGGATGCAGTAAGACTTGGACCTGACTTAAATTCTGCTAGTTTTTTCTTTGTGAACTTGAGCAATTTATTCTCTCTGTGCCTCAGTTTCTTTTTAATCTACATAATGGGAATAATGATAGTACCATCTCGTTATAAGTATTGAAGAAGAAAAAGCATGTAAAACGGCATGATGCCTAGTGCATGGTAGGTGCTTGAAAGTTGCTATTATTACAGTTATTTCTGTATATTATTTTACTGCATCCATCAGAAGTAGAACACTGTTGAATTAAAGTGATACTGTTTTGGCACCTTTTTTGGTCTGATTTTCATCGGAATGCCTCTGATATATGGAATTTTGAGTAGGATGTTGGTTGTTGATATTAGATGTTCTTTTTTATGCTCCTGGTTTCCTAAGCAGTTAAAAATTTTATTTATTTTTATTTATTTATTTTTTGAGATGGAGTCTCGCTCTGTCACCCAGGCTGGAGTGCAGTG
Organism: Homo sapiens; assembly: GCF_000001405.40. Lineage (NCBI taxonomy): Eukaryota > Metazoa > Chordata > Mammalia > Primates > Hominidae > Homo > Homo sapiens. Next base: position 38,512,819 of record NC_000020.11, read on the forward strand.
GCGCAATCTCTGCTCACTGCAAGTTCCGCCTCCTGGGTTCACGCCATTCTTCTGCCTCAGCCTCCTGAGTAGCTGGGACTACAGGCGCCCACCACCATGCCTGACTAATTTTTTGTATTTTTTAGTAGAGACGGGGTTTCACCATGTTAGCCAGGATGGTCTTGATCTCTTGACCTCATGATCCGCCTGCCTCGGCCTCTCAAAGTGCTAGGATTACAGGCTTGAGCCACCACGCCCGGCCAGCAATTAAAAATTTTTAAAAATATAGGCCAGGCACGGTGGCTCACGCCTATAATAATAGCACTTTTGGAGGCCAACGCGGGTAGATCACCCAAGCTTAGGAGTTCGAGACCAGCCTGGGCAACATGGTGAAACCCTGTCTCTACTAAAAATACAAAAAATGGGCTGGGCGTGGTGGCTCACGCCTGTAATCCCAACACTTTGGGAGGCCAAGGTGGGCGGATCCCTTGAAGTCAGGAGTTCGAGACCAGCCTGGCCAACATGGTGAAACCCTGTCTCTACTAAAAATACAAAAATTAGCTGGGTGTGGTGGCACATGCCTGTAATCCCAGCTACTTGGGAGGCTGAGGCAGGAGAATCGCTTGAACCGGGAAGCAGAGGTTGCACTCCAGCCCGGGCGACAGAGCGGCGGCGGTGGGGGGTGGGGGGGAAGCAAAAAACAAATTAGCTGAGTATAGTGGTGCACCTGTAATCCTAGCTACTCAGGAGGCTGAAGCACAGGGATTGCTTGAACCCGGGAGGCAGAGTTGCAGTGAGCCAAGATCATACCACTGTACTCTAGCCTGGGCAACAGAGCAAGACTGTCTCAAAAAAAAAAAAAAAATTAAATTAAAATATAAATAAACTATAGTACCGAATTGTTTCGAATAATATTTTTGGATCCATTTAAGCAATTAAGTGGTTTTTCTTCTTTCATCTGTTGATGTGAAATATTAATTAATTTCCCAATGTTGAACCATCTATCATTCCTGAAAGAAAAGTTTTGCTTGGTTATGGAATGCTTTTCTTTTAATGTTTTTCTGAATTGTCTGTAGTTCTATCTTTTCATGAATTGGATAGGAAAACTTTCTGTCCTTTTTTATGGTCTGTTGTGTCAAAGTTTTGTGTTCCTTAAGAGTTTGAAATAAATGAACAGTAAAACTCTAGTCGAGTCTTTTTTAGAGGTAGTACTTAGATAGTCTTTCTTCTTGAGCTGACTGTGGTACTTTAGTCAGAGTTATTTTGGATGGCAAAAAGAGGAGCCAACTTAAGCAAATGCAGGTGAGAAAAAGAGATTATGTGAAGATAGAGCAGTCTTACTAGGCTCCATGAAGCAGCGAACAACCCTTTCTCATGTTGGGGAGGGATGAAGGCAACCTCGGGACAAGCCACTCTGTCATTTGTTTCTCTTTGCTTTTTTGATTCTCTTGTGCATGCACATTGTTCTTTCTCCAGCAGGCTTGCTCCTGGGTCCCTTTTTCCTCCTGCCTTTGAGAGGGGGACATGCAGTCTCTTGATAACTGCCCAGTGGTGTAAATAGCTGTGATACTGTTTGACTTCAGTGTTTGTCCTTTCAGTTCACGGGGGCTTTCCCTTTGCTTAGTTTCTCCAAAGGGAAAATTGGATCAAATTATCTTCGTTAATTAGGTCTCTGGCAGGCATCTGGATACCTCCTTTAGGACAGTTTTACCTCCTTTCTTAAATGAGCTGCGACTGGGTAGAAGGCAGGTCATGAGGATTTTTTATGATTGTGATTATTTGTGATTGTTGGCAGATTTCCTAGGATGAAGGTTGAATATGATGGGGAGATAGGCATCAACATTTTGTCTTGTGTGTTAGTGATTTATCTTTTTCCAGGAAAACCAAAAAATATTTTTCATTTTTGTTTCCATACTGTTGTCAAATGCTTGTCTTTGGACTTGTGTATGCCCACCTGCCCTTTAGGCCCCATCTGGAGATTGTTTCAGTAAATTTAGGTCTAATCTGGATTTTTTAACAGGTTCCCCAAATGTGTCAGGTACACGGGGCATTGGGAACTGCAGGAATGCAGTTGCTTTTAGTTTTTCATATCCTTTGTTACCCATTCTTATTTCAAGTTTTACTTACTTTCTTGAGTCTGTTCTCTAAATATTTGGGAGCCAATAAAATCATTCCTGGTTTACCTCTGGAGAAGCTGGTATGAATCTTTCTCTCTCCAGTTTTTGATTTACAGTAGACATGAATTTAGCCAAGCTCTGTGGGACTTAGGTGTAGTTCCATTTCAGCTTTACTCCTTGTTCTTCTAATTTCTGAATAGTTGAACTACAGCCCCCAGCAGGCACTGCTGCTGGAGACGAATCTCCCTTCCTCTGTCTTACTTGGTGGACTAGTCCAGTTCTATGGAAACAGTGTGCTACCACTGGAAGCCCATTTTTCTTACATGCACACACGTTCTCCTTTCCGCAATTACAGTTACTTGAAATTAAGTCTTTTGGTGGGTGGAAAAAGAGGTTTTGAAAGGCAGAGCATGTATAGATCACTGATTCCTATTTCTCAGCCTAGTTCTTTTGCCTTGTAGCTAGTGGAAATTCTGTTTACCGGCTTTAGATTATCAGTATTACTTTGAATTGGAGAGGCTTTTTAATGGAATGCTAAGCAGACCATTTGAGTGAAAAATCATAATCTGTTTTTTAATGGAAATATTTCAAACTGTTTGTACATAAAATGTAATTCAAACACAAATACACCGTTTTGAAATTTATGGCTTTAGTACATACACATGAACACAACATAAAACTATTAACACTAATCCTGATTTTCAAATATAGTTGTTTTTTTTTAATTGAAAATGTTAATATTAAAGTAAAATTTTCTCCTTGGAGCTTTTGTTGACATATTTATAGCTTTACCATTCCATTGCTTTTTCTTTTTTTCTTTTTTTCTTTTTTTCCTGAGATGGCATGTTGCTCTGTTGCTCAGGCTGGAATGCATTGGCATGATCATAGCTCACTGCAGCCTCGGCCTTGAACTCCTTGGCTCAAGTGATCTGCCTCAGCCTTCCAAGTAGTTGGGACCATAGGCACGTGCCACCATGTCCATCTATTGCTTAATTCTTAACATATTAGAAAAAGCATCTATGTATACTCTCAAAATTAAAATTTTTTCTAGTCTTACTTTGATTCTCATGCTTGGAGTAGGCAATGTTCATGTAACCACACTGCAGATCTTCTGTAAAGAAGTGTTGAGATTTGAATCGCTGGCCCATTAAATACAAATCAGTCTCTTTTCTGAATCAGAGAAATAGGCACAGTCCTATTCTTAAATTAGATTACGTGTATTTTATTGCTATAGAAATTTCTAAATTTGTGATTAATTCTTTCCTCTCTTTTAATAGTAATCCTGTGGATTTGAGTAACCCAGCTATTATAAGCTCTACTCCCAAATTTCAGGAACAGTTCTTGAATGTGAGCGGAATGCCGCAAGAATTGAATCAGTATCCCTGCCTTAAACATCTGCCTCAAATATTTTTTCGTGCCATGCGTGGAATCAGCTGTCTGGTGGATGCATTCTTAGGTGAATTTTGTGTATGTTGCTAGATGTATGAAGAGCTTCATTTAGATAACTCTAGAGGCTAACCCTAGGAGTTATTAGAAAACATCCGAAGGAAAAGATGAACAGATTTGATGACAAATAACAAGCGAGGAAAAATTATTTGCAACAAATAAAATAGCCAGAGGGTTATCGTTTCTATGTAAATATTTAGATTGGTGCAAAAGTAATTGCGGTTTTTGCCATTAAAAGTAATGCGGCCAAAACTGCAGTTACTTTTGCACCCACCTAATACATCAAACAAAGTGCTAAGAACAAGAATTAGGCCTAGTAGATAAATGGACAAAGGATAAGAGTAAATGATTGCAAAAGAAAAGAGTGTTCATGCATACTAGCTATCCAGGAAAATACAGATGAAAATGCATTTGGGACCATTCTCATGTATATCATTAAAAAGCAAATTATACCTTTAGTGAGCCATTCTTTTAAGCTGTTTTTCACATTTTAGATATATGAAAAGTCAATTTTTTAACCTGTTGAAAGGCAGTGATTTATAATATTTTCTAAAATATTTATGTATACTTATTAATGTACAGTTAATATGTTAGCTCTGATTAAGTTTGGCTGCCACGTAACAACCAAAAATCCTATTGTAAACAAGATAGCTTATTTTCACATATGTTAAATCTAGGGCTAGGCAGTGTAATGGTTCCATCACCAGCAGGGATCCAAGGCCCTTCCATCTGGTGGCTCTCCATTCTTTGCACAGTGCCTCATGGGCCATGATGGTTGAGTGAGTTCCAAACATCCTGTCCAGGAATTAGGAAGGAAGGAGAGTCTGCATATAATTGGTCCTTTAAGAAGATCTCTTAGAAGACCTACCCAACAGTCACCAACTTCTTTATGGTCAAAATATGGCCACATCTAGGTGCAAAGGGAGTTTGAAAATTGAGTCATTTTTTTTCTGGGTAGCCATGTCCATCTAAAGTTTGTGTTCTGTTACTCAGGAAGAAATAGTGAGTAGATACTGAGAGGCAACTAGCAATCTCTGCTATAGTCTATGTGTCCCAAGCCTTCACTAGGTTACTGGGAGAAATTTTCTGATCATATATTTTGACCTATGAAGAATAATTTCATTTGTCTTTTTTTTTTTTTTAAGGTATTTCTAGACCCCGATCAGACAGTGCTCCCCCAACACCCGTGAATAGATTAAGTATGCCTCAAAGTGCTGCTGTCAGTACCACCCCCCCACATAACCGGAGGCACCGGGCTGTTACTGTGAATAAGGCCACCATGAAGACAAGCACAGTAAGAGTTTACATCACCATTGTTATGCTATATAAGGTTGGCTTTTTAATCTGCCATTCTTTTTATAAAGTCTTGCTATTTTCTCAGACTTTTCATTGGTATGGGTGTATTCTTGTGTTCGTCTAATAGGTTAGTACTGCTCATGCCTCTAAAGTTCAGCACCAGACGTCCTCCACCTCTCCTCTGTCAAGTCCAAATCAGACTAGTTCAGAACCCCGGCCACTGCCTGCCCCTCGGAGACCAAAGGTTAACAGCATCTTGAATCTCTTTGGATCATGGTTATTTGATGCAGCATTTGTTCACTGTAAACTTCATAATGGGATAAACAGAGACAGCAGCATGACTGGTAAATATTACTCAAGAAATATGTTATCATTATTTTCCTTTTCCTTTTTCTTTTTCTTTTTAGTCTTTCCTACCTGCAAGATTAATATGTATCTTAAAAAGCTCTCTGTTTCTGACCAAGCAATGTCTTGTGCTTAACCCCTTCCAGCTGAAGTAACAGAACTTAAGAAGTTTTCCTCCCTGTTCTTTTTATGTATGTTCTATGAGGTTTGGCCTTTTGTCTGGTTTTATTAGACATACTTAAGGTTAGTCACATTTTGTTGAATCAGATTTCTTTCAGTAGGTGACCTGGAAGTTCCCTTCATGTCAGCCAGGATAATAAAATTTATATAAAGAATTAAAAATTCGAACTGGAAATTTACAAGAAGTGTTTTCGATTTTGACAGCCATTCACTCATTAGTATATGTAAACATCAGAAAATTTTTGCTTCACACTACACTCTGACCTCTCAAATTTTAGTCTAGAGAACTTTATTTCAAGGGCACACTTTCAAAAATATTATTTGCTTTTTAACTTAATAAAATTGATTGGTGGAGAATTAATAACTCAACCCTGATATCTTCATTTAGATTTTATTATAAAAAGGAAACTGTCTAAGAGCTGGTGGTTTTTTTTGTCATCTTAACTATTATATTTGAAAGTAATGGCATAGGGTGCAGGATGGATGGGTGGGGTAGGGCACAATGTTTTGAATATTTATAATATGTCTTAGAGAGCTGAAAAATGACAATGGCTGGCATTTATTGAGCTGCTGTTACTATTGGCCAGGTACTGTGATATATGCATTAATGAGTGTATTGATTGTTTGGTAAGAAACCACTCTTCTACTGGGGTTGGAAATAGATCAAGACAAAAAGATGTCTAATTAGTTTATGTATCTCTAGGGAGACTGTCAGTTCCAAGGATAAAACTAATACAATGACCAGAAGGGTCTCTGCTTTCTCTCAGAAATGAATTCTTAGCTGTTACTATAATTCTTAGCTATTATTATTATCATCTCAGAACTAGGATCTATGTCTGTGAACATTATACTCGTAATTATTTTGAATATTCTTACAAATCTTTAATTTAGAAAAGTTGTGAATATAAAGATTTTTGGGAATATAATTTGAGAATGCCATGGTTGAGTTTAGGGATGTCTTTGCTTGCTTTATTTTGTTCAAATTCAGACACTTTATATTCTTCCATTTTCATATTATAATTTTATCCACAATTTGAAAGTAGTGCTTCTGGGATAGGTAAATGTGCTTACTTACAATAAGTGAAAACTTTAAAAAAATGACTATTGGGTTATTCTTGTCTTTATGTTCATGTACCTTGTATTTTGAGTTTTCTGTACCATGTTTATATTTATTAATTTGCATTTTCTAGAATGAATCAGTCCTATTTTTCTTTTTTCTTTTTGTTAAGATGTAATTCTTACAATGTAACTTTTGGGTATAGAGCTGTTGACACTGAAATCTGTGAATCTAGAATGGCTCAACCTGTTGCTTGGTTGGTGGGCTTGCTTAAAGGGAACTTATAGATCTTTTTGCTCTCCAGGGAGTTTGTAACAGCTTTGCTCACCCTCTTGCACCAGAAGATAAAAACCAGACTTCAAATCATACGTGAACAACATCTTACTTTAAAATTTTTCCTTGCTGGGGAGAGGATAGAAGCTCCTTTTCTCCTCATTGTGTTCAGAGATGATAAAGGCTGTTACATTACCCAGGAGATATGAGGTGTCCAAATAGTTAAAGGGGTTAGAATGCTAGGTGCCAATCTTGAGGTCTCAAGTCTGGTGGGAGGCATGGGTATATTAACTGTTTTTTAAGTACTGGCTGCCATCAAGGAATTCTGCCATGCAGTTCACCTCTAACTTAAAGTGTTTGCTTCTTTGAACTGGTTAGCTTTTGATTTACATGACAGTACACTGTGCTTTGTAAAAGTAACATTGAGCTGGGAAGGGTTAATGAACTAAAATTTTAATGCACGTTATGGGCACTTCAAAACCTCAGTTCTTTGTAGTTGTGTAATTTTCTTCGTTCATTGTTTTGCATGATACAAAAATCATAATTTTGGACCTGAATGCACAATTTCCTATGTTTTTGAACTAGCTTGTGGTATCGTAAAGCTTTTAATTTAACTTTTAAAAAGCTAAAAAGCTTCTTAATTTATTGTAAAATTTCACCATCTTTAAAGTATTTTATAATTACTACTGTCCTTTGATTTGTTTCCATTTATTTCTATTATCTTGCAGCATCTTTTATCCAAATTCTTCTTTCTTATAAATCTTGTAAGTAGGAACCAGAAGCTTCTCCTTAATTGCAGTCATGTTTTTATTTTTTTCATAATTCCATTAAAAATTTGATTGTCATTGTCTCTTGTAGTTTTTGCACTTGGGAAGAAAAATACTTTTCTGTGTTTTGAATGGGGAAGATTGTTGGCAAGAGCAAATTAATCTGCCTGAATCAGTCCCATTATTTCTGTATACTAGTCTGGTCATGTCATGAATTCCAGGACTTTGCACTAACTGTGTTTTGGCTTTTTTTTTTTTTTTTTTTTTTAAAGCTTTAAGCTTATTTTTATACAGATTTAGTGTTTGATTTGTATGCATTCTGCATGTAGTGTTTTTCAAATGTATTATTGCTGGATAGCTTATTTAGGACTAAAAATGGCTCATGGGAAGTTGCATAAAGATTTATGCTTGACTCTGTATTCTATTAAATCTATTATAAAATAATTTAAGCATTTCATGTAGAGTAATAAAAGATTTCAGAGTGATTTTCAATACACTGTGAAATCTTTTGTTAAAAATAAAAGCAACTTTCAAAGGGCTTCTGTTTCAGTGATAACAAATGACCATGATAATCTTTTTTATCAATCCAATTTTCTGATTTATCAGCCTCAAGTTAGCTGCTGTCTGTGGTTGTTAAAATTCATTCTCATTTTGCTTGGTTGAGCGATTCTTTGGTGTGTGTTTTGGAGTTGGGTGGGTGGTGGGAATGCTCTCTTTTTCTCCCTGCCCACTTCTCATCCTTACTTTGCCCTCTCCCTAAAGTATACAGACTGGCATAGGGTTGCCCATTTAATTAGGATGTCCATCTGGGGTAATGTGTAAATTGCAGTAGCTATTTTTCTTAACGTTTAAGCATCATTCTGTAGGGGGAAGAAAAAACAGAAAAGAAATAATAGAAAAGCCAAATTCTGTATTATATATCTGTATGTGGATACAGATATATACAAATGTACTCTGCTGATCAAAAATTCAGTTGAAAAATGCTTCTTGTACCATCTGTTAAACTGACAATGCCACTGTAAATTAATTGTAACCTATTTTCAAAGAAGATTTCAGAGAGCCCTTTTTAAAAATATTAAGACATAGTTGCTAAACAAAAGCACTTATTGGATTCAAGTAGCTATTTAATGACACCAATATTTGATCTTTGTGTCCAGGGTCCCATGAGCCTACGTGGCATATTGCAAATATAATAAAACCCTCCTTTTCTCTCCCCAGCCATTACAACACAAGCTAGCATGGAGTTTCGACGGAAAGGGTCACAAATGTCCACAGACACCATGGTTTCCAATCCTATGTTTGATGCAAGTGAATTTCCTGATAACTATGAAGCAGGAAGAGCTGAGGCTTGTGGGACACTGTGTAGGATTTTTTGTAGCAAGAAGACTGGAGAAGAGATTCTGCCAGCTTATTTATCCAGGTCTTGGAATTTTTGTTTGTTTTTTCATTTATATAGTTTTGATAGTGAAGCCATTGTTGGTTGGCCGACTGAACCGATGAGTGATGTTGGTCTGAAATACCTACAGATGTCTGTAAGTGATCGACATTTGCCTGAAATCTTTCATTTTACCTGTCTCATCAGATTTGGTAAAGACCCTTAAGACCCTTTTTGTTTTAGAAGTGCTATTTATGTCATCTTATTTGAATCTTTTTAATATGGAGAGATTTCGAAGGACCACAATTATTTGTTAACAAATTTTTAGCACAGTATTCCCATGTAGGCAGTCCAGAAATAAGTCAGCTGTAAATCCTGCCTCCAAGGAGCTTATTTTCTGGGCAAAGCCCCAAACAAAGCCGTGTACACATGTAACAATGATCCAGCAGGAATTAGGATATTGATGGGAGAGGCACAGATAATGTGCTGTGGGCATTCAGGGGAAGAAGCAGCGCACATTTATTTACTGTAGGGGATTCAGGAAAGAGTTTTGGGGGATTAAATGATTATGCTGGACTTATAAAGGATGAGTAGCATTTAGCCTATGTTAGAAAGTTGGTTAGGGTCATCTTCTCCAAATCTATGGCTTCAGCCATCTTTGTTAATGCCTCTGCCATCCATTCAGTTGCTCAGGCCAGAAACGAAGAGTCATTTTAGAATCCTCTTCTTCTGTATCTTTAGTTGATCAACCGATCAACCAACTCTTGCCTTCCTGCTACTTAACTCTCTTTCTGATCTCTCTTTTCACTCTATCCCCACCATTATACTTTAGACTTTGTCACTTTTCTCCTAAATTAACTCATAATGGCCTCCCGTTCTTCTTGACACTGTTTTGCCTTCCTTAACTGATCATTCACACAAGTGCAGAAGTGAGGTTAATATCAACAGAGTATTTAGATATCTGCATACTTGCTAGGTTCTCAGGAGATAGAATTAAACTGACCCTATCAGAGGGAACCAAGTACAGAATTTTATAGATATGAAAAAGAATGGTATATACAGGCAAATAGGCAGGGTTATCATAACTATCGGCGCTTGGTTTAAGCAACAGAAACCCTCTCAATCTGACTTAAGTAAAAGGAGAAGAAGTTGTGAGAAGCTAGTGATATTTATTAAATTCTAAGGTCAGGAAATGCAGTATGGCCTCATGAAGAGCAGATACTCAAGGACCAAAACAACTTTATTCCTCTCTCTTTCTCTGTCTTCCTGGTCTGCCAGAACTGCTTCATTCTTCTCTTCTCTGCAGATCATTTTCTCTTATTGTAGTGTGCTTCTGAGTTCCCAGTTTTCATTAGCCGGGCATGATGGCATTTGCCTGTAGTCCCAGCTACTCGGGAAGCTGAGGCAGAAGAATCGCTTCAACCCAGGAGGCGGAGGTTGCAGTGAGCCGAGATTGTGCCACTGCACTCCAGCCTGGGCGACAGAGTGAGACTCCGTCTCAAAAAAAAAAAAAAGTTCCCAGTTTTCATGGCCTTGGTCTAGGTGACCATCAGGACCAATTAGTATCTCTGAATTTTAATTATAGACTCCTGGGAAGGAGGATCTAATTAATCTGCCTGTCTCTGGTCTAGTCAGCTACAGTTGTGAAGGTGGGTCACATAAGGGTGTTGGAGCTCACCCACTTGTTGTGGGGGCATGTTTCTCAGGAACTCTGGGCTGGGGAGATATCCTAAATGGTACTTTGGTAGTAGGGGAGAAGGCTATCACCATGAACTTTCTGACTGAGCCATAAGACTGAATGGGTGGTAGTAGGACAAACCAAAACAACAGATTCATGAGAGGGCAAGTTATTAGTTTAGTTTTGAATCGATTGAATTTGAAGTGCCTATGGGATATTTATCAACAAATATTTATTAAGTCCTACTTTGTGCCAGATATTGTGCACAGAAGTACCATAATAATCACTAGACATCCAGATATCCAGTAAGCTTTTGGGTAATAGATCTGGAGTTCAGTTGAGAGGTGTGGGTTAGAATGATTTGATTATATTTAGTGACTTAAGAAGTGTTTAAAATCAGGTTAGTAAAAGAGAGAGCTTTGAGAACTAAGGTTGTCAGACTGAGGAACACCATCTTTAGGGGGCAGGTAGAGTAAGAGGACCTGTAAAAGAAAATGGTCATAGAAATCAGGGAAGAGCAAGGAGAGAAGGGAGTAGTTAGAGGGCTGAATGCTTTCAAAAGGCAGAATGAGTTAAGACTTAGTCATGTCTCTTGGATTTGGCAATCGAGAGCCCATTGGTTATTTGCTAGTATGGTTTTAGTTGAGTTCTAGGGAGAGAGATAGATTGAAATGGGTTGAGCAGTAACCAGTAGGTGATGAAGTTGTTTCTGAAGAGTTTTGCAGAGAAGAGAAACTCACCTCACAATAGAAGAGTATAACAGTGCAGCTGCTGTTGAATAACGGGAGATTGAATGCTTAGTAAGTTGATTAGAGGTTGGGGGTGGAGTTAAAAACTAAGCTATATTCAGGTATATTCCTAAAAGGAATCTTATTCAGGTGACCTTCATGATGAATACAGATGATCGAATGCAGGTTTCTTTCTTTCATTGTCCCCCCAAAAATAATGGGGAAGGGACAAAAATGTAAACACACCTTTTTCCCTAGGAATTACTAAATGTTGCAACATTTTTCTCTTACGGAATTTAACTCAGCAGTTCCCCCAGTTTATTGAAAAGTACTGCAGCCTGTTGTTTTGTTTTGTTCTGGTTGCCTTATTTGCAGGCCCCTAGAACTTTGAGTTGCAAGGCTTAAGGTTTGAGAAGGTGCAACAGACATGAATTTTTTTTTTTCTTCATTAAGAAAGATGATTTGGGTCTTAGTGTATATGATTCAGAATTGTTCTAATTCCAGTAATATCCTTTAAAGGGTAAAATTCCAGTAATTCCAGTAATAACTTTTAAAGGGTAAAATTCTAATAAATTCCAGTAATTCCAATAATGTCCTTTCTTTAAAGGGTAAAAATAGTGATGAGTGGAAATAGACTTTCAGTTAACTATGTAGCAAATAATAATTATGAAAACTTTTGATCAGCAGTTTGTTTAAAATTTTTTTCTTGCTTTCCTAGATTTTACATGCTTTTAATTCAAGGTTTGCAGATAAATGATTATGTGTGCCATCCTGTCTTGGCCAGCGTTATTCTAAACTCTCCTCCTTTGTTCTGCTGTGACTTGAAAGGGATTGATGTTGTGGTTCCTTACTTTATTTCAGCTCTTGAAACCATTTTGCCTGACAGGTAAGCTATCATTCTCTGCTATTATATCAACTGTCTGATTTGGCCTGGTCTGTTGGTGCTTCCTCCCCAGTTTCCTAATGTATCCTGTCCAGTTGTCTTCATAGTCCAAGAGAACTCAGGCGACATTAAATGAGTGTAGTGTGTCCAAACCCACCTCATCCCTGAAATCCTTCAGTTCTCATTTGTCTGTGGGCTTGTTGAATCGTTTTTGGCCTGGTCTAGAAGGGTAAGAACAACTCCAACACAGAGGTCTTACCTTTGTAGAGTAGGCCTTACGTTTTAGGTAAAGAAATCAATCAATCAACTTCTAGTTTAATTCAGTAACAGTTTAACTTAGAAATATACAATATACAAATACACAATGCTTGGATTTGGAAAAATTGGCATTATATGTATTTGGCAGTAGCTAAAAATGTGCTTTAGTTCAAAAATACTAATAGCTTTTTATTTTTTGGCAGAGAACTCTCAAAATTCAAAAGCTATGTAAATCCAACAGAATTGCGAAGATCCTCCATTAATATCCTGCTTTCTTTGTTGCCCCTCCCTCATCATTTTGGCACAGTCAAATCTGAGGTAATGTTTTGTTAAAGTTTTTTTATATCCTATATTCTGTTTTTTGTACTAATTTAAGTCAAATCGAATGTTAAAAATGAAACAGGAGCTTTTTTTATTTTTCAATTCAAGTTATTTCATCAAGTTATTTCAAGTGAATTAACAAAGTTGACTTGTGATTTTTTTTTTTTGTTCTGTCAGTTTTTCTACCAGTTTTCAAGCAGTTATAGGCTAAGGACATCTATTAACATATTGTTAGTGACAGATTCAGCACAGTGGCTAATATTAGACTGAAAGCCTTTCTCATTATACTGATCCGTTCCTCCATCTAGCTGTTCCCACATGGGCATCATAAGCTGCAACAGCTGATGTTAAATATTATTTGTTTTTTCCATAGGTGGTCCTGGAAGGAAAGTTTAGTAACGATGACAGCTCTTCTTATGATAAACCAATAACTTTTCTGTCCCTGAAGTTGAGACTTGTGAATATATTAATAGGTGCCTTGCAAACTGAAACGGACCCCAACAACACCCAAATGATATTAGGTTTGTATTCACACGTTATTTTGTAAGTGAAACCAAAGTACTGTTGACTACAGGCCTGCTGAGGAGGCGGCAGTCGGTAATGGGAGCCTAAACCTAATGTAGCTCTACTTACTCTGAATCAGAGGCACAAGTTAGTTTTTTAATGTAAAAAAATTTAAAGCAGTGAGATGAGGGAAGTAAAGTGTTACAGTTGTCTTGGTTGGTCATTTATTTGTGCTTTTGCTTTTCTTTCTCTTCTCCCTTCTCTCCTTTCTCCACTCTTTGCCTCTCCTTCCCATCCCTCTCTTCTTTCCTCCTTTCTTCCTGCTCTCCTTCCTCCTGCCTCTTTCTCTTCCTCCCGCCTCGTCCTCTTCCTCCTGCCTCTTCCTCTTCTTCTTGCCTCTTCCTCTTACTCCTGCCCATTACTTACAGGTCTCATCAGTCTGCACTTTCGTCCTAGTCCTTTTTTTCTCAAACACATCAGCTAATGATTTCTTCAGAACCTTACTTTATATCCCTCCTGCTGGGGTGTTCTTTCCCTAGATTTTTGTTTAGCTTTTCTTCATCATCTTCTTAAGAGAGAGCTTCCCTAACAATACTTGCTAAAGATTATCTTATTTCATCATTTTTTTCACAACACAAAACCTGAAATTATCTTGTTTGCTTAAATGCTTAAACTCCCCGCTTTTTACATGTTTTTCAAAATATATCATAAGGTATTTGGTGATTGACAAATCTAGTGTTAGCACTAAGGGACAGTCTTATCTCCCTGAAAATCTTCAGAGAGACCCTGATGAACAGAGGAGCTCTTCTTTTCTTCCTCTAATCTGATGTTCAAATTGGGTAAACAGCAATGTATTACATTTGAAAGCAAAGGGTTTTCAGTTGTTGCTTCTGTGTCTCAGTGCCACTAAAGTGCAATCCTGGGTATTGAGATCACCACCCTTGACAGTGGAAGCTCTTAGGAAAGTAGGGCTTTCCTCAGCCACCTAACAGGAGTCCCCACTGAACCATGTGAATGCAAATACCATCCCAGCCCACAAACCTGGGTGGCAGTTAGAACTCCCCGCTTATGGAGCAATTGATCTCTGAGGATGACTTGACCTTGGCAGTGGTTAGAGGCTTTCTTTCTTCTCTTCATTAGCAAGACTAGAATTCAGCTTCTTCCTAGCATCTTAGATTTTTATCTGTTCAAAAGTGGGATCAGACATTCCCTTTAAGCCCTTATGCCCCCAGAGGAGGTGGGGTGTATGTCCTTCCAACAGGAACACAATCCTTGAAATGGTTTCTAAAAGGCCTCTAAAACTGAGGGACAGATCCTGAAGAGATGGGTCACAACGGCCAAGAACCATATTTATCCAGAGACACCTAATTAGTAGGTGACTGGAGTTGTCTGTAGCTGGGCAAAAAGTTTTTTAGGGTTTCGTAAGTCTCAAAAGCCATTAATTGTGGACATGATTTTCTAGACTCACAAATGGAGTTTTTTGCTCTTTACATTCTCAGTTATGATGTATAGCTATATTCTTGTTCAGGCTGGGCTTTTAGAGACCTTCTGAAGTTAATGTGGTCAGTCTGACCAAGGTTTGGAACCAGAGTCTACCAGTGGCATTGATAATATCTCAGATACATTCTGAACACAGAGGGTGGTTTATGTGGAGGGGGATGTTTTGATATGTGAGAACCTCCAAGTTACAATGTTTTAGGTTATTTAAATAACATAATTTTGCTTGAAATTATATAATTTCTACGATTGAAGCAGTATTTGGTTTTGTTACACCCTTGCTCTGAGGCACTCCCTATGTACTTTCCAAGGAAGAGTCAGTTGTTACTCTTGCCATAAAGTGGCAAAGCTCTTTCCATCTTCTCTTTATCCATAGTGGGCAAGAGTACCTCCCACGGGGATGAGAAGCAGTGTGTTAGGCTCACCATCTCATTTCTGTCCTAGCCTTTCCAGGACAATGGTTTCCTTGATAATAAATAAATGAAGCTTACTTCAGGGTATGCAGATGTCAACAAGCCCCAGACTGTGTGGCTTTAATCATTCTTAAAAAGCAGTGTGGTCAGAAAGCTATTGCTGTGACTTTATTTTGTAATTTTTGTTTTATTTATTTGTTTCTTTTTCCCTGTAGAAAAAACAGACAGTAATGTTTGTTTTATTTTTAAGACTAGAACCTAGTTTTGAAAGTATTCCATAATATTTTCCTTAGTTTATATTACCCTTGAAATTGAGATGCTTACATCTGGTCTTTTACACCAGTTAAAAAATATCTGATAATGAGCATGTTTTTATATAAAGCAAGTTTGACCTTCACATTCATTTTATTTTTATTTATTTATTTATTTATTTATTTATTTATTTATTTATTTAAATACAAGTTCTTGCTCTGTTGCCCAGGCTGGAGCGCAGTGGTGCAATCATGGGTCACTGCAGCCCAAGCTCCTGGACTCAAGTGATTCTTCTGCCGCAACCTCTGAAGTAGCTGGGACCACAGGCGTGTGCCACCACACCTGGCTAATTTTTTGTTGTTGTTAGAATAGGGTCTTGCTCTGTTGCCCAGGCTGGTCTCGGACTTCTGGGCTTCTCCAGTCCTCCCTCCTTAGCCTCCCAAAATGCTGGGATTACAGGTGTGAGCCACTGTGCCTGGCCCACATTTATTTTAGGGAATTTTTTTTTTTTGAGATGGAGTCTCGCTGTGTCACCCAGGCTAGAGGGCAGTGGCATGATCTTGGCTTATTGCAACCTCTGCCTCCTGGGTTCAAGCAATTCTTCCACCTCACCCTCCTGAGTACCTGGGATTACTGGCACCCGCCACCACGCCCAGCTAATTTTTGTATTTTTTAGTAGACACAGGATTTTACCATGTTGGCCAAGCTGGTCTTGAACTCCTGATAGCAAATGATCTACCTGCCTTACCCTTCCAAAGTGCTGGGATTATAGGCATGAACCAATGCACCTGGCCAGAATTAAGGAATTTTTAAAGAGTCTCTTCTGACCAATCAGTGGATTTATTAGTAGAGTTGACCCTTGAACAACATGGGTGTTAGTGATGCCAATTCCCTGAGTAGTTGAGATCCACATATAACTTTTTGATTCCCTAAAAACTTAACTACTGATAGCCTACTGTTGACCAGAAACCTTACCCATACCAGTTGATTAACACATATTTTGTATTTTATGCATATTATTAATATATACTGCATTTTTACAATAAAGTATGCTGGAGAAAAGAATATTTTATTAAGAAATACATGTTGTAATCCCAGCATTTTGGGAAGCTGAGGTGGGTGACTCACGAGACCACCCTGGCCAGCATGGTGAAACCCTGTATCTACTAAAAATACAAAAATTAGCAGGGTGTGATGGCACATGCCTGTAGTCTCAGCTACTTGGGAGGCTGAGATAGGAGAATGTTTGAACACGGGAGGCGGAGGTTGCAGTGAGCCAAGATCATGCCATTGCACTGCAGCCTGGGCAATAAGAGCGAAACTCCGTCTCAAAAAAAAAAAATAAAATAAAAATAAAAATAAAGCTTGGGCGTGGTGGCTCATGCCTGTAATCCCAGAACTTTGGGAGGCCGAGGTGGGTGGATCACGAGGTGAGGAGTTCAAGACCAGCCTGGCCAAGATGGTGAAACCCCGTCTCTACTCAAAATACAAAAAAGAAAAAAAAAATTAGCCAGGCGTGGTGGCAGGCGCCTGTAATTCCAGCTACTCGGAGGCCGAGGCAGAGAATTGCTTGAACCCGGGAGGTGGAGGTTGCAGTGAGCCAAGATCACGCTACTGGACTCCAGCCTGGGTGACGGAGTGAGGCTCCATCTCAAAAAAAAGAAAATCATAAGGAAGAGAAAATACATTTACAGTACTGTATTTATTGATACCATAAATTGTCTGTTTATAAGATAAATCGTCTCAACTGTTGGGCAGTTGTAGCTGTAGACCCCAATCTACAGTACATATCAAGCAACTCAGCTTTTTCTTGTAATGTCATGACTTTTCTCTGCTTCTTGGGAGCACTTCCAGCATCACTAGTGGCACTTCCTATGGGTCCCATGGCGTTAGTCAAGGTTCATGGTGTTGCAGTAAACATGATGAAAACATGTGAGAACCATGGTATGCAATTTACTGCAGTGTTCAGTCTGTTAGAGAGATGAACTACTCACATGGAGATGGTTAGCATCACATTGTATTTTAAGCAGCATACTCATTAACACTTGAGCTCACCCCAGTAACAACAGGAGGAGGCTACAAAATGATTACAGTAGTGCAGTATGTACTACAGCTAATTTTATACAGTTATTTAATACTACATCTTTGTTTACATTTCTCTGGACTGCAAATGGCATCATGTATGGTCTGTAAGTGTTTGTGTACGTAAGTTTTTTGATAAATTTTAGCTTTTTATTTTTTATTTATTTTTAGAGACAGGGTCTTGCTTTGTTGCCCACTCTGGTCTCAAACTCCTAGGACTTCAAGCAATCCTGCTGACTCGGCCTCCCAAAGTGCTAGAATTACAGGCATGAGCTAGTATGCCCGGCCAATTTTAACTTTTTATACTTTTTTAAATATTTCTTTTCTTTCTCTTTTTTTTTTTTTGAGATGAAGTCTCGCTCTGTTGTCCAGGCTGGAGAGCAGTGGTGCAATTTCGGCTCACTGCAACCTCCACCTCCCAGGTTCAAGCAATTCCCCTGCCTCAGCCTCCTGAGTAGCTGAGATTACAGGCGCACACCACCATACCCGGCTAATTTTTGTATTTTTAGTAGAGATGGGGTTTCACCATGTTGACCAGGCTAGTCTCGAACTCTTGACCTCCCGCCCCACTTCGGCCACCCAAAGTGCTGGGATTATAGGCATGAACCACTGTGCCTGGCCATTTTTTTTTTTTTTTAATATTTCTAGGCTATGCAGTTTGGGAGTTTTTTCAAATTGTCACAGATCTCCAAAAAACTTTCTAACATGTTTATTGAAAAAAACCTGCATATGTACAGTTCAAGCTCTTGTTTAAGAGCCAACTATAATTTCATGGGTATTTCAGGAATGCTCAACCAAAATTATATTCTTATCTGTACTATTAATCATATAAAATGTCTTACGCATTTTAGTGTTCTTGTGTATTTTATATAAAATACTGTTTTATTGTTGTTGTAGGGGCAATGTTAAATATTGTTCAAGATTCAGCACTTTTGGAAGCCATTGGTTGCCAGATGGAGATGGTAAGAAGCATACATGCAATCTGTCAGAGAATATCACTTTTGAATTTCATGTAAATTATATTCCAGAATGTCCATCTTTGTGAATTTTAAAGGCCTTTGGTTTGTAAATCCTGCTCATTGGCTCAGAAGTTTTCTTTTTAAAAATAATGTATATTTTGAGGTTTGCTTTTCAGTGCCTCTTCAGCTGTACATCAGGTTCCCGAGATATTCTGTATGAGAGAAACTACAGCTAAATCCAGTCTTTATTCCTGAACAGTGTCTGCTTAAAACTGTTACTTGTTTTGCTGTGGTGGCAAACTTGGTTGAATAACCTAGGAAAAGCCCTAGCCAGCAAGCAACTAGTTTAACTTTTTCTTACCCATCAATTCTTTCTAACCCCTCTAGACCTAAGTTTGCAGGTCCCTCAAAGCACCAATGCTTCCAAATCAAAAATGCTTCTCAGAGACTTCCAGTGCTCTCTGCTTTGTCTTCAAGATATATCATCCCTATACTTGGAGTATAGGCAAGACAATGGAGGGGTTAATAGGGTATACTGGGGTAAGTTGGGTAGATGTAGTAAGCTGAGTAGATGTAAGATGGGTGATCAAATTATTATTACGGAAATTACATTCGTGTCTCAGTAGATGGTGAATAATAATTTACTGATCTGAATATAATGAACTGTGTTTATATGGGGAAAAATGAGGGAAGTCTAACAGATAGGTTTATTAGCCCCTATACATACGGGAGTTAAAACTAACCCTAGTATTGTTTGTGTTTTCTGATATAACTGTATTTGAAAGTTGCCGTTTGTTTATTCATGCCTTTTTGTTTTTTGTTTTGTTTTGTTTTGCTTTGGTTTTGAGACAGAGTCTCGCTCTGACTCCCAGGCTTGAGTGCAGTGGCGCAATCTCTGCTCGCTGCAAACTCCGCCTCCCAGGTTCCTGCCATTCTTCTGCCTCAGCCTCCCGAGTAGCTGGGACTACAGGCGCCTGCCACTGCGCCCGGCTAATTTTTTTGTATTTTTTAATAGAGATGGGGTTTCACTGTGTTAGCCAGGATGGTCTCGATCTCCTGACCTCGTGATCCGCCTGCCTCGGCCTCCCAAAGTGCCGGGATTACAGGTGTGAGCCAGCGCGCCTGGCCTTATTCATGCTTTTTAAGCTTATATTTCTGTTCTGAGGTTTTGCTTGGGAGGCACTAGGGTATTCTTTTTAAGGACCTGGAATCTAGTGAAGTCTAGTAAAGATGAAAAAGCTGGGCCAGCCCTTTGTAAATAGTGGCAAAGAAGACCCCAGTATGGGCACTTGTAGTAGTACAAATCCTTCATACCCTCCAGTAGATTTGTGTGTGTAAAAATACCACAGTGGTTTTAATCCCTTGTCAATTTCTGTTACTATCAGTTTGTACTATTCAGTTGGCACATTCTGCTTTATCAACATGGTTTTTAATGATTGACCTTTATTTATGCTTGTAAACTGTGATGTAATCCTCACTTGATTCATTTTCATTTGACTAGGGTGGTGGAGAAAATAACCTGAAGAGTCATAGTCGCACCAATAGTGGTATTAGTTCAGCAAGTGGTGGAAGCACGGAGCCCACGACTCCCGATAGTGAGAGACCTGCTCAAGCTCTCTTAAGAGATTATGGTTAGTCGTGTTTCTTTTGAAATTCAAAGTTTAATAGAATGACTTTAATGCTTACATTTATAAAACAAAAACATTAAAAATGTTAATGTTCATGTTTTTTATATACTTAAGTATAATAGAGAGGATGTCAGTCTTAAGAAGCTAAGAAAAAACAAATCTTTTTGATTTAGCTGTATAGCTTTTGGGTAGTATATTAGATTTGGGGTAGTATATTAGGTTTTATAATTGATAGTAATGGGTGATCAGTAAACATTTCTGAATTCTCTACCATGTGTGGTGGTAGAGAACCAAATAAGATGTGGACTCTGCCTCAGAGCTCACAGTGTAGTGGCAGAGATGTCCAATAAGCCAGTTATTGCAGTGTGGCAAGGAGGGTAATGGGGGATGGATTAGATAGCAGCCCAGAGGAGAGCATGTCTTCATGTTAAAACCTGTGTACCCCCTACTGTAGCTCACTAGATTCTTTAGCCCTGAAACATTTTTATTTTCTGCCCTGCCAAGTAAAACATTTGCCAGCCAAGCATCCTATACAAGGTTGTCCCCTACCTTGGGCAGTTGTTTTATGGATTCTGTGAGTTTGTGGGTACCTTTATGTTTTTCTACACAAGTACTAACAGTGTATTAAATCTGTGAGCACTTATCCAGCTAGATTGGAGTGATATCTAGATTCTTAGATGTGAGTTTAATCCTTTAATCATCTGGAGAGTTCATGAGCCATGTTCATGAGGTTCATGAGGCATGTCATGAGCCATGTTCATGAGTTCATGAATTCATGAGGCATGTTTCTATGGTTTAAGTTTGCAACAAGTATCCTTGAACATGTCAGATATACATAAAGCCATTATGTGGATATTTGACACATTTAAATATTATATTCGTGAAGAAGTTATTTAAATTATCTTATTCACTGTGTATGTAGATTTAGGTATTCTATAGGTTGAAAATTATTTTTCATGCTTTCTGAAACACATTTAAGCTAAATAAATTTTTCAGTACTGGCTGGGCGCAGTGGCTCACTCCTGTAATCCCAGCACTTTGGGAGGCCAAGGTGGGCGGATCACCTGAGGTCAGGAGTTCGAGACCAGCCTGGCCAACGTGGTGAAACCCCATCTCTACTAAAAATACAAAAATTAGCTGGGGGTGGGGGTGGGTGCCTGTAATCCCAGTTACTCTGGAGGCCAAGGTAGGAGACTCTCTTGAACCTGGGAGGCAGAGGTTGCAGTGAGCCAAGATTGCGCCACTGTACTCCAGCCTGGGCAACAGAGCGAGACTCCATCTCAAAAAAAAAAAAAAAAAACAGAAAACAAAAACAAAAAAAGAAATTTTTCATTACTGCATGTGTTCTAATATAAATGTTTTAAGTGATTATTGTTTGTTTCAGCATTTTGAGCTGGTGTTAGTGAGCTCTGCTTGTAATGTCGTAAAATATTTTTTACTAAGAAATCCTGATTTGTGTTAGTGTCGCATGAGTGTCTCTCTTTAATGATCATTCCTTTTTCTGTTGTCACTGCCCTCTTTCTGATAGGATCGACAGGTATAATGTCCCTAAAGCTTCCTTTATAAATTCAGTTTAATTTGTCTTTATTTAATTTTTCCTAATTTCCTATTAGCTAACTAGTGATTGCTTTTACATATAGATTGGAGCCCAAATAAAAATATGGTGGCTTGGTTATTTAATTTTTTTAGAAGTATTAAAGTAATCCTGGAGAATTAAATGTTAAAGTATGTTTGAAAAGGCATTGCATGTGAGTTTTGATGGCTTAAACCCTGTAAGTAATTTCAACAGATGCTTGCTTCAGAGTAATTCCTAGCATCTGAGGAGGCCGTAAAATTAGAACTTTCCTCTGTAAAGTTTCAAGGAAATAATTGATAGCCTTTTCATCACTCTTTTTGAAAATGTAGCTATGAGTTGATAATTTAGAAACTTTAAATTACGTTGTTATGAAAATGACACTGAAACTGCCAAATCCCACGGTTGTGTCAAAGTGCGTGAACCAGGAACTAGAAGCTGCTCTGGTCTAGCACATGTGCCTGTGCACCGTGTAGTCAGGCTTGGCACTCAACCCAGTGGGGTGGGGAGCGTAGCACTGTGTGGGTGCCCGTCGTTCTCACTGTGGCTGCTGTGGTCTGTGCCTAGTGGATGCTGTGCTTCTCGTTACTAATGCTTAGTTGTTTTCCCTCCCTGTGGGATGTGGCATTGGGGTTATATCCTAGCTCTTAATACAGATTCAGCTGCTGGGCTCCTGATTCGCAGCATTCATCTCGTCACCCAAAGACTCAACTCCCAGTGGCGCCAAGACATGAGCATATCACTGGCAGCTCTAGAGCTCCTCTCTGGCCTTGCAAAGGTGAGGAAGACAGTCCTTTTATTTTAACCCAACAGCCTTGGGCCTTGGCTGTTTTTTCTGTATCTCTTAACCCCTTGTGTGGGTATTTTAGTGTTGATCATGCTCAAACATAGTTTATATTATATCCAAAGTGTACAAAATTTAGCCTCCAAGTGATATTCTATGCAATGAACTTTACTTTTTAAAAATAGGTTCAAAGAGTATGAATGAGATTTTTACCGTTAAATTATAGGAAACATTTCAATACTTGCCATTTATTTATTTGCATATAATACTAGAATGCATATTGATTTTGTAAAAAATGATTATCCTAATGTATGCCATTTGGGATTACCTGTGGCTCTGCCATCCTCCATTATCAGAGATAAGTGAAAACTGGCTACACCTTTTTTTTTTTTTTTTTGAGACGGAGTCTTGCTCTGTCGCCCAGTCTGTAGCGTAGTCGTGCAAACTTGTTGCACTGCAGCCTCCGCTTCCAAGCAATCCCCCTGCCTCAGCCTCCAACTAGCTGGGATTACAGGCATACGCCATCACAGCCAGCTAATTTTTGTGTTTTTAGTAGAGATGGGGTTTCACCATGTTGGCCAGGCTGATCTCGAACTTCTGACCTCAGGTGATCCACCCGCCTTGGCCTCCCAAAGTGCTAGGATTCCAGGTGTGAGCTACTGCACCTGGCCTTGGCTACACTTTTTAGATTTCTTTCCCAGCCGTTACTTCAGTTTTTTGGAAACTTAGAACTTGGTGGTCATTTGTGCTTCTCTAAGTGTATTCTTTTGAGATGAAATTTGTGTAATATAAAATTAGCCATTTAAAAGCAAACAATTCAGTGACTGTTGGTACATTCACAATGTTGAGCAACTTCTACTTCTAGTTCCAAAATGTTTTTATCATCCCTAAAGGAAACCCCATACCCATGAAGCAGTTTTGCTTCAGTCTCCGCACCCCCTCCTCTGACAACCACCATTTCATCTCAATGGGTCTACCTATACTGGACATTTCATATAAATGGAATCATACAATGTGTGACCTTTTGTGTCTGGTTTCTTTCACTAAATGTAATGTTTTTGAGTTTCATTTATGTTGTAGAATGTGTCAGAACTGTATTCCCTTTTATGATTGGATAATATTTCATTGTGTGTATATACCCCAGTTTACCCATTTATCACTTGATGGACATTTGGGTTGTTTTAATCTCTAGGCTGTTGTCAGTAGTGCTGCTGTGAACATGTATGTACATGTATTTGTTTGAATACCAGTTTTCAGTTCTTCGGGTGTACACTAGGAGCAGAATTACTGGGTCATATGGTAACCCTATGTTTAACTTTTTGAGGAACTGCCAAACTGTTTTTCACAGTGACTGAATCATTTTACATTCCCAGTGTATGAGAGTTTCACTTTCTTTGCATTTTCTCTAACATCTAGGTGTTTTCTTGACAGTAAGATGAGCAGGATTATCTTACATATAATATATAATTGAGGAAATACGTAAAATATTTTGTGAACAAAGAGCCGATAACCAGGTGCTACTGTCTGGGATGATATGGTTCAAATCCTTATTTTTCAGTTATGGGAATAGTTGTCAGAGGCTGTGACTTACCTAAGCTGTAAGAAACAAAATAAGCAATAAAACCTAAGGTGTTCTTACCACCACTTAGAGCTTACCTCAAAGATCCTCCAGGATGGACATCATAACTTTGCGAGAAGCAGTTACTGGTACAGAAAATAAAAAACAGCCATTTGTGAGACATACAGGACCACACTGTCTTTGAGAGCAAGGTACTGTTTCCTGTGACCTTTAGTACACTCAGTAGTAAGCAATAATTAGTCCTAAATGGAGCACTGCTCTGGACCTGCCTAACAATTCATAAAGGGCTAACACTACCTGATTTGATGATTTACTGTAAGGCTACAGTAACACAACAGCCTGGTATTGGCATAGGGGTGGACAAATTGATCGGTGGAAGAAAATAGTATATCCATACTTAAGTGGTCATCTGATTTTTGACAAAGGTGCAAAGGTAATTCAAAGGAGAAAGGGTGGTCTTTTCAACCAGAGGTACTATAAAACAATTGGATAGTCATACACACAAAAAAAAGCCAAAAAATTTTGATTCATACCTTGCACTATGAACAAAAATTAACTCAAACTGGCTGGGCATGGTGACTCATGCCTATAATCCCAGCACTTTGGGAGGCTGAGGCAGGAAGAGACCAGTCTGGGCAACATAGTGAGACTTTGTCTCTATTACATAAAAATATATATATAAAACCTAAACAATAAAACTTCTAGAAGAAAACAAGAGAAAATCTTTGTGACCTTGGGATAGATTTCTTAGGTGTTACGCTAGAAGAACAAACTGATATGTTGGACTTCAAAATTTAAAACTGCTGTTCTTTAGTAAACACTGTTAAAAGAATGAGATGACAGATCACAGGCTGGGAGGAAATGTTTATAAAGCATATATTTGATGAAAGATTTGTATTCAGATTACATAAAGAACTCTCAGGACTCAATAATAGCCTTTCCTTTTGGTGGTGCACAGCAGCAATATGGTGGTGAAAATTTCTAAGAAGAGGAAGTTTGATAGCATCTTCAGAAATAAACTGAGCGAATTCTTCACTCAGAAGCTTGCAGAAGGTGACTACTCTGGAGCTGAGGTCCAAGTTATGCCAACCAGGATAGAAATCACTACCTTAGCCTCCAGGATGCAGAGTGTTCTTGGTGAAAAGAACCACCGGATCTATGAATTGGCTGAGATAGTTCAGAAGAGGTTTGGCTTCCTTGAGGGCAGGGAAAGCTTTATGCTGAAAAGGTGGCCTAAAATAATTCTCTATGCCATTGCCCAGACAGAGTCTGTGCTGTAAACTACTATTAGGGTTTGCTGTGAGGAGAGCCTTCTGTAGTGTGCTGTGGTTCATTATGGAGAGTGGGGCAAGAGCTACGAGGTCATGGTGTCAGCGAAACTCTAAGGACAGAGAACTGAATTCATGAACTTTTGTGTGTGATCTGATGATCCACAGCAGAGACCTTGTTAACTACTGCATTGATACTGCCATCCACCATGTGCTGCTAAGACAGGGTGTGCTGGGCATCAAAGTGAAGCTCATGCGTCCTGGGCCCAAGTGGTAAGATTGGCCTTAAGAATCCCCTGCCTGACCACGTGAGCACTGTAGACCCTAAAGATGAGATACTATTCGCCATGCCCATCTCAGGACAGATGGTTAGGAAGCCATGCTCTACCCAGCCCCAACTGTGTAATAGGGTCTCCTTGGCAGCTGGATCTGGAGTCTGGATGTTGCCTTGTAAAGACCTTTAATAAAATCTTTTAAGACAACAAAACACAACAACAAAAGCCCTTAATAATACAACAAACAACCCAATTAAAAATTGGGCAAAAGATTTGAATAGATGTTTTATCAGAGATGATATACAGATGACAAATAAGCACATGAAAAAAATACTCAATATCATTAATTATTAGGGAAATTCAATTAAAACCATGATGAGATACCACTGCAAATCTATTAGAATGGCTGAAATATAAAAGACTGGTCATACCAAATGTTGGTGAGGATGTGGAGGAACTATTGACGAGAATGTTAAATGGAGCCACCATTTTGGAAAACAGCTTGGCTGTTCCTTAAAAAGGTAAGCATACACCTACATATGACCCAATAATTCCACTCCTAGGAGATAAGAGAACATTTATCGATATAAATACCTTGTACATGAATGTTTATAGCAGCTGTATTTATAATATCCAGAAGCTGGAAACAACCCAATGTCCATTAATAAGTAACTAGATAAATTGTGGTATATCCATGCAGTGGACTACTATTCAGCAATAGAAATGAATGAACAATTGATACACCCAAAAGTGTAGCTAAGTCTGAAAATAACTATGCTGAGTGAAAGAAACCAGACCAAAAAAAGTACATATTGTATGATCTTTATATGACTTTATTTATTTAAACTCTAGAAAATGCAAGCTAATCTATCGTGACAGCAGATCAGCAGTTGCTTAGGGAGAGGGGCAAAGAGGAGTGGGAGGAAGGATTACAAAGGTGCATGAAGAGATTTGGAGGTGATAGATACATCCGCTGTCGATTGTGGTGATAGTTCACAGGTGCATACTTATGTCAGAATTGACCAGTTGTATACTTGAAATATTGGGCAATTTATGACAATTATGCCTCTGAGCAGCTGCACAGAACTTTCTGCAGAGCCTAGTGCATCACTGTGAGGTTGGGTTAGGGGTTTAAAAATGTGCCCATGTTCTTTCAGTCTCTGGGAATGATGAACAGGTATACCCAATGGGTTTGGGTTTTAGGGCATGAAAAACTATGCTAATGAAATACTGTTTGAGCACTTGAAAAATGCCACTATTTTTTGTGGAGTATTACAATACATCTGAAATAATCTGTTCCTGTATATAAATAATATAAAAAAGCAAGGCTTCCTGTAGTGTATGACATTGTCAAATAGGTCAAGCTTCAGTGCAAATGCTTTGAAATTGGTACAGTAATTCCTGGCTGATTGTTTTTGTTCTCCAAATGAATATGCTCAGGTAAAAGTGATGGTTGACTCAGGAGACCGGAAGCGAGCCATCAGTTCTGTGTGCACCTACATTGTTTATCAGTGTAGTCGGCCAGCTCCTTTACACTCCAGGGATCTGCACTCCATGATAGTGGCAGCTTTTCAGTGTCTCTGTGTCTGGCTGACAGAGCACCCTGATATGCTTGATGAAAAGGTGAGTTTATTTTATTTTAAACCATTAAGTAAAAACAAAAATGTATGCTAGCAAAATGCCTTTTGAAAGAGAATATCTAAATTTAAATACAGTATTGCACACTTTAAACTGAAAATACTTGTTAGATTACAGTGGAACACTTGTCCTTTTGGGTACAACTTGAAAACTGTCATTTTGCTTATATTTGGTTGCAAATTAACTCATAGAGAAATTGTTTAGAAAGATGAGACCTTGGCTAATTTATCTGAGCTATCAAGATTGTTCTTTCTTGAAAGGATGGTAGCCTGGAGATAGCTAGTAGGCACTTTGGTCACCCTTCACCAAACAAAGAAGGGCAGATGATTGCCAGGCTGCAAACCTAGAGCACAGCTCATCTATAAAGGTTGCTTCTATCGAAAAATGTTACTCCATACTCATTTCTTCATTCTCAAGTGGATGCAGATAACTAGTCCATGTTCCCTACCATTGTTCTGTGTAATGTCTTCCTTATAGGGAAGCAGGTGTTATAAGGAATTCACAGTGCAAATCAAAGGAGAGATCATTGGATATTTATAGAAACCTTTATGTAGTTTAAGGAATAATATTGTTGATTAAATCTTAGTCATTTTCATTATGGCTTCTGAAGTTGTAATACCAGAAATTACTTAAAAATGTCAATGACAAGATTTCCTTTGGATATTATAATATGTCTTAAACCATCCCCCTCCTTTGATAGCTAAGTCCAGAGATGGTGTCTGTCTCTCTGTGGTTACACTATCCCAAGCTTAACTGAATTACTATTTAATCTCTTAGATTTGTGCTTTTGTGATTTATAGTCTTCAGTAATTTCACAAGAAAGTTGAATTGAATTTATTTATCTAACACTCTAAACACCAAAATTTAGTTCTTTAATGAGAAATTGGGGGGAGGGGGTGTAAAGTTTATTATATTACTATGAAGTTAATATATATCCATTAAAGAAATTACCAAGAAACTGGAGCCCTTCCACCAAAACGCAACCACTGTTAGCATTTGGATGGATTTCCTTGTCTTCTCATGAGAAAGGTGTGTTCTAAAAATTGATCTGCCTTTCCTGCTTTTAGGACTGCCTTAAGGAAGTACTGGAGATTGTGGAACTGGGTATCTCAGGAAGTAAGTCCAAGAACAATGAGCAAGAGGTCAAGTACAAAGGAGATAAGGAGCCAAACCCTGCATCTATGAGGGTAAAGGATGCTGCTGAAGCCACCCTAACATGGTATGGAAGTGACCGCACAGGGATTGTGCCTAGGAATTAGATGGGGTTAGCAGTGATCCATGTTGTTTCATTTCCTTCCTGATTGTTCAGCATTGCGTGATGCAGCCCCTTTAGAATATACTTTTTCTCCAGAAATAAAATGGGAAGAAAATCTCTATTTTTTTTTTACGTGTTTTGTAGACCAAAAGAAACTAGGAACTTGGGGTTGAGAGTTTGAGTCCTTTTTCTATACCGTTTGATGTTAATTCAAGTAATACTGTGTTAGAGCTAGACTTACTGTACCCCCTCACTTTGATAGCTAAGTCCAGAGATGGTGTCTGTCTCTCTGTGGTTACACTGTTAGATCTGCTTTCCAGCTCAGTGGTCTGTATTCTCTGCTATACCATTTATATTACATAGTATAGGTTCATTCAACCAAGATTTATGAACTCTCTTAACAACTGAGAATAGGATCTTAAAGATAAGTCTGATTTAGTCACCACTACGTCTACCATCTTGTCTGGTAGGGAAGATAAAATATGAACACAAATAGCTATAATATTAGGTGGAAAATAAGTGCTGCAAAAGAGGTATAAATAAAATGCTGGGGAGTTGAAAGGAGAAAATGAATACTTCCAGATAAGGGGAAGTCAGAGTAACATTTCTTGAGGAAAATGACACTGGACCTGACTCTGGGAGGATGGGTCAAGTTTGAGCTGCAAGCCAGAGTACAGGGTGGGTAAAAAGGCACCACGACTGCTGTTTTGAGAATTTTGGTGTAGTAAAGTGGTAAAGACAGGGAGTTTGGTACCTTGAAAAAGAGTAGCAGAGAAAGTTGAGAGAGTTTTTGTTTGGCTTGTAAGTGAGCATACTGGAAAGAGGGAAGGAAGGCAGCTTAGCCACATTTGTGGACTGAATGGAACAGTTAGTGGAAATTAGGTGGAACCATAGTACACGTGGAAAGATGGGGCTTATGAAAGGATATGTGCAGATGAAGGCTCAGAAAATGTAAAAGCAGAAAGGAGGAGTGGCAAGTTAGTGTGGGCTGGGGCATCTTGGTCTTAGTAAAGTAGCAGGCAAAACCGCTTGAAAATTCGTGTGTAAGTCAGCCCTTACCAAGATCCCAGCATCTTCTGTGAGTTCAGTGGCCTGTTGCTTGCTTGGGACATGCACAGTGAAGTTGGATTTGTTTCTATTCCTGTGGGCTTAAGTCATTCAGTGAATTTTTAGAAGAATGCTTTCTGTCATTTAGTCCTGCTCACTATGCAAATGCTGGACTTTCGGTGACTTGATGGAGGTTTGGCTAATAGCTAGAAAATTAAAAAAAAATGTGAATACAGCTACTGAAGCATGTGCTTATGCTGATGATGAATACTAGAAGTAATATAAGTTCAGAAAGAAGACCATGTGTGGGCCAGGGTACCCTTAAAAGTGTCATAGGGCTGGGCGCAGTGGCTGCACTTTGGGAGGCCGAGGCGGGTGGATCACAGGGTCAAGAGATCGAGACCTCCTGGCCAGCATGGTGAAACCCCACCTCTACTAAAAATACAAAAATTAGCTGAGTGTGATGGTGCACACATGTAGTCCCAGCTACTCAGGAGGCTGAGGCAGGAGAATCGCTTGAACCCAGGACACGGAGGTTGCAGTGAGCCGAGATCACACCATCCTGGCAACAGAGTGAGATTCCATCTCAGAAAAAAAAAAGTGTCATAGAACTAAAACTTGATGCATGTCTTAAAGAGTAAGAAGGATATGGAGAGAAAGGAGGGGACATTTCTCACTAGAAACTCTTCATTATACAAAAATAAGCTTGCTCCATCCTAGCCTGGATGGGGTGTTCTTTGAGTGCATGGCTAGCAGTGAGGATTGGATATGTGCTCAGGGTGAGTAGAGTCTTGGGATGCTTCTTCTCAACCTCACCAGTAAGCTACATGGCTCATCTGTTTCGCTTCAGCTGTCTTGTCTCTGCTAGCAGCTTGACAAATGGTATCTCCAGTTTTCAGTCTTAACTGTCATCATGAAACGTGTCTCTAACCAGATTTCTCTGTTCTCTCACAATTGCTGCTTTATGTTAGTATCATTGCTGTTTGCCAGTTATGCAAACACAGAACTTTGGCTGTTTCTCTGATTTATCTTTCTGTCATTCCCCATGTACATGAGCCAGTGACTGAGTTAAACAGACTTTATTTTTGTAAAGTATTTCCTCCATCCCCTCCAACCTGGATAGCATCCTAGTCCAGGCCCTCCTCACTTCTTGCCCAATTGCCCTATTTTCGATCTCTTAGCCCTTCTTGTTCATTTTGTATTCTATTGCAAAACTCATCATCCTTAAGCACAATTTTGATCCTGCTGCTTGAATGATTGAAAACCTTGAGTAGATCTGTTTCCTTCCTTGTTGTCTAAACTCCTCAATCTGGTTTTTAAGGGCACCATCTGATCTTTTCCACCACTGCTTTGCAACTTGTCTGTTTTGCCGTTGTCAGGCCTGACAGAGCACTGTGGCTATGAACTAGCCATGCTTATACCTGCTTATGCTCTTCCCCTGGGTTTCAGGACCTCTTTTTTCTTCACTTGGCTACATCCTCCGCTGTTCAGTGCTTATAGCAAATCTATCTACCTCCATGGGGCCTTTGGTTATTCTGCTTCTGAAGATGACTCTTTTCTGTACTTCCGTGCTCATTCTGTCTGACCCTGCTGCACGGCATGGAGTTTTATACTGTCATGATTGTACCTGGTTACATGTGATCCGTGCTAGTGTTGTCTCGCCAGTCTGGGGAGCACATTTACCTCTTTGCCAACACAGTGCTGAACACGTAGTAGAAAATTATGGAGTGCAGATTAGCTGGTTAGGTTTTTTTTCCTCTCTGTGTACACTAATACAAATTCAGGATTAGGGCTCTTGGAAGTCATTTCAACAGTCCCTTTGCCTGTCACCTTTAAGACATGTGTACCAAGTTATTTAGCCTCTAATTTGGAGATTTTCTAACCCCCAAGGTTGCCCATTTCATTTTAATTGTTAAAAACTTGATACTTTACATTGAGCTAAAATCTCTCCCACTTCTATGCGTTGGTTCTAATTCATACATTTGATCGTTAAATCCTTTTTGTCCAGGCAGTAGCAGTATCCAGAAGCAGTCTTCATGTTCTCTCTGGTTCATTTCTGCTGTTACCTTCAGTTTTTTTTTTTTTTAAATATTACAAAGATTCAAGTACCTTTATCATCCTGGTTATTCTCAACTGGCATAGATTTGACTATGAGCCTCTTACAGGTGGTTTACAGAGTATAATACTCTATTATTTTGTATTTTTTTCTTGAGACGGAGTCTCGCCCTGTCACCCAGGCTGGAGTGCAATGGCATGATCTTGACTCACTGCAACTGCCGCCTCCCAGAGTCAAGCAATTCTCCTCCCTCAGCTTCCCGAGTACCTGGGACTACAGGCACGTGCCACTACACCCTGCTAATTTTTGTATTTTTAGTAGAGACGGAGTTTTGCCATGTTGGCCAAGCTGGTCTTGAACTCCTGACCTCAGGTGATCCATCCACCTCGGCCTCCCAAAGTGCTGGGATTACAGGTGTGAGCCTTCTGCACCCAGCTGAGTACAGTATTCTAGATATGATTTGATGATCTTTAAACTCTATATAATACTACATTTTCATTAAAATGTACTCGGACTGCATTGCATTTTTGAGAACTTGATGATTTGCATTAAGTCAACTAAAATCCTTGAGTTTTTTTTCACACGTTTACCTTTCATGTGTTTTTCTCATCCTGACTTGTTTGGGAGTGTTTGAAAGTAATGCACAGAACTTTACATTTAAACCTGAAATTTCTTCATCTAAGATTTACCTCATTATTTTTAGTCTTTAAGATTCTTTTGGATCTCAACTCTTTCTATGGTATATTATCTCTGCAGCTCTGCTTTTGGGCAACTGGACATTTAATGAGCATATCCTGTGTGTTCTAAATACCTTGATAAAAATATTGAACAGATAGACTCGCAAAGCACATCATCAGAGCACTTCCTTCAGGTCCACAGGGATTTTTAAATTTAGCTACAAGTTCATGATATTATATGAAATGTTATTTCATATAATATGAAATGGGAATAATAATGGTATATGGGAATAATAGTGGTACCTATTGTTAGGATATTATGTGAATTGTTGTGATATTATGATACTATATCACATAATATTATAACAATCCTATCAGATAGGTACCATTATTCCCATTTTATAATGAAGGAACTGTAGCACAGAAAGAAAATATCTTAAAATGAAGATTTTATCTTGTGGTTCTAATATCATCTGGCCCTTCATATGCATCTCAATGGGAAGACCAGTATTCTACAGCACCACATTTGTCATCTCAACTCTCAGCTTGAATGGCCTCTCCTCTTTCACTCTAAGGTTTGAACCTAAAGCTCTCTAACAATGGAGAGCAACATTGCTCAACAGATTATTTTTCTTCCATTTCCTCTCCTCCTAAAACGAAGACTGTCTCAGAACTTCAGGGACCAGGAGAACTTGGCATTAAGTTCAGGCCTCTAATGGTTTGCAGAAAATAGGAGAAACACCAGGAGATCAATAATGAGAAAATATGGCTTTTAAACACCAGGAGATCAATAATGAGAAAATATGGCTTTGGTTTTCTAAAATGGGATAGAGACGGTTGTCACAAAGCATATGGAATATGAGCTTGCTGTGTTCCATGCAAGATTCTAAGATATCAGATAGGTTGCTGGTAAGGGAGTAGGTCACTAAGATCAAATTATACCAGCCTAACTGCATTTTCTGTTCCGGATATTGACCAGACTGGAAAGGCAGATTAAATGTCTCTGAAATAAAGACATACAGGTATGCATCTGGGGTAATGGGCTTTTTAATCTTGGAGGGGAGAGTCTGGACAGCATGCCATGGCATTCACCACAAGGAGTAAATCTGACCTGTCAAGAAGCATGGCTGTGGTCAATTAAAATTCAGAAGAGTGGAAGGGGACACATTGATGCACAAGGTAAACTGAAGATTTTGCTTTGGGAATTAACTGTTATCTTTTCCATTCTCCATAGCATTATGCAGTTGCTCGGCGCATTTCCTTCACCTAGTGGTCCTGCCTCTCCTTGTAGTCTTGTGAATGAGACCACTTTGATTAAATACTCCAGGCTGCCAACCATAAACAAGCATAGTTTCCGGTACTTTGTCTTGGATAACAGTGTCATCCTGGCAATGCTGGAACAACCTCTTGGAAATGAGCAGAGTAAGTTTATAGTACTTTGAGCCTTCTCTACTGCTTAATCAGTGTTACCAGTACCATGAAGCTGTTTCCAGGATCAGGGAAGGACAGCCTACAGATTCTAAGTAGGTCAGAAAGATTTCTAGCTGTGGGACAATAGCACCTGAAAAATAGGGGGGCAAAAAAATAGAATATACATATTACATAGAGTCTTTTAAAGGCTCTTGATGTGCATCTGAACTAGCTCTGTAGTTTTATAAAAGGTGGTGTTTTAGTGGGTTCCATTGTGTTGTTTATCTTTGTCACTTTTTCTTCCCCCTTGAACTTCGGATCCTGCCCCTCTGCTCCCCTCCCTCTCACTCCTCATGTTCTGTATCAATTGTTGGTGCTACCTACACAGGCTAGAAACTTGAGGAGTTATCTTTACCTGCCCCTTCCTGTTACTCACTTATATAATTAGTTTCTAAGTTTCCATCTTCCCAGGGACCCTTGAATTTTTCCTTTCCTCTGTATTTTCCCAATACATCCAAGTGCAGGTCCTTATTATTTCTCACCTAGATTATTACAGCTGTTTCCTACCTACTCTGATTCCCTCAACCCCTAAACCCCTTGCCAGTTCTAACATGTGTTTTCCCTACTTTCATCCTACTTGCTGCCACCATAGTATTCATCTTCAACCACAAATGACCATGCCAGTGCCCTACTGAAAATCCTTCAGTGATTTTCCATTAACACAACATGCACTGTTTTCCTCCTTTCCCTCCCCCTCAGTTATAAGCCATCTCACAATATGTGATTATCACTGCGACCCAAACTATCCACAAGTACATTTTTTTTTTCTGATGGTAATTGGCATCAGCCAGTATGTAAAAGAAGCATGTTCTCAGACCCTTATTGCTGGGAAGGGGAAGGAAAGTGAAGGTTACAGAATCTG
The DNA here is from genome assembly GCF_000001405.40 of Homo sapiens. Lineage (NCBI taxonomy): Eukaryota > Metazoa > Chordata > Mammalia > Primates > Hominidae > Homo > Homo sapiens. The sequence continues at coordinate 38,547,341 of NC_000020.11, forward strand.
TGGGTATAAAGTGACCCATGGAGTCACCTGGTATACAATTCCCTTAGTTATGAGTGAAAAAACTCAGGCTCACAGAGGGTATATGACTTGCCCAGGGTTACTTGGGACTAGAGCCCAGATTTTCTAAACCCTGTATTGTCCCTTTCTATTATTATTGTCGCACAGTGATAGGATTTGCTCAGTGATTAAAGATTTGCCTTCTTGCCTTTGTAAAGGTGAAGAGTTCTGTGCCAGTTTTGTTGATTATATGAGTAAGAGCTCATAAATCCATGAAGTGAAAGTGAGACATTTCCCTGCAGTTTGAGATGAAAAGAATACCATCATAAACTTCTGTTGTGTTGTGGTGAGATGCGGTGACATTAATGTGAAATGGAATGGTGCCTTTTATTATTGTCTAACTTCAGAACTGCTACTCCCAAGTCTTTTCTACAGGCATCTCATCCTTCTCTACCCTAGACATGGAGCTTGCTTGGCTTTCTTTCCTAGCCTGTGCCTGTTCATGATTCCTCCAGCCTCCTACTCCAAGCCATCTGCTGAGGAGTCTGCAAAATCCCAGTGTCCCCTTCAGGCTTCCTGGCCTTTTTCCAGCTTTTTAAAGACTCTCCTACTTTCATTCCAAATAATTTCATTGCATAGGAAGTGTACCAAAAATACAAGCAATTGGAATTGTATAGATTTACAAGGACATTTTAATAGTTTATTGTAATAATAAGAAATTATAGAGAAGTTTGAAGGCGTTTGACTCCCATATCTGAGACGGAAGAATAAAAAAAAGGATCTGGGTCACTCGGGAAGTCCATCCTGAGTGTTTTTTTTAACACCCCCATCATGTCCCTGAACTTCTGCTGAGATGGAACAGTGCCTGCCTGTGGTGGGCAGTGGTACACAAAGGCATGGGCAGATATAACACTAACACTGCAAACACCCAGTCTGTCTTTCTACACTTAAGTTGTTCCCAACATTGGGAGGTTAAGAGTATTTACTAGGACAGTGTTTCCCACAAATGTGTACATGTACCATTGGAGGTATGTGAGATGATCTTAGTTGATACATTAGTGAACATTATTTTATGTATTTTTAAGCATGTGCTTTAAAATTATATAATTAGTACATGCCAAAATTCATGATTTTCCATTTAGAGATGCACAAGAGTGGTTGATACAAAGTAATAGTACTTACAGTACACGGGTATGGGTACGGCAGAAACCACAGAAGTGGTACACAAAAGATCAAAGCTTAGGAAACACTGTTGGGCCTTTGATTATGAGAAGCTCTGCAGTTGATAACAAGTTTATTTTAAATGGTTGTTGTCTGAAATTAAAACTTTTATATACATATTTTATTCTAGATGATTTTTTCCCCTCTGTCACTGTGCTGGTCCGGGGAATGTCTGGAAGACTTGCTTGGGCACAACAGCTTTGTCTTTTACCCAGAGGAGCAAAAGCAAATCAGAAGGTATTCATCAGAAGTTACAGGGAAGTGTGTGTGTGTTTTGTAATTTAAAGGTTAGGTAACATTCCAACAGAAGACACAGATCAAATAAATATTTTTGATCCCTAGCCAGATTCTCAGTCAGTGGGTTCATATCAGAATCATCTAGGAACCTAGAATTCCAGATGTACTCAATTACTCTTTAAAGACATGTTCAAGGCAGGTGTCTTTTCAAAAAGCTTTCCAGGTGATTCTGACATCTACTTAGGAGTAATTGCTGTTGTGGACAATGGCCCCAGTTTTTTCCATGTAATTTTACAAATGTAATAAAAGTCAGATATATACCATACGTGAAAAAAATTTGGTGGGACTTTTGATTTGTCCGCAACAGGACTTAGTTTGAAATTGTTTTATATGATTTGTTCTTATATAATAATTGGTAATATATTGTATAAATTTTATTTTTTTTATAAAGAGTCAGGGTCTTGTTCTGTTGCCCAGACTGGAGTGCAGTGGTGTAATCATAGCTCACTGCAGCCTCAAGCTCCTGGGCTCCAGTGATCCTCTTGCCTCATCCTCCTGAGTAGCTGAGACTGTAGGCACATGCCATGGCACCCAGCTCATTTTTAAAATTTTTTGTAGAGATAGGGTCTTGCTTTGTTGCCCAGGCTGATCCCAAACTTCTGTCTTCAAGTGATCTTCCCACCTCAGCTTCCCAAAGTGTTAGGATTACAGATGTGAGCTGTCACACCCAGCCTAATTAAAAAAAAAAAAAAAAATATATATATATATACACACACACACACATACATATACACACACACACACACATATGTATGCTGTGTATAATTTAATGAAATCTTTTGGGGTGCAGTTTATTTTATTACATTTGTAATTATGTGAATAATACTTGAGAAGTTGGAAAAATTCAGATAACGAAGAAATTTTAAATCACCTTTACTCACTATCCAGAGGAATATAACCACTGCTAATATTTTATTGGATTTCCTTCCCTTTTTTTCTTTTCATACACAATAACACTTGAATAGAATTTGAGTCATTTTGTATACTGCTCTTTTCATTTATAACATTGTAAGCTTTTATTTCTGCTATTAAAAATATAAAATGTCCAACAATGATAGACTGGATTAAGAAAATGTGGCACATATACACCATGGAACACTATGCAGCCATAAAAAATGATGAGTTCATGTCCTTTGTAGGGACATGGATGAAATTGGAAATCATCATTCTCAGTAAACTATCGCAAGAACAAAAAACCAAACACCGCATATTCTCACTCATAGGTGGGAATTGAACAGTGGGAACACATGGACACAGGAGGGGGAACATCACACTCTGGGGCCTGTTGTCGGGTAGGGGGAGTGGGGAGGGATAGCAATGGGAGATATACCTAATGCTAGATGACGAGTTAGTGGGTGCAGCGCACCAGCATGTCACATGTATACATATTTAACTAACCTGCACATTATGCACATGTACCCTAAAACTTAAAGTATCATAATAAAAAAATGTGATTAAAAAAAATTTAAAATGTGACTTAATATTTCACTAGCATTTGAGAGACACCACAAAATTGGAGCATGTGCCTAAAATCATTTAATATCTTAGATGTCTCTGTTAGATGTGATGTGTTTATCACCCAGTCCTCCATTTTTTTGGAGGGGGCAGTACAGAGCACATCCTGTCATCAACTCTGTAAGCCAGTAAGTTAGCATTGAAGACTGAAGAGGAAGGGGACCAGGAAAGGAGCTAAAATTTGTTTAGGGTTCACCATGTACCCATATACATATTAAAGCATGGATTTGGAGCTGTGAAGACCTAGATTTGGTGCCCATACTCTCAATTAAGCCGTATTAAGATTCTTGTTAAAATCACTTTCTAGAGATGCCCAGTGAAGCCAAACTTGTCTTTAATTATATTGAATGATGTGAGAGCCCCTGGGGAAGAGAGTTTGAGTCTTAAAGCTCCAAAATGCTATACCCATTGGATAACCACTGAATGTGGGAGATTCAGGCCTGCAGCAGTAGAGGTCCACAGCCCATTTGTCAGTCATTAGATCTATAAGAAGTCGATGAATATTTTTAGAAAAATAGAGTACACAGGGGCACAGGCTGCTTCCCTTTGCTGTTATCTGTAGCATTTGCAGGTTCTGAGTGAGTTTTTGTGACATGTAATCCTAGGGAAACACAGGCATCTAAGAGACCAGGGAAATACATGTCATTACAGATGGGTATTGGACCCTGTGTAATAAACATAATGTTACTTGTTTTAACAGCTTTTTGTACCTGAACCTCGCCCAGTTCCTAAAAATGACGTTGGATTTAAATATTCTGTGAAACATCGGCCATTTCCTGAAGAGGTGGACAAGATTCCTTTTGTGAAAGCAGATCTCAGCATTCCAGATTTGCATGAAATAGTCACTGAAGAAGTAAGTACATTATTTTTAGCTGTTGTCAAGGGGATGAATAGAAACATTCTTACGACTTCCTTGGTCAAGACAATGCTTTTAGTGTTGTTGGAGATGATTTTTAAGATGACATGGGCCTCCATCATCCAGGAGGTTGCCATGTTTAAGACGAATATAGATTGTGGCTGATCGAAAGGAACTGCATATCTCTTAGAGGTGTTGCTGGGCTGCCTGGCTGTTCGTGGTAGGTTTCAGTACTGTAGTGACATGATCAGACTCTGGTAGTAGAGTTATTTGGAAAAGGAAGACCAGTTCAGAGACTATTATGAGAATCTAAGTCTTTATAAGAAAGGAAGGACTATTTCACTCATATGGAATTTTAATATATAAAATGTATTGTGGAGGTAGATCCAAGCAGTCTTGAATTGGTGAGGGAAGGAAAAGAGCCAAAGAATTTCAGATTTTGAGCTTGAGTGACAAAGAGATATCAGTGCCATTTACAGAAATGCAGACATTAGGAAGAGGATAGATTTGGGAAGATGGGAAAAATTTATTTGGCTTTGGATTAATTTAGAGAGTTAATTAAGATAACTGTCTCTTAGGTCAAGGGAGAAGAATTTTAAGAAGTCGGGGACAGAAGTATGTCAGGACATGAGAGAACAGAAGAGCAGGAATGGAGGAAGGGCTACACTCTCCAATGCTGGAGAGACCAGGGAGAAGAAGGAATAGAAAAAGTCCCCTGAATTTTGGCATGAAATTTAGGTGACCTTTGAGAACAGGTGTGTACAGTAGGAGGGATAATTCAAAGGGCTGGGGAGTGAATGTATTGAGGGACAGGCAGTGAATAGAAACTACACTGTTAACAGTAAAGGCAAGGGTACAGAATGGGTAATATTATAGCTTAAGGAAATGGCCTCGTTAAGGAAAGAAAAGGCTGATTTTTTTTTTTTTTTCTGAGATGGAGTTTCGCTCTTGTTGCCCAGACTAGAGTACAGTTGTGCATTCTCAGCTCACTGCAATCTCCGCCTCCCGGGTTCAAGTGATTCTCCTACCTCAGCCTCCCAAGTAGCTGTGATTACAGGCGCATGCCACCATGCCTGGCCAATTTTTGTATTTTTAGTAGAGACGGGATTTCACCATGTTGGCCAAGCCGGTCTCGAACTCCTGACCTCAGGTGATCCACCCTCCTTTGCCTCCCCTCAAAGTGCTGAGAATTACAGGTGTAAGCCATCGCACCCGGCCAGAAAAGGCTAGTTTTTAAATATTTTTTTACATTCAAGGATGTGAGGATTATGAACATGCTTATAGATTGAAAGGAAGAAACCAGTAGAGAGGAGTCTGGCTAACACTGTAAGATGGGCAGTGGGACTTACAAGTAATAGAGGCAGTAGGGTCAAGAGTCTAGTCTAGAAAAGAGATGCTTCTAAGACAGAAGGAGAGAGTAGGTGAAGGTTCAGAGACATTTAGAGAGGAAAGGAGGGAAATTGAAGAAGTTTATGAAAATTTTAATCCTGGTTCTTGGCAGTGTAATAGGGGATCCCAGACAGTTCTTAAGAATTGCCAGGCAGTGCAGCTGAGGTTAAGTAGCATTATCTATAGTGAAGTTATTTAACTCACTCTGCTGACTTTCTTCAAAAGTCCTTGGGATCTGGAAGCATAAGTAAAGAATTTGACTGGTGTGGAGATTGACAGGTGTGGAAATTTGGAAGGAGGTTCAACACAGCCATTTAATGTGCTTAAGGAGAGGGTATTTAGCTGTTAGATGTGGGGGCTTCAGTTTAGTTGGGAAGCAGATAAAGCCAGAAGGATGCTAATGGAGTGGGAAAGCAGGGGGAGGGATTGAGTGCCCCACCGCAATAGTAGAGCACGAGCTCAGGAAGTGAAGGGATAGGAGTTGCACAAGGGGGCTTATGATTGGAGAGGGAATTTCAGACTTACAGCCCTGGAAAGCAGGGCACATATCAGGTTCAAGTTTGTTTTCATGGATGGCCAAAATTGTGAAGGTTGAGGAGCTTGTAGAATTCTGAGCCAGGTTGTTAGAAGGATCGTTACTCACCCGGGAATGGAACTTTAAACAAGGATTGATCAGAAGGAAAGGTGGGAGAAGTCTCTAAGAGTACAGTCATGTCATCCATACAGATGAGGAATTAAACACAGGGAGCACGTCAGGGTGAAGATGGACAGTGATCTGCAAGCGAGGGGTGAGAGTGACAACTCTGCCCCCTTTCTTGCCTATTTGAAGGGAACCAGAGACTGAATGTTTTCATTTACAGTGAAAACATGAAGGAGCAATTGTTGAAGGTATAGGGAAGTTTTTTTGGCATTTGTTTTAACCTTGGACCATGTTTGCTTAATGGCATACTCTACATTGAACTGAATCACAATGTTGATCACTGAAAATTATCTTCATTTTCTTTGTTGCTTGTAGCTTTATTTTCATTTTAAAATTAAGATTGACTTAGCTAGGTGCAGTGGGGCTCATGCCTGTAATCCCAGCACTTTGGGAGCCTAAGGCAGGAGGATCACTTGAGCCCAGGAGTTCAAGACCAGCTTGGTCAACATAGAGCCCAGTCTCAAAAAAAAAAAAAAAAAAAAAAAACACTTAAGATTGGCCTTACTAGTTTGATAATAGTTTCAAAAAATGAAATATTTGGTTTATTACAGTTAGAAGAGAGACACGAAAAATTAAGGAGTGGCATGGCCCAGCAGATTGCTTATGAAATACACCTTGAGCAACAGAGTGAGGAGGAATTGCAGAAGAGAAGTTTTCCTGACCCAGTTACGGATTGCAAGCCCCCGCCTCCTGCCCAGGAATTCCAAACAGCCCGCCTTTTTCTCTCACACTTTGGATTTTTGTCCTTAGAAGCACTGAAGGTAATTTTCATGAACTTTTATGAATAAATATATTCACAAGTTAACATTCAGCTGACAATAGCTAAAATATTTTTATCAGGATAGAAGCGAATTAAAAAAAAAAAAAACTGGTTAAAATTTTAGCCTGCATACAAATAAATGAAATTCTGTGCTGCTGTAGGTTATAGTTTGTGCTCCAGGACAGGTCACCCCATGAATGCATTCAGAGTTCTGTCTGAGGGGACTGGTTTGATGATACATCTAACTCTGAATTTTCCTAGATAACACAGTACCCATATTACACAGATAAATGAAATCTATAGATAATTAGAAGAAGAATGTTAAAAATCTTCCCCTAGTAAGCATTATTACTAAAAATATAAGCTACAATTAACTTTGCTCTTTCATGCCACTTTTAGAAAAGAATGAAGTTAATACTGTAGTATTTGTAAGTCAAGCACTTCTTATGTTGTCCAGTTTGTAAGATCAAACTGTCTGGCTTTATGTCCTGGAATCACTGCTTGCCAGCTATGTGGTCTTTGGTGAGTTTCTCATCTTGTCTTAGTTCCTCATCATCTATAAAGTGAGGATGATAAAAGTATCCATCTCATTGATCATGTGAAGATTAAATGTGTTAACTCATAGAAGATACTTGGTATAGTACTTAGCACAAAGTAAGCCAGCCTATAAGATAAATATTGCTATTATTCTTAATTCCATTAGCCTTAAAACAATTTTACAGCCAGGTGCGGTGGCTTATGCCTATAATCCCAACACTTTGGGAGCCCAAGGCAGGAGGATCACATGAGGCCAGGAGTTCGAGACCAGTCTGGGCAACATAGCGAGACCCCCCCATCTCTATGAAAAATTGTTTTTAAAAATTAGCTGGATGTGGTGGCACACCTATAATACTAGCTTCTCAGGAGTCTGAGGCAAGAGGATTGCTTGAGCCTGAGAGTTCGAGGTTACAGTGAGTTATGGTCACTCCACTCCACTCCAGCCTGGTTGACAGAGTGAGACCCTGTCTCTTGGGAAAAAAAAATGTACAAGACAAGTGATGCAATTCCTGTTTTATAGATGTGGACATAGAGGCTTAAATATGTGAAATAACTTGTCTGGAGGTGGACTTGGAATTTACTCTAAGTCCTGTTTGTTTTGAAAAGTACAACTGAAGATTGCCAAGCAAGAAGTTGCTTATTGCATAACTTGTCCCTTGCCCTTACTGCCTAGGAACTACCTGGTTATAGGCCATTTAGCTTTGTAGGAAAGTAATGGGGACATTGCTGTTTGATTTTGTATTTCAGCATGTAGCGGGAAAATTTTTTTTGTATTTTTGTATTTTTTTTGTAGAAAATTGAGTTTGATGCAGCATATGAACATAAAAACTTAAAATGCAGAATAAAAGAGCAGAGAGAGGAAAATTATAAGAAACATAGTGGTAAATATGGAAGGCAAGGAAAAAAGACACAACTTGCAAATCATTAGTGATATTCCTAGTGGAGAAAATTGAACAGAGTAGAAGCAGTAAATAAAAATATACTAGAAGAAAATTAATGCTTCCTATGGACTTCAGGGACACAAGAAAGGCCCTAATAGCCTTGTTTCTGAGATTATAGTTTTCCACTTCTGTTATCTGTTCTAGTTGAAACTTAAGCTTTTAAGAAAATAATTATCATGCTTTCTCATCTGTATGAGAACATAGGAAAAATAAAGTTACCTGGTTTATGAACCTTAGAATATTTCTAATAACTTAAACCTGACAGCTCATACATACAGAACTACAAACCAGTTTTACTTATGAATGTATGTACAAAAGTATTAAAGGGAATGCTAAGCAGACTTAGTTCTGAATTAATAGCATGTTAAGTGAATTGTTTTCCATGATCAAATAAGGTTTATCCCAGGAACTTAGCAATTAATTACCAGGAAATATTAATAAAGCTATTAAGAAAATAATTTGGTCCCATTAGCAGTTCAGTCAGTGAAACAGTAAGTCAGTATTTACTAGAATCATATTCTGATTCTTAAAAAAATAACAAACTAAGCCAGCACTACTAGTGTAGGTTCTTACTTTAAAAGATTCCTCTAATGAAACCCAGGAGCAAACTAGAGGAATCTTTTGTTAAAATCAGAGGTAAAAGTTATCTATCTTGACTACTATTTAACAAAGAGAATTTTTTAGTCAATGACGTTTTTTAAACTTTCTAGTTTTAAATAATTATAGATTAGCAGGAAATTGCAAAATAAAGACATGAGGACCTTCCTGCGATGATAAATTCTTATATAACTACAGTACAGTATAAAAATGAGGAAAGTCAATGAAATGTTAAACTAAGAGGTAAAAATCATTGGAAATGAGAAGACAGTTTGTAGGTAGTATGACTTCTAGTTTGACAACCGTAAGAAAATCAATAAAATATTTAAAATAAATGAGACTTAAGGTTGCCATACAAAAAAGTACAAAAATTAATGATTATGTCTATGATATTCAGTTAAAAATACAATGCAAAAATGCCCCATTTACAGCTGTGATATTGACAAAAGTTACCTTAACAAACTATGTACAAGACCTAGAGGAAGAAACTTTTAACAATTATTAAGAGATATAAAATATGTATGAGTTATGTTCCTGGATTAGAAGATCACACAGAAGAACAAGCTGAGGAAATACCTTACTTTAAAAAAAAAAGAAGAATGGGGACATTCTGATCTACAAGGTGTATTGCAACATGCTTCAGGTCCACAGTTCCTTTTCCATGATTTCAACGTAAAAACTGAAAACTGGAAAATTTTTTATATATTTGTAGTAAATTCATTTAGTGGCAAAATTGGACCTGAATTGACATGAGGCTGTTTGTAGTTTTATGTCACTTAGTGTGAATACACTTATGTTTGACTGCAGAAATATTAATGTCTTTTATTAGAATATTGCCCTAGACCTTGCTAGGAATGTTATGTAATTGACTAGAAGGCTAGACTCACAATCCTTGTCAGTGTGAAAGACAGTCATTCTTGCTTTCTCTGGAGGATGCTTTCCTGAAAGATATACTATGGTTAGCAAAACCTTGTTTGGCAAGATCAAGATCTCAAAGAAGATAGGGGATTAAGAGGAAAACAAAACAAAAATGCATTTTTGAAAAATGTGTAGACTTAATTTTTTTAGAGAAGATTTAGGTTTTCAGAACAATTGAGCAGAAAGGGTAGAAAGCTGTCATACACCTTCCCCACAGCCCAGTTTCCCCTGTTATCAACATCTTGCATTGATGTGGTGCATTTGTTGTGACTGATGAACCTGTATTGGTGCATTACTCACCGAAGTCGGTGATTTACAATAGGGTTCACTCTGTGCTGTACAGGTCTCTGGGGTTTGACAAGTGTATAATGACATGTGTCTACCATCAGTTGTACAAATAGTTTTACTGCCCTAAAAATCCCCTGTACTCCACCTATTCATCCCTCCCTCTTCACTCCTCACTCAACACCTAGTAGCCACTGGTCTTTGTACTGTTTCTCTATAGTTTTACCTTTTTCAGAATGTCATATAGTTGGAATCATACAGTATGTAGTCCTGTCACACTGGCTTTTTTCACTTTTATCAGTATGCATTTAAGGTTTCTTCATTCAGTATGCATTTAATGTGTCTTTTTGGGTTGGTGGTTTATTTCTTTTTATTGCTGAGTAATACTCCATTGTATGGATGCACCACAGTTGATTTATCCCTTCATCTATTGAAAGACATCTTGATTGCTTCCACGTTTTGGTTATTATGAATAAAGCTGCTATAAACATTTGTGTGCAGGCTTTTGTGTGGATGTTTGTGGGAAAATACCAAGGTGTGCAGTTGCTGCATTGCATGGTAAGACTGTGTTTGGCTTTGTAAGAAACTGCCAAACTGTCTTCCAAAGTAGCTGTACCATTTTGCATTTCACCAGTAAGGAATGAGAAAAAAAGTACATTAAAAGTAAGTTCTAGAAAGCACAATATTATAGAGAAAACTGGATCCAAAAATTATATACACAATATAATCTCAGTTGTCTTTAATTTAAAAAGAGGCAAATAAAAGAACTAAAAGGAAGTATGTTAAATAGTTTCTTTAGTTTAGGATTATGGTTGTGTTTATTCCTACCATTCTATATTTTTTAATTTTATTTTTATTAAACCATGAGCAAGTATTGTTTTTATAATTATAACAATGAAAGAAAATAGGTAATAATTGCTCCTTTCTTCTTTTGGTGGCAGGAACCTGCAAATAGTCGTCTACCTCCTCACCTTATTGCACTTGATTCCACGATACCTGGATTTTTTGATGACATTGGGTATCTGGATCTCTTGCCATGTCGTCCTTTTGACACAGTTTTTATTTTCTATATGAAGCCAGGTCAGAAAACGAACCAAGAGGTAAGAGTTACGAATTTTTTTTTTTTGGTATGTTTTTGTGCTATAAATACACGTCTAAAGAAAAAAATTGAGGCAAAATTAATATGGAGAGTTTATTTGGGCCAGAGTTGAGGACTGCAGCCTGGGAAGTGCTGGAAAGTGCTTCCAAGAACAAAGGAGAGGCTCAAGTTTTTAAAGATAAAAAGGATGAGTCAGGAGAGTAGGCAATTACAAAAGTTGTTTTTCAGGACTTCTCATTGGTTTACAGAAATAACATTGATTAATGAGTGGATATAAATTATTGAACTGTAGGATATGAGCTATGGTGTCCAGCACTGTTAGATTAGCTAATGAACTGTTGGTGGTGACACACAGTCTAGAGTCCATATAGCACGCAGCTTCAAAGTGATTACTTAGCTCAAGCGGGAGTGAGATGTGACTGCTATCAAAAAAGTGCCTTTCTAGGCATGATAATTTGAGGGAGACTCACATTCCTTAAAAAGTTTCATTTTCATATACAAAATTTTACATGGTATGCACTTGTCTATGGTAAGAAGTATTTTGTACTTGATGCCTAAAGACTTGCTATGAACCAGTTTGAAAACAGAATTAATGAAAACTATGATGCTTAGAGTCCTGAGTCTTTTGACCCTTAAGGAATGTGATTTAAATAGGAGCTGTAGGATATCTTTCTTCCCCTTAAGGAATTCAGATTCACAAGACAAAAGAAACTGAAATAACGAAGGTTAGTCATAAAAGTTAAAGTAAGGCTCAAGAAGAATAAAACAATAGCAACAAATATTTATGGAACATCTTCCCTGTGGCTCAGCATCCCAGGATATAGAAGTGAGTAACAGTTTCCTTTTTGAGAAGCAGCTCACCTTCCTAGTAATTTCAGAAGCAAATCATTTCAGTTGAGGAATGCATAGTGTGCAGTGGGAGAAATAACACCTGAAATAAAGGAGAAAAACAGAAGGACTGGCCGGGTGTGGTGGCTCACGCCTGTAATCCCAGCACTTTGGGAGGCCGAGGCGGATGGATCACCCAAGGTCAGGAGTTCAAGACAAGCCTGGCCAACATGGTGGAACCCTGTCTCTACTGAAAATACAAAAATTAGCCAGCGTGGTGGCAGGCACCTGTAGTCCCAGCTGCTTGGGAGGCTGAGGCAGGAGAACTGCTTGAACCCGGGAAGCAGAGGTTGCAGTGAGCCAAGATTGCACCATTGCACTCCAGCCTGGGCGAAGAAGTGAGACTCCATCTCAAAAACAAAACAAAACAGAAGGACTAAGTAAAACATACCTGGATACGTGGAACAAAGAGACTAAGAGAAGGACGAAGAAAAATGTAAGATAGGTGAGAATGGAAAACTGAGAGCAAAATGGCAGGAGACTTGAAGTGCTTTTTGGAAAGGAATAATTGAAATATGGAATAGGCAGGAAGTTACTGACTGTAACTAGGAAAGAGCCGAAGGAAGACTTGTAAAATGTCGTATTCAGATGTGTAGGGCACTGTGACTACATGATCCTGGAATTTTACTGTAGTCATTTTAAGACAATCAGCTAATCAAATTAGCATGCCTAAAGAAATTTACCAAAGTTTCCAAATGTTTACACTAGAAGCACTGTTTCAAATGATTTGTGAGCTCCTAGAAAAGAACACTGATTTATGAGAAAGTTTTTTTTTTTTGTTATTGAGTCAATAAAGTTAAGAAGTGTCTGTTGTTAGGTACCAGGGTTATAGTGCCGAACAAAATCTACAAGATTTCTGGCCCCCTAAAACTACTGCATAGAAGGGAAGGCAGATGATTAAATAAGCAAACAACCATTGTAAAGGGTGTTAATAGGGTCATTAAAGCATGTTATAGGAGCCATAGCAGGAAAACCTAATCTGGTTTTAAGAAGGTGGCCTGGAGGAAAAGATATTCTAGCTGGTATTTAAGGTGTGCCTTAACTGTAGGTAAGGAGGTAGAAGCAGATTGTCACTGACAAAATAATAATAACGTGTAAATTCTTCAGGGTAAAGAGAGCATTTCTTCATGAATTTCATTATGGGGTCTAATATGCTTGGAGCTTAAGAGAAGGTGGGCTGGGGGTAGCCAGAGATGAGACCGATGGAGTCAAGTGTTTTAGAAGAAGCTCAGTAAAATTGGATTAATTATGGAGGTGGGGATCTGTTTTGCAGCAAATCAGTGCATTGTTTTGTATAAGAATAATGGAGCCACTTTTCTCCTGCCTGTACAAGAAGACACAAACCCTTGAGGCACCTCCTAACCCAGTTCAGTTTCCTTAGCTTTTTAGAAGCTGAGGGTGACTAGGAATTAATGAAGATTTCCTGAGATCTCCTTTGGAATGTCTAAGACCTGCCTTCCCTAGCCGTAGGGTAGATTAAGATTAATTTCTGTCTGCCAGCAAGTGGCATGAAAGTTGAATTTGATTCACTTACTGCTTCTTGACTAAATTTTCAAAAATTGTTTATTTAAAAGTTTTACTTCTAGATAAAAATTTGAATTGCAAAAACTAGAAATGGTTGTTAAGTCAGTTTCTTGGCGTCCATAAGAATGTGAAGGGATATGGGTAAACTAAATAGGTTCACTTCAAAAGAGACTGGTTTTAGGCCGGGTGTGGTGGCTCATGCCTGTAATCCCAGCACTTGGGAGGCCGAGGCGCGCGGATCACGAGGTCAGGAGATCGAGACCATCCTGGCTAACATGGTAAAACCCGTTTTTACTAAAAATACAAAAAAATTAGCTGGGTGTGGTGGCGGGAGCCTGTAGTCCAGCTGCTCGGGTGGCTGAGGCAGGAGAATGGCGTGAACCCGGGAGGTGGAGCTTGCAGTGAGCAGAGATTGCGCCACTGCACTCCAGCCTGGGCGACAGAGCAAGACTCCGTCTCAAAAGAAAAGAAAAAATAGTCTGGTTTTGTGTTTAAGAGGTAATGACCTTGAGATGATTTGCAGTGGGTCAGATGTAATGAATGTAACTTCCTATATTTTGACTTTCACAGGCCTCTGTATGATCTTGGTATAGATTAGCATTGTATGAATGACATCAGTGATTTGTGGACTGGCTGCATCACAGTCATTTGGAGGAATTTTTAGAAATAGTGATTCCAGGATTCCGCCTTCACTGATTTTAATGTAGAAGGTCTAGAGCAGGCGAAGAGAACCTTATTTTTAGGAGATTTCCCAGATGATTTTGATATACTCTGCTCTCTACCCTCCCCCTTTTATTTTTCATTTGCAAGGGAATTTCTTAGTTTCCTTCCTTTAAAAGTGAGTTTTTCAAGAGCAGCACTATTGCCATCTTGGGCCAGATAAGTTCTTTGTTACGGGGGCTATCCTGTGTATTTTAGAACATTTAGCAGCATCTTTGGCCTCTACCACTAGATATTTGTAGTGTGCCTCACCAGTTATGACAACCAAAAATGTCTCCAAATGTTGGATGTCTGCTGAAGAGCAAAATCACCCCTAGATGAGAAGCACTGTTTTAGAATGAAGGACTCTTTGTGAGGCCAGTAGAAACCCCACGCATTACATTTAGTGCTTAGTGAAGAGGAGAGAACTTTCTGGACACTTCATTTTTCCTGGAATTCTCTTCTTTGGCCTAAGAAAAGGATATTTTCATACTCATTTATTAATTACACCTAATGTTTATTGAATTTTAGTAGATTTTATAGCATTTATCAAGATTTATAGTTAAATAATTGCATACCTATGTAATGTTTCTCATTAACCAGACAGTAAACTCTGTGAAGGCAGGGACATAGTGTCTTTTAGTAAACATGCCTGGTTCAGTAATTGTTTTGCCAGGAAGAGAGCTCAGGGCTTTTCTTGCATTACTTCACAACCATTATTATTATCTCTACTTTATGGATTAAGAAACTGAGGCAGTGGGGTTAAGAAACTTGCCCAAGGCTCAGCCAATCCAAATCTGTCTAACTCTGGAGAATGCATTTTTCTCTATAGTGATATATCCTCAAATTTATTCTGAGCTTGGACATGATTTGTCAGAAGCTTCAAAACTAACCAATTTTTATGAAGATTTATTTTGATATATTATTTTGTTTCCTTCATTATAGCTGATGATTGGTATGTATTTCAGATTTTAAAGAATGTGGAGTCTTCCAGAACTGTTCAGCCACATTTCCTAGAATTTTTGCTTTCCCTTGGCTGGTCAGTAGATGTGGGCAGACACCCTGGTTGGACTGGGCATGTTTCTACCAGTTGGTCTATTAATTGTTGTGATGATGGTGAAGGATCTCAACAAGGTAAAACTCACAGTGTTTCAAATGTCAGTTGTTTCTTGTTTGTTAGTCTTGTTTTTTTTTTTCCCCCTTTACTGTGATTTATAGTCTTGTTAAAAATACAAAACCAGGCTGGGTACAGTGGCGCATGCCTGTCTTCAAGAAGCCAAGGTGGGAGGATCGACTGAGGCTAGGAGTTCAAGACCAGCCTGGAAAACATAGCGAGACACCATCTCTACAAAAAATGAAAACATTTCTAGGCTTGAGGGCCATGTATTTGTAGTCCTACCTGCTCAGGAGGCTGAGGTGGGAGGATCACTTGAGGCCAGGGATTGGAGCTATGATCATGCCACAGCATTCCAGCCTGGGTGACAGAGCAACTCCCTGTCTCTAAAAACTAAACAGAGGTATATAGAGGAAAAGTATCCTTCCCCTAATCCCAGTCCTGACAGGGTAACTTAGTAACAGTTTATATATTCTAGACATTTTCAGTGTATATGAAAGATATGTATACACATAATGATAGAGTTAATACAAAATGACTGGCTTATTACAATGCTGATAAGTTCCTTTTTTATAATATGCATAAGATTCAATTTTCTATACAAATGGTGTAATATAGGTCATCCATACAAACAATACAGCTTCCTAACAAGCATGTTTTGTCTAATAAGTAGTTTTCTATTAACCAGTGTGTTTTACCAACTGTGGCTATCAAAACAGTCACACTTAAAGGTTATATTCTTGGGATATTATACCAAAACCTTTGTAGTAAACAGCTGACCATCTCTGAGGATTCTTGCCCATCCCCGCAGATCCTCTGAGGAACTGTAATCAGGATAACAAGTAGCAGAGCAAGTATAAACTTAAACTTAAGACCTTTGCCCCACCTGGCTAATGCTTTCTGTTCCTGGGCTCCTGAGGTCACTGGAAAGTTAGTGTTACCTCTCTAAAGTGGATAATGCCTATGCCCAGTGCACATTTTTCCTTTTGATAAATATATCAGTTGGATACTTATGGTTGCAAGTATCAGAAAACGTGACCCAAACTGCCTTAGATTTTAAAGATAATTTATTGCCCATGTAACTAAAAATTCCAGAGGTTGGTTAAGTTTTTGGTGTCATTTGATTAGCATTCCTGTTTTATTTCTTTACAATTTTCCTTTAGCTTTGCTCTCCATATTTTGGCTTTGTCCCCAGCCTGGCTTCTCTAATAGTGCAGAAAGGCAATTCCAGGCTTTACATTCACATACCACAGCAGCCTGAAGAGGAGAGATTAGCCAGATCTCAGAACTCCCTACTCCCCGAATCCGGAACTATATGGCGATTAGACTATCCCAAGCCTGTCCTTATGGCAAGAAAGATAGAATGACTCTGGTAGAGAGATACAGGCAAGCTAGAACTAGTATCAGAGGTCAGTCCCACCTGCACATTTTGCCTGCTGCAGAATAGGGGTGGATAGAGTGGCTATTGGGATAGTAACCACAGCATCTACTACATCAAATACAAAGTGCCTGCCCGGAGCCCACACCAGGAGTCAGAAAACTAAAGCCCTGTTTTTGTAAATAAAGTTTTATTGGAACTCGGTCACACTCTAGATTATACATTGTCTATGACAGCTTTCATGCTACAATGACAGAATCGAGTAGTTGTGGCAAAGACCCTGTGGCTTACAAAGCCTAAAATGTTATCTGTCTGGTCCTTTACAGAAAAAGTTTGCTAACCTCTTGTCTAAAGCTTCCTATTTGCCATACCTTCACCAGAATTAGGTATCTTCCAATTTTTTCGGTGAGAAATTTTTAATTTTTAATAATGGTTGAGCATATCTTATCATATTTTTATTTATTCCCTGAGAAGTACTTGTCCATTTCCCCTTTCCAATTTTTGGTCCGATTGTTGGTCTTTTATGTATTGCTAGTAGGACACTGAGTTCATTTTAATTGAGAACTATATAGCTCTCATGAATGTTTCTTTTGTTAATTCAGTCTTCCTGGCTTAGAGCAGATACTATTACTAAAACTGGCTGTACATTTTTATACAGTGTCACTGACCATTGAGGAAGGTGGAACATAGGCCAACTTGAGGAGCCATAGAGAGAGACCAGGGATAGAAATGCCTTAAAAGCAAGAGTCCAGAGATAACGCACATGTGCACTCTCTCTCTTCTCTCTCTTCTTCTCTCTCTCTGTCTCTTCCTCCCTCCTCCTCCTCTTCCTCCTCCTCTTTTCCTCCTCCTCCTCCCTTCTTCTTCTTCTTCTTCTTCCTCTTCCCCCCTCTCTCTCTCTCTCTGTCTCTCTCTCTCTCTCTCTGCCTGCCTGCCTGCCTGCCTGTCTCTCTGGCCCAACTCCCTTCTGAGGGACTGGGATGGTCTTCCTTTTGATTATTTATTTACTGGATCCAAAGGACTGCTCCCTTAATCTGCTTCATACACTTGAATTAAAAGCCCTGCTAATCAGAAGTGGTCTGATATACAGTCGTTTCAGAAATTATGAAATTAAGATTTTATTATTTAAAAATAAAGACATCTAATAAGCATTATATTTTATTCTTTCATACTAATTGGTTCTTGTTGAAAACATATATTCTATTTATCACTTTATTAACCAGTTAACATTTCATGTAGCAAGATGATACTGGTTTTTTCCTACTTTTTGAAGCGGTAATGTAGTGTTTCTTTTTCCCAGAAGAAGTGATTTCCTCTGAAGATATTGGAGCTAGCATTTTCAATGGACAGAAGAAGGTGCTGTATTATGCTGATGCCCTTACAGAAATTGCTTTTGTGGTTCCTTCTCCTGTGGAGTCCTTAAGTAAGATGATTTTTGCATGGTCCTGTTTTAGGATCTATTTTTATATTCCTGGGTTGTGTGATATTACTGCATTGGAAGAGATTTTGAAGTGATCTAAGGCATTCTTTAGCTTCTAAGGCATTATAACAATATGCAGAAGCACAAGATGTCTTCTCTTAACTTTTTTATGGAAAGTAGTTAAAGACAAGCAGACTGACCCTCTAATAATCTTTAAATAGTGAAGGAATCCCATTTCAACTGATATTTTGCTTTCTTTAATCTAATTAATCAATACATAGGCTTATTTTCCAGTTCATTTCTTTCTCTAATTACGAGTGATCCCTCACCTACTTTTCTATTCCCATATGAGAGCCTTTGCATGGAACCACCTAGAATCCTACAACTGGAAGTATCTCATGATAGCATATGGCCATTCTTCTAACACTGAGCAAGAGAAACTTCAGCAGCCTAGAAAAGATGGTGGTCCAAGACTTTTTAAGAATTGGGAGTAATTATTACTTCTTAGTCTGAACTCACAGTTTTATTTTGCCCAGAACCTTTGCTCTTTGCAAATTAAGCCTGTTTGTTCATGCCTGACCGAGTAGGTGGTCTGGCAGTAGGTGGGAAACTTCACCTTCTTCTTTGAGATCATTTGTAGGATGGGATACTATACATCACGATTTCAGTCTTATTTCCAGACTAATGACTTTTGTTGTGCCCTACCTTGGTAGCTGCCTAACCTTTGTACTTGGACCCTTGATTTCTCACTCTAGGCCCCTCCCTGTCTTACTCTCTGGGGCCGGCTGTGTTCCTGGAAGGTTGGACCTTCCATGGTTTAGGTTTGAATTATAACAGCTGTTGGGCTTCCCGTCAAGGTTCTGGTTTACTACTTATAATTCCAGAAGCCAGAACCTGTCCGTCCTCTTTGGGGACATACCTGCCTGGTTTCTCTGGCCCAGCCTGTTAGTACCAGACAAGTCCTCCCAGAGCTAGAGCCTCGTCCTTATTCTATAGCTCCTGCAATTGGGTCTTTGTCTCCTGTTGTGAAACATCTCCTATGCCAACTGTGCCCACTCCAACTCAGCTTCCTCCTATTTCTGATATTTGGGGATTTTTTTGGATGGGGTGGAGGATAACTTTCTGTGTACTTATCTCCAACCAGATTGCTCTTAATCACAGAGACTAGATCTTCTGTAGCTTCTGGATGTCCCAGTGCCTATTTGGCACAATGCTACATGATTGAATATATAATCTAAATAATTCAGAGAGTAATAATGGCATTTATTATATTCTACATCTGAAACGTCAAATATTTTCTAGTCTTATTTTGGTTATCCTTTAGAGCAGGAGCTGGCAAACCACAGTGGCACAAGCCAAATGCCGCCAAGAATGGGTTTTACATTCTTAAAGGGTTATAAATAAAATATAAAGAAGAATATGCGAGAGATCTGTATAGCCAGCAAAGCCTAAAATACTTAGTACTTGATCCTTTACAGAAAAAAGTTTGTCAGCCCTTGCTCTCGAAGCAATGCTTTGTTTAAGTGATTTAGGTTAGACTGGTGAGCATAATTAGTTTTAACAGCCTTGCTCCAAATAAGTGGTATGTATTATAGTTGCTTTTTTTCCTTTACCCCATAGCTGATTCATTGGAAAGTAACATCTCGGACCAAGATAGTGATTCAAATATGGATCTTATGCCAGGAATTCTGAAACAGCCATCCCTGACACTTGAGCTTTTCCCCAATCATACAGACAATCTTAATTCCTCACAGAGGGTAAGTTACTTTGTTGATAGGTCTCCAAAATTTTGTAGTGAAATCAGGGTAATTATAGAATCCTGCCTGAAAAGCTTTTAACCCAGAGAGTATTTATATCAGAGTACTGATTCCTTAGTAACTTAATTTTTTAAAATAAAATTCTCACGATTTTCTCTTTTTCAGCCTGTAACAAATAGTTCATTCTGAGACAGCCTTTGTGGTTTCTCTTGATTTCACCATTCTGGTCCCGTACTTGATTCTCTCATCTGTTCCTTTTTAAGCCTAGGTTTTAATTTTGTCCCTGAAATATCCACTAAAGTTACTGCAGTAACTACATGTTTTTTTATCTTTAATCTTGCAATGTTCATCTTAAACAAGTCTGACCATATAAAAATAGGAACATTAGGGAGAATAACTCAGTATATGGATAAATATTCTGAGTGAGGAACACAGCACCTACTACAAGAGGAGCTTTTTGCTTTATCTTTTTTCTTACCTTATCAGCAAATGTTACTTTATCTGTGATCAGGTCAGAAGTGTAGGAAGATTGACTTAGAACAAAACATAACAAAGACAGAAGTGTCAGCTTGACTAAAGGTGTTCCTCCATTGTACAGGATTTTAGGTTAGCTTCCTTCCACAGTGAAAGTTATTTTTAATGTAAGTGTATGCTTAAAAGAGAATACGGGGAGGTTTTTACCTTTAAAATTGATTTAGGAAAAAAATGCCAGGTGGTGTAATAGTCCCTGGAGTAGATTGATTTGAGAATCAGGAGTTTTTAAAAGGTTTTACAGAATACAGTTTAGAGATGATCAGTCAGTATTGCATAGCAATGCAAGATTTTAGCCAAATCTAATACTTACTTTAAAAGTTTTTTTTATTTGAGATTTGTGGACAGAACTAGTATTCAGTGATTAGCTGCCCTTATACTCATTTTCTGAATGCCAGCATAGTTATTCCTTAGAACCCAGATAAAGCACCATGTTTTTGTTTCTCACTTATACTGTACTTTGCAGACACTAACAGACTAAAAACAAAAAAACAAAAACAAAAAAAAAACAAAGCAAAACCATATGGTTATCTCAATAGATGGAGAAAACGCAGTTGACAAAAATTCAGTACTCATTTATGAGAAAAGTTCTCAGCAAACTATGAATAGAACTTTCTCAACTTGATACAGAGCATCTACTAAAAACCTACAGCTAACATTATACTTATACATTGTACATTATTCTTGAATGCTTTTCCTCTGAGGTGGAGAACAAGGCAAGGATGCCTGTTCTCACCACTTACGTTCAACATGGTAGAGGAGGGGCCTACACAGAGAAATAAGACAAAAGGAAACATAGTACATAAAGATTAGAAACAAAGAAGTAAAACTGTATGTATTTGCAGATGACATGATCATGTAAGTAGAAAACCCTCAGGAATCTTTTTAAAAATCCACTAGAACTATTGAGGTGAGTTTAGCAAGATTGCAGGAAAAACGCCAGGGTGTTGGGCAAAATTTTAAGGTAACCCCCAGCGACGTTTGCCTGTGTACAGTGTCCTCTCCTTGCGTGTGGGTGGAACTTGTGACTATGATAGGATAACTGTGATTATGTTACATTATTTGGCAAAGGGATCCTGTGGGTTTAATTGGGTTACTTTGAGTTAATCAAAAGGGAGATTTTCCAAGTAGACCTGACCTAATCACAGGAGCTCTTTAAATCTAGGGCTAGAGGTCAGAGATGGAAGAAGTTAGAGAGAGAGTCAAAGCTAAATAGGGACCTTGATACTAAGAAAGTAGTCTGTGAATATGGCCAGATGTTTGTCACTAGTTTGGGAGAAATCTCTTGGTCTGGACATTTTCTGTGAATGTCAGAGTAGATATAATTATCCGGGGGGACTTGCCATGGACTCTGGTCATCTGGTAAAGACATGTATATTTCTGTGCTAATAAAGTAGTTTTAATTTTAAAATTCACCTCAAGTATGAGATTCTTCCCTCTGTACACATGAGCTTTGTTTAGGGCTTTAGCACAAACTTAGCTCTGCTGCATGCCTCAAAAGAGGTGCAGCTCAGGGTACCAGTTTGCTAAAGGGGAGCCACATAGTCCTGTTAACCTTGCAGTGAAACTTAAGAGTTGATTAGGGTGGCAGGAAGCCAGAAGCACACTGCATGGTAATGAAGCCCCAAACAACTCGTTTTTCTTTCTACTGATGAGAAAAAGGAATTAAGCATAAATTGCAGTAGGAGACATTTGGTCTGGAATCTAGGAATAACTTGCTGATGGGACATTTTAGAGATTAGGATCCCCAGACAAGTAGTGATGTTGCTGTGATGGGGAAGGATACTGCTTTCTGGCCCTAACAGAGATAGACTCAAATCTTTTAAGCCCTCATTAAGATACTGTGTGTAAATTTTGTTTTTATTAATGCAAATTATAATTATTCAGTATTCCTTCCTTTTTTTTTCTTTGACAATTTTAAGCCTTGTCCTAGGTTAAGACTGATGAACAGGAGCCAAAGAAGAGCTTTGTTGCAAATGTATACACTTTTTCCTAAAGTGATTTTCCATGACCTGATACTTGGTCACTGAGCACCTTGACAAATGAATGACTGGGTAGTTTTATTAAGCCAGTTTTTTGTTGCTGTTGTTTTTCCCGCTCTCTGTCTTCTTCTTCTTCATGTAGCTCAGTCCCAGTTCCAGAATGAGGAAGCTGCCTCAGGGTCGCCCTGTTCCTCCCCTTGGACCTGAGACAAGAGTTTCTGTAGTCTGGGTGGAACGCTATGATGATATAGGTACTGTATGAGGACTTTGTCCATAAATAAAATGGCAATATATGACAGTGACTTGCTAAATGTCTACAGGGAGTGGGCACATAAGCCTGGTGTGGCCAGGAGCTAGTCCTGGAGTTCAGCAAGCCTTGGTTTGTACCCCAGCTCCACTACTCAGTTTCTTTAAGCCTTAGATTACTCCTCTGTTAAATCCTGGTACTTTTTTCATAGTTGTGAAGATTCGATGAGACCAGTAGATACAAAGCTTTTGGCTATTCATGTTGGCATCACAGTCAGTGGTTTGTTGCCAGTTGGTCTCAGTCATCCCAGGACCTTTGGAAAGGGGAAGGGGAAGCACTTCACTTACCCTCTCTCCACCCACATGTCCTACTGTCTCGTTTTAGTATAAAGCTTAATTTGTCCTTAAGAGTTGCACTCTGGGTAAGTTTCTCATGATTTTTACATAAGCAACATTAGAGCATTAGAAATATATACTTGCCTAAAATCCCATCCAGCCCAGAGTTTGTGGGAAAGTGTGATAGTTACTTTTCAACCAAGCCCTCAAAGATCACAGAACATATTTTCTAAAAACTCTTTGCTTTAGATGAAATTAGCTAAAAAATGTCTTGAGAGAGAATTTTTTAATTTGTAGAGAATAATTAAGATGATATTTCAGGACAGCACAGTCCATATATTTGCCACTCACTTATGTAAAGCGATTAGAAAATTAGATTTCCTATTATCTGTTTGGGAAAATGAGGGAGATATTAATTGTAATGCTATTATTTTCTTCCAGAAAACTTTCCCCTCTCAGAGCTGATGACAGAGATCAGTACTGGTGTGGAAACTACTGCAAATAGTAGCACTTCACTGAGGTACACTCTATTTGCTTGAAGTTCATCAGCGTGTCTTTTTTTAACATATTGATTGCAGCTTAATAAATAAGGAATTATGAAACGAAAGAGTTGTAGACAACTAGAAATAAAAACAAAAAAGATCAAAGAAAGAAGTTTGTATACAATGTACAAGGTTATCAAATTATTATAGCATGGATTTTTTTAAAACCACTTTATTGAAGTATAACTGATTGACTTGTTAAAAGCTATACGTATTTAATGTATACAACTTGATGAGCTTGGAGATAAGTATATATGCATGAAACCATCACAGCAATCTATTCCTGAACACTTCTACCATCTCCAGAAGTTTTCTCCTGCCCACTTAATTCATTATTATTATTATTTTGTAATAAGAACCACTTAACATAAGATCTACCCTCTTAGCAAATTTTTAAGTATACAATACTGTATTATTAGCTGTAGCCACTGTACTATACTGTTGATCTTTAGGACTTATCCTGCATAACTGAAACTTTATACCACCTTTTGGCTAATACCTCCACATTTTTCCCTCCCTGCAGTTCCTGACAACTAGAATTCCACTCTCTGCTTCTCTGAGTTTATTTTAGATTTGTCATATAAGTAATATCATGTGGAATTTGTCTTTTTGTGCCTGCCTTAGCGTAATGTACTCTAGATTCACCCATGTTGTTGCAGATGGCAGGATTTCCATTTTAAGACTGAATAATATTTCATTGTATGTGTACACCACATTTTCCTTGTCTATTCGTCCATTGATGGATATTTAGGTTGCCTCCATATCTTAGCTATTGTGAAGAATGCTGCAGTGAAAATGGGAGTGCTGCTATCTCTTTGAGATCCTGGTTTCAGTTCCTCTGGATATACACCCTGAAGTGGGATTGCTGGATCATATGAACATTCTATTTTTAATTTGTTGAGGAACCATACTGTTTTCCACAGTGGCTGTACCAGTTTACATTTCCACCAACAGCATACAAGGGGATTCCCTTTTCTCCACATTCTCGCCAACACTTGTTTTCTTTTGGTTTTTTTGAAAATAACCATCCTACCTGGAATGAGGTGCTATCTCATTATGATTTTGATTTGCATTTCCCTGATGACTGGTGATGTTGGGTGCTTTAGCAGGAGTTTTAATAGTATAATTAATTGCTATTTTACATTTATCTAGAGCAAAAAGAAAAATGGAGAAGTAGAGGCAATTAAATATTAATAAAGACCGTAATAGTAGGGCAGCAATATTAGATTGAAATAATGGAGTTAAATTGGCCAAAACAGTGTGGCCAAATAGCAGTTAAAATATCCTAAATCATATGAGCTAATTAACGGAAATATGTTTCTAAGCAAAATGTAATACTTTATAATTGGGTTAAAATTTGTTTTACCTGCCCATACACAAGAAGGATAAAAAGAGAATAATCTGATTCTAAGAATGGTAACAATGTATTTGTATAGGCTTTGTAGTTTTCAAGGTTTGCTTACTTGTTTTTGGTTTATAACTCTAAGAGTTCAACAGTTATTTTCTGTTTTACTAGTGGGATAAAATAGGCTCAAAGAGGTTATTCCTTAGTATCACACATCCAGTAAATGCAGGAGAAAGCTACCTGAATCTAGGCCTTTGACCCCAAATGCATTGACCCTGCATCTCTCTCATCACAGAGCTACCCTGAAACTTGATATTTTAAGTTCCTTTTAGTTATGTGAGCTGATTCAAATTGCATATAAGATGAATTTATTCTAATATTGTTAGGTGATTGTTGTTGAAGTCAGTAAAGATGATTTATTTTAGCATTATCATTTTAAACTTCTAAAAGAGGGCAAGTCATTCTTAAAACTTCCAGGTTTTATATGCTTTGGTGTTTTAAAACAAATCACAGATATCTTAACGTTCCAAATACATCAGTATGCATCTGAAAAGTAAGAAACTTTTCAGATAGCTAAACAACATCGCAATAATAAAGTTAGTAATACTTTCTTAATATTATCTAATAGCCAACATTCAAATTTCTTCATTTTTACTAAAATATTCTTCACAATTGGTAAAGAATTCACTCCAGGACTATATATCTGGTTTTAATTCCTTCAGTCTCTTTTAATCTGGAACAGTCCTTTTTTCTTTATGACACTAACTTGCTAAAGAAGAGACTATAGAATAGTCATGAGTAGACTTTTCTGGAACTAATTAGAAGAGACTTACTTATCATTTACTGTCTTTGTTGTTTTCATCTTTTTTTTTTTTTAATTTAAAAAAACAAAACAAAACTGGGCACAAGGTATCACCATGTTACCCAGGCTGGTCTCGAACTCCTGGGCTCAAGTGATCCTCCTGCCTCGGCCTCTCAAGTTTTCATCTTTTTAGGTCAAAGGTTGTAATACAATTTGACAGTAAAATGTATATTTTATTGGTAGATTAGCAAAGTTTATAATTTGTCTTGGGGACAGAATTACTCAAGGATTGATTTTTCTTTTTTTTTTTAATGTCTTGAAAGATTGATTCAGTGTTGCTTTGGCCAAAATCACCTTACCTATATAGAAAGAAAATTCATTGGGTTGCAAAAAGACCCCAACATGTAGCATCACAAATAACATGTAATATTAGATGGGTTGGCCTATCCCTGGTGTGTAATGAGTAACTCGCCCCTCCATAGGAGCAGTTGCCAACTTTAGCATCTGCTGCCTTGCCAGAGGCTGTGAGGGCTTTGGCCCTGCCACAGTGCGGCCATTTATCACCATAGCCGAGAAGGACATTTGCAGCTGGCTTAGATTAATGGCTCTCCCAACGTCCTTCCCCACCCTGAAAAAAAATTATATCGGGGATTCCTGTCATGGGCCGAAGCTGTGTTCCTGCTTCTCCTCTGGGATTATCAGCCTTGACTATGCTGAAATTCCTTGTACTCTGGCCGGCCACACTTTTGTTCCCTATAAGAAGAGGAACTAAAGTGAAAGTCCCATAGCTGGTTGCTAAATTCTTAACTCCATGCAGCAGAGTACTCTTGGCCTCTCCTTCCACCCAGTGTCCCTATTGGTTTTCCAAGCATATATATTTTTTCAGCTCCTTTCTGTTAGCTTAGAAAGCTTGACCCAGTAATGGACCTTTAGGACCAGATGTTATAGGGGGTAGCAGCATAGATTCCCAGAAAGCAGATTCTGAGCACACTGACCCCTTGGCTTTTCTCAGACCACTGCCAAGCAACAGGTCCCTTTACTAATCTTAGGCTATATGTGGGGGACTTCAACTCTTGGGTGTCTCGGGGACTTCAACTCTTGGGTGTCTGAGATAACAATTTTCTTTTCTTAAGATCTACAACTCTTGAAAAAGAAGTTCCTGTCATCTTCATCCACCCTTTAAACACTGGATTATTCCGGATAAAAATTCAAGGAGCCACTGGAAAATTTAATATGGTCATCCCTCTTGTGGATGGGATGATTGTCAGCAGGCGAGCTCTTGGTAAGGTCTTCATATGTGGCCGAAGAGTTAAATTTTCTTTTTCTTTATCATTTTTATAAACCAAAAAGAAGTAAAAATAAGGAAATGGTGATAATTAATAGCTTCCACATGTAGGAAATGGTATGGCTCTTGTTAAAAAGGGAGCATGTTTCGTTCTTTTTAAATCTGTCCTTAATCTAGTAAGTGTAAGTAAAACCTCACTAACTTCTAGTATTAAAATATTGAAGATAGCTGTTTGTAATCCAGGACAGAAAATAGGTTTTTAGAATAGATTTTGATTCTCCTTTTCCTTGTCATTGTGTGTTTCTTCTGACAGTTTTATCTTAGCACTATGTCTATCTCTCTGGGGATGGGAAGTTTGCAAATTGAATGAAATAGTTTTGAGTATGCGGAGAATAGTTCACCTGAATACTTACAGTTCACCTACGTAAGTGACTAGTTTCTAACGTTTATTTTAAAACTCTCTATTTTCAAGGCTTTCTGGTGAGGCAGACTGTAATTAACATTTGTAGAAGAAAGAGACTGGAAAGTGACTCCTACAGTCCCCCCCATGTCCGCCGGAAACAGAAAATCACCGACATTGTCAACAAGTACCGGAACAAGCAGCTGGAGCCAGAGTTTTATACTTCACTTTTCCAGGAGGTTGGACTCAAGAACTGCAGTTCTTAGACCACTGAATTTCTAAGACTGTTGAACTCCAGTTTGGGAACTATAACACAGCAGAACAGTTTGATAGGTGATCACTGTAAAAATAAAAACAAATCACTCCCAAGAGCTTACTGTTTAATCACCAGAATAGAAGAAACACATTATAACCCATTTGATAGAAGACTTTGGGCTATCTAGTGAAATGGGCTCCCAGACACAATCACACTCCTGCTGATAATGATGATATACATTTTAGCCATAAACTTTCTTTTAAAAGTGACAATTTTAGTTAAACATAAGCCTTTTGAGGAGAAAGGCTTTTATGCATCTCAGTTAAACACGTGCATTGGTAGTATCAACAAATTTGCAATATAGAAGTTGAAGATAGTTTTTTACCTCACTTTTTAGGAGGTTGTATTCAAAATTAAAATCTCAGAATCTTACAGGACATTTAAAGACTCATGTTGATAGCATGGAGGAGAAGGAAAGAAGTCACAGCCTTCTACTCAGTTGTAGGTCTTCTTGTCATCCAGCTGTCACACTGACAAAAAGAAAAGATGATACATGTTTTTTGCTCAGATAAGAAGCCTGACATTAAAAGATGTCATATTTTTTTCTCCACATTTCAAAAAGTTGTCCTTCTCATCACTGCACAGATCTGTCTGAAAGCCTCAGTTTCTGAGTGACCCAGGAACAGATCAGAAATGGAGCATGGCCTTGTCCTTTAATGGGGATGCAAATAAAGTTTGTGGGGTTAAAAGTTATAAGACAGCAGTGATACCCCACTCTCTCCATTATTGTCCAGCGGGGTGACATAATGACAGGTTAAATATTTGTGATTCATTGATTAAATATTATTTAAAGAAATGTAAATTCACAATAAGGGTTGAAAATTATTTGGTTTCATCCATTGTCTCTTATTTCAGGACCAAGCAGCAAACTGCAGTAGTTTGTGAAGGATTCTAATATGGGGTTCAGGAATAGCCTCTCAACGCTACTAATTCAGATCTCTCCCAGAGAACTACTGGATTTCCTCATAATTGACAAACATGAGTGACCACCTCTTTGGGTGGCTACTGTTAGAAATGGCTGTTGTCATGTTTTCTGGACTTTGCCAGCCAACAGATCCCTGCCAGGTTTTGGAAATACTTCTATTACCTCGCTGCTACTTTTCTGCAGGGATAAAACTTTTGAGGTGGCCAGACCCAGAACATCCAAGGATTCCTGTTACAGTGCTACAGTATACACTGCTCATTTATCCTATTCTCATGTGCTTTCTTCTTTAGTAAGATTATTTTAAGAAAATAAGTGATATTTAAAGTCCAAAGAGGAATGATCACAGTTGTATAAGGGGTGTTTTCCCACTTGAACTCTGATGTCAGTCGACTGTGGGTCAGAGCTACAACCATCTGTTTGGTTTGATGTTTTGGTGGTTTACTTACGGAGTGGGGATAGTGTGAGACCTAATTCCCTGTGCAAATGTCTCTTATTCCAGAAATGTGCATTTTGTCATCTATAAGCAAGAAATATGGGCATAGCAGCTCTTGGTTTAAAGTTTGCCATAACCTGTTCATGTTTGTTTTAAGCTCAGGTAAAGATAACCTCCTCTTTCTATGACTCCAGTTTCCATTCAGGTTATAGTATTATTCAATAGTTGATTTTCTTTTTAAGCTGGGCAATAAATTGATGTTTCCAGATGGTAACATGGGAGAGGGCATATAGGATAAAGATGAGCAAATTCTACCCTAAAAATGTTCTAGTAGTTCACAGGAAGAAGATGAGGTTTAATAACTTTCAAGGTAATTCTAGATTGACATTTTGAGGGGAAAATGGGCTCTTGTTCTAGTTGAAGTGAGCAGAGAAGGCTATAAATTAATATGTAACTTACAGCATTCCAGAGGTTAAAAATAACTGATGCAGATGTACTTCTTCAGTGTGATTCTTCAGATCAAACTTTTACTTTTGGCATAGTTAATTTCAGAAAAATGTGCTGTATGTGTGTGTGTATGAGGGTTGGTCTTGCTGATCCTTCAGTTAGCTCTAAATTCTGGCAACTCCTTGTAATTCCAATGTATTTGATACATGAACAATCATGTTGAATGCATTTGTGATCTGGGAGACTTCCTCGTCTTCCAGGGAAGGAAGGATGTGCAGCCCCTGAAGGCATGAAACTCCCAGTGTGTACGGAGCCAGTGGAATATGGGATACCCATACCTTACCAGGCGCTGGTTCCTTCTGCTCACAATAACATCTGCCCAAAGAGGGAGTGGGAAGAACGCTTAGCTCTTTCACTAGTATGGATTTGAGTTCATGGTCACTATTTTTACCCACCTGCCTTTGTTAAAAATCACTTTGAGTAGAATAGCACTGGAGGAACATATTTAGCACCTAATATTAATATTTAGTAGTCCATTGATAAATTTGCCAGCATATGTTCTAGCCTCTGGGGGGAAACCAGGACCACTTTTGTCTGTGGCTTAAACAGTTCAGTTGCTATATCTGTTGGGTATGCCGGGGGTGGATGAGTGTGGCATTCCGTGAAGAGGAAGGTGGTAAGTAAGGTTTCCCTTCTACTGCCTTCTTAAGTTGCAGGAGGGAGCTTTTCTCCTCCCCTCTGGTTGGGAGCACTGAGGACAGTGAGGAGGGCTTTTACCTTGTTAATCCTTTCCTTATTTAGCTAGCTTTCCTTTTTGTCTAGGGCTTCCTCTTGAGACCCTCTTCCATCCATTGGGCCTTTGAAAGGACTAATCAGACACACACACACACACACACACACACACACACACTCGCATACTCATGCACATTTTCCTTCATTTCCAGATCCTTTATTTCAGAGCAGCCCATTTTCCTCTGGATTCATTGATGAATACAAGTACCCACACCTTTGGCCAGTAATGTCAGTTACCTGCTGCAGGTTCTGTGTATGAGGCCTTCATGAACGGTTACCTTCTCCATACACTAGGGAAGCATTTGTCAGACTCTGCAGACTGGGTTCTAGAGAGGCAGAGTCTTTAAGAGTATTCATTTCTTCTGGAAGGTGGAGCTTTACCCAAAGTGGAAGTTAGCCTTGCTCAAAGATGTGTTTTGTGGTAGGTGGTAAAAATAAATAAATAAATAAATAATAAAAAAAGAAACATGTATTGGAGGTAATTTGACACTGCTGCTGGCAGTAGTTCTCTATTCACCATTTTAAAGCCCATTCAGGTTCTCTCTTCCTGAAAAGAACTGATTGCTGTGTTTACATGAAATGACATTGGAGTCAGATGGTCTGTTTTAAAGATTTCCATGACAGCCTCTTTTCCTGAGTTGGAGAGATTGGAGGTGGTCTATCCGTACGATGTGGAATCAAACGGTGGGTTTCTTAGTAGCTAAAGAAGCCATGTACTTCTAGTGTGTTTCTCAGAATATCAACTCATGTTCTTCAGATGCTTTTCTTTTTTTAATGGTGAGGGAAAAGGTATAATTTGGGATTCCACAGTGCCTTGCATATAGTAGGCGCCCAGTAAATACTTGTTGAAGCAAACCAAGTTTCCCAAGTCCTCATCTCTTATAGTGACCAAGACATCTTTCTCCTCTGAAGGGCTTGGCAGTTGTGGCTAAAAAATAAGCAGTATCATTATTTGCTTGAAATCATATATACAGTTTGTATGAATTTCAGTATGTTGCCAAGACATGATTTTTTCTTATTGTATTTTCTGTAAATATTTCTGGCACTGAACTGTAAAGTAAAGGCAAAGTGTAAATATGAAGGCGTGCCCGTGCCCCTTGCCTCCTGTGTTTCATCTTCGTCGGTTAGGGAAGAAGGTCCAGAGGTTTGTTTGTATTTATGCCGATCCTTTGTCCAGAAGAAGCCCATGGAATATTGAATGTAATACATTTAGTCAATTAAATTTTAAGGAGATTCTTATCTAATAACTTTGTGTGTGCTTTTGGATACAGGCTGAGGCTTTACTCCTACACTGGTGCTGTTAATTTTACCCTTTCAGGGGATGTCTGCTCGGCTTTGGCTGCCCTTTATAATTTAGATCTGTAGTTTAAATGAACATTAAATGAGTATTTCATGAAATACTCAAAGTTTGATTAATTTTAAGAAAAGTATTTGGCCTTCTCTGCTGGAAGGAGCTTGTATAATTAAAACACTGCCAATAGAGGCTCACCTTTCAGGGGCTGCGAATTGCTGAGGAGATAGATGCTTATGTTACGGGAGCAAGAAAGTGCCAGCTGTGCCCTCTGCTTGCAGAAAATTTGAGCCCTAGTAGGACTAGACAGTCAGGAAAGGGGGGAGGTGCAGAGATCATCCCCTGCCGCCCACTGCCCCCTTTGTGAAGGGCATCTTGGAGCCAGATGAGTGCCTTCAGGCCTGGATCACACATAGTGGAGTGAATGGACCACTTGAAACAATCATGAGAACCATTGTGGCCATGCCTCTGCCAAGAGCTGCTGACGTGTGCCCTCTGAACTGTGCCTGGGAGCTGCCTACCTTGCACTGTGTGTTCTGCCTGCTCTGCCCACGCACAACAGGACCTCCAGCTGGGCCTAGTGGCCAGAGACGCTGACTGCACAGTAGCCCTGTTTTGGTGTCTGGAAAGGTTTTGTAGCCAGAAAAAAAATGTGTGCTCAAGCCTTTCCCAGCTATGCTGCTCAGCTCTCTCTCTGACCGCAGCCCCTTCAGGACCCAGTTCCAGGGAATCACCCCCAACCCAGACCACCTGCTCCTCCTTCTCTTGGCCTCTGGGCCCTGCATCAGGAGCACCCTGCCAGAGCACTGCTCCTCTTGGACACTCATTCTAGTCCATTTTCCCAGACTTCCTCTTGTAGGAATTCTGGCCTTCCCACAGCTGGGCTAGGACTCTTGAAACCATGCCCCAGCTCTCCCAGCCCCTCCCATGCTCTTATTTTTTCCTGTTGCTGGCCCCATGCGCCCTTCTCCTTGAATCGGTGTCTTTTCCTATAAGGGGGTTTTCTACTCCATGTTTTTCCCTAAGTTTACCACCCCCTTCCTGCAGCTGCTCCCCCGCCTGGACCTGGTTTGCCTTTTCAACAGGTGCTTTTAAGTCATGAGATGCTGTAGTCTCAAAATCAAGCCTGCATCAGAATCATTCTAGTTGCTTATCAGTGTGTTGAATCCCAAGCCACACCCCCACCCCCAAGAGGTCTGAGGAGACGAAGGTGAGCCTGGGAATTGGCATGTTTAATAAATACACTCCAGCACCCACCCACCTGCTGGCAGTCACAGGCAGGTGGTCCAAGGGTCCTCTTGGAGAATACCATGCAGCAGCCACTCCAGTGGGAAGCCCGAAGCCTCCTTTCTGCCATGGTCTGGCACATGGAGGTTTACTGAATACTTGATGAGTGAACGGATGACAGATAGGAGAAGATGAGGATGACATGTGGAAGTGTTCTGGCCACTCAGGAGATAAAGGAACAAGATTCAAGTCGTTAGAAGCCCCTCACTGAAAACCCTAATAAGGAGAGGCACAAGCTTTCAGATTAAGTAATAATCATTTATAGTCATTTAATCTAGTAATAATTAGAATAATCTACTATGTGTTAGATTTTAAAAGTTTTCAGTGGCAGCCCAGTGACCAATCCAGCCTGGCAGACGTTTTGTTTAGCCAACAGTGCTTTGACAAGGTCTGATCCGACATTTTAAACTTGGGAGATTTCACAGAAATCCAGACTTTTTGCCTGTCTTGGGAAAGTTAGGAGTCCTGCAATAATGGACCTGCATTTCACTTGTAGCAGTTATTGGTTGGAGCTGCCATCACTGCATGCTTAGGATGCAGTAAGCTGCATCCAGTTTGCCGCAGTCCCCAGCACCCCCACCAAGTGTGGACGTGGGCACCCACAGCTGGTATTACAGGACCTGGGGACCCAGCTGGCTCCTGGAGGGGGTCTGTGACTTCAGATATATGAACACCGATCCTGGGGGTAATTTTTGTCCCATCTATTTTTCTAACTTAACAGAATTATCTCCATCTTACAAGAAAAAGGGTCAGAGGGGTGTCATGAACCCAATAGCTACTGGACTGAGATTCAAGCCCAGGCCTGCCTGGAAACCTGGGCTTTTTAATTCTCAGCCAGACTGTCTGTCTCACTGCCTCACTTCCCACCCTTTCATCCAGAACAGCTCTCCCTCAAAGTGTCCCCTGCATGCTTTGCCTGAAGTACACTGTGACTTCTTTGTTATGTCACAGCTTAGTCACAGTTGGGCTGAGAGCAGAGCATGGCCCAGCCTGCCAGGTCCCATGGGGCAGCCCTGCCAGCCCAGCCCAGGCTGGCCCAGCTTAGCCACACATGCGCCATGAAGTACCCTTTGATGCCGCTGGTGAACGACCTCACATTTTCTTTCCTGGTTTTCTGGTTCTGCCTCCCTGTGGGTTTGCTGTTGTTATTGATCATCTGGCTACGCTTCTTACTTAGCCAAGGTGAGCTTCTTACCCCGTCCAGGCAGGACCCTAATCCTGGAGCTAGGCAGGGGGCCAAATAGGCCAGTGTGTCCTGAAACAACTGCAGAAGGGGCTTCCTTCAGTCATTTTAAGTGCTCGCTTAGATACAAGCAGTCAACTCTTAAGTGGAAAGGATTGGTTTGGTTGTTTAGGGTTTCTTAACCTAGAGTTCGAGAGTGAGTCCTAGAGTTTGAACCTAGAGTTCGAGAGTGAGTCCTAGAGTTTGAACCTAGAGTTTGAGAGTGAGTCCTAGAGTTTGAACCTAGAGTTCGAGAGTGATCTTTTGAACAAATCAGAGGTTATCGCTCCAGGCAGATGAACTTCCAGGTGCCCCTTTCAGCTGGGGTGCAAGGCTCTGTGAGCAGAGCGTGGGCTGGATTTCAGCCCCGCTCACCCTCTCAATTGGCTGCTTTTGTGCAGTAAACAGCTTGCACGATGGGATACAGCAGCCTTAGGCATTTTTCAGATACCTGCAGACCACTCACTGTTTCTGCCTAAGCCATGTATCAGAAAGGATCTGGCTGCTTTGGGAGACAGGCTCATGGAAGCCAGCTGACATTCACCCTGACCTCAGCATGCCACCAAGAGGAGCAAGAGGTGGGACGAAGCTGGCTGTGGAGGAAGCTGGGGGTGGCTGGATCAGGATATGGCCTGGCTGTGTGGCAGGAGTGGGACTTCTGCTCCTCTGGCATGTGTCTCCCTGAGCATCCCCTTCAGCAAGAGGTCTCTTCCTGCTGGACACAGTGGCTCACACCTGTAATCCCAGCACTTTGGGAAGCCAAGGTGGCCAGGTTGCTTGAGCCCAGGAGTTTGAGACCAGGCTGGGCAACGTCCCTACAAGGAATACAAAAATTAGCCAGGTGTGGTGGCATGCATCTGTGGTCCCAGCTACTGAGGAGGCTGAGGTGGGAGAATTGCTTGAGCCTGGGAGGTCGAGGCTGCAGTGAGCCGAGATCACACCACTGTATTCCAGCAGACAGAGTGAGACCCTGTGTCAAAAAAAGGCCTCTTCGTGGGGACCACTTGACCTCCTACCTCCTGCTGCTGAGTGCCATGACCTTTGGCAAGCTAGGCAGGGAGGGCGCAGCACATGCCGCCAGCAATGGTCAGATGTTGTTGAGGCAGGGTGAGAAGTCCCTCCCCACACCCCTGCTAGCCCCATGATCTCAAATGTAGGGGCTTATAATTATGTAATTATTGGGAGTTCCTGGCAAGAACTTGGGATGTCCTTTTGTTTCTAGAAAGTGTTTATTTAAAGTATATTCTCCTCATAGTCCTAGGGTAGACCACAGCCCTCCCTGAGGGGCACGGTTTAGGCATTGGGCCCCACAGCTGGTAGGGAGTCAGCCTTGTTTGCATACTGGCGATAAAAGTTGTCTCTCTGGAGTCTGGAAGATATGAGTTCAGATATCATCCTTTTTTTTTTATTTTTATTTTTTGAAACAGAGTCTTACTCTTGTCAGCCAGGCTGGAGTGCAGTGGCACAATCTCGGCTCACTGCAACCTCTGCCTCCTGGCTTCAAGCGATTCTCCTGCCTCAGCCTCCCAAGTAGCGGGGATTACAGGTGCCCGCCATCACACCTGTCTAATTTTTGTATTTTTAGTAGAGATGGGGTTTCACCATGTTAGCCAGGCTGGTCTCGAACTCCTGAGCTCAGGTGATCCACCCGCCTCAGCCTCTCAAAGTGATGGGATTACAGGCATGAGCCACCGCACCCAGCCTCATCCTTGCTTCTTAATAGTTCCTAATAATAGTGAACCTGTTTGGAACACTGACTATATACCAGACCTTGTGCTAAACACTGGACTTGCATAATCTTATGTAATCCTCATAATAACCCTGCTTAATAATACTTAATAATATCACAATTGGGGAAACTGAGGCTAGGAGAGGAGAAGCAACCTGTCCAAGGTCATACATCTGTGAACTACTTAAGAGAGCCAATTGTCTGCCTTCAAATCCTGACTCTGCCACCTACCAGCTGCATGACTGTGGACACCTCTCTGAGCCTTGCTTTTCTCATCTACAAAATGGAGACAACACTAGTACCTGCCCCTTGGGGTTGTGACAGGCTTCAGTGGTCGATGCATATCGGGTACTTACAGGGCAGGGCACACAGTACGCATACACACCTGGCACATCGTAGGTTCCTGTAGGCTGAGAAAATAGTCCAGCCAATGCTGGTTTTGTCAATGTGGGAGGAAATGCAGGTGGTGTG
Source organism: Homo sapiens (assembly GCF_000001405.40). Lineage (NCBI taxonomy): Eukaryota > Metazoa > Chordata > Mammalia > Primates > Hominidae > Homo > Homo sapiens. The sequence goes on from NC_000020.11 coordinate 38,583,615, forward strand.
GCTTTGGATGCCTTCTCCAGAGAGGAGACATTTCTCCTACCACCCAGGCCAAGGCCTGCAGCATGAGTCTCCTCCAGCATTCACTCTGCTTGGAGGCCCAACTCCAAAACCATCCACAACCTACCCCACTCCAACCCCTCCGCAGACTTTCTCCTGAGAGGCTGTTTACTGGTGTCATGTGGCGTTTTGAAATAAGTCATTTGTTAATTTTGCAACGAAGAGAAACCGTCCTTAAAGTGAGGTGGGCATTCCTCCCTCAGGTTCTCCGTCTTCTAAAACTCCCAGTATTATTGTGCGTGTTTTGCCCTTGTGCTGGGAACTGACCCAATGTCAGGGTTTGGGGGGCTAAGGGGTCAGGACACCCAGACCTGCAGTTTTCTATTCTGCTGCAGATCCCTTTATTGGAATCAGTTTGCCTGAAATCCAGTTTGAAAAGCAGACAGGAGTAGCTCTGCCGCCTCCTCCCCACCACCCCCCAACACTCCTGCTGGCTCCTCAGGGCAGTTTCAGGCCTCAGAATACAGAGGGTTAAGCGTGGAATACCCGACAGGATGCACTTTCCCAAGTCGAAGGAGGAGCAAATGGGGAGGAAAGGAGAGCTGCCTGATGAAACTGGCACTGAGGCAAAAATGATAATGGGCAGCTCAACTCCTGCAGAAGCTGGTCAGTGGGGACAGTGCTACTGTCTGGCCATGACATGGCCATAAGGTGGAGGAAGCCACACACACCCTTCAAGGGGAAGATGCCCTGCTGCCGGCATTTTCCTTTTGCGATTTGAAAGGAGTTTGCAGAAGGATGAAGGGAAACCTCCAAAGAGATGGGTTTGGGGCTGAAACAGAAGAGTGGCGCAACAACCCCTCATGGTGGGTCTTGGAGCAAGATGTTCAATTCAAAGCTGCCTTTAAATCCTCTGAGTCCAAACACACCCAATGGAACCGTGGAGTGGGGAGGCTGAATTTGCATCCAGTAGCACCACTCCCTGGCTGTGAGCCTGGACAAGTGATTTCACCATCCTCATCTGTAAAGTACAAAAAATACTAGTAATTGACTTCAGGAAGGTGTTAAGAGGATCAGATGAGAAAATGAATGTAACAACACTTTGCACATACTCTATGTTCAAAAAATACTCTCTCTAGTGAAGAACAGTCACTTCACGCTATCCTACTGACTTTTTTTTTTTTTGAGACGGAGTCTCGCTCTGTCACCAGGTTGGAGTGCAGTGGCGCGATCTCGGCTCACTGCAACCTCCGACTCCCTGGTTCAAGCGATTCTCCTGCCTCAACCTCCTGAGCAGCTGGGACTACAGGTGCGCACCACCACGCCCAGCTAATTTTTGTACTTTTAGTAGAGACGGGGTTTCGCCATGTTGGCCAGGATGGTCTCGATCTCTTGATCTCATGGTCACCCGCCTTGGCCTCCCAAAGTGCTGGGATTACAGGCGTGAGCCACTGTGCCCGGCCCCTACTGACTTTTAAGACATACTAACTGCCAACACTGTTGAAGGCCTGTGCTAAGTCCTGTGCTGAGTTTTACATGTCTGCCTTCGGTTAACCCTCATCCTAGAAGATGCTGATATTATGCCCATTGTACAAAAACCTTTGTTACTTCTCTGCAACTAGTGAAACAATGCAAGAGTTTAGTAAGAAAAATAATCTTCCCCATCCCTCTTTTTTTCTCACCCTACCTCCCCAAGATGAGTCTGTTAGCAAACTCATTAACGTGTGCAGGTTTTCAAAACAAATTGGGGAATGGTGCAGCATTTGCTTTTCAAAACAAAAAGATCCTACATTTCTTTTTAATTTGCTTATAATATACCGTAGATATTCTGCAAGTCAGAAGATACAGATATGATGCAAACATTTTAACAGCTTCATGACAAGCCATCAGACGGAGGGTCCGGGTCTCCATGTGGTGTGACTCTCCCACAGCTTAGTCACCCAGATCTCTCGTGATCTGTGGACGTGGACACAGTTTCCAGGTGTTTTATTGTTCGTGTGTGCGTGTTTCATCACAAAACAGGGCTACAGTGGAGATCATTGTGCCTTTGTACTCAGATGTTTGTTAATGAATGAACTAGTGGACTAGTGGCCTGGATGGGTCAATAACTGTGTCTCTTCACTGCCTCTTCCTGGACCATGTCCAGTACAGTATGTCATTTGCTCACCTCTGTGTCCTCCCCTCTAGATACGGCCATTTTCCAAGTCACAGGAGCAGCCTTCTTTCTTGGTCCCTGGTCACCCTTTAAGGCCCTGAAGTCTTCCTGAGGCCTCAAGGCTGGCTCATAGGATTCTGCCTTGGCCCTAGCCTCAGGCAAGGCTGCAGGGATACCCAGGCCTGGCAGGGGACTCCTTCCTGGGTCAGGGGTAGGAGACAGGATGTGACCATCCAAGAGGCCTTGCCTCGTATCTCCACAGATTCAGAGGAAAATGACTCCAGTGTGTGCTTGGATTGGGAGCCCTGGAGCAAAGGCCCAGCTGAGTTTTGCTGGAAGGGGACACTCCACGGCCAAGAGAAGGAGAGGCCCTGCTGGTGAGCCTGCTGTGCCAGGTGAGGCCCTTCCAGGGGCCAGGGGGAGCCTCAAGGCCCACCCAAAGCCTTGGGCAGCTGCTATGTGGGCAAGAGGCTGCCTCCACCATATTAGAGGTATGCTCCCTGGCCATGCTGGATGACGGGTTCTCTCCAGCATGTGAGAGCCTTCTGCTTCATTGTGGGGGAGACCTGGTGTTGCCCTGTTAAAGGGCCAGCCCCCTGTGCCACAAGGAGCCTTTACAAAGGTCCCCTACCCTTTACCCTAGGGCCTCACCCCCCACCACTTTCCTGATGGTCTTTGGCCAGCTGTTCCCTCAGACGTCTGCGTGGGGCACTCCCTCCCCTCTGAGGGCTTGCTCTAATGTCACTTTTTCAGCAGAGTCCCACTGGCCACCCTATTCGATATTGAAGCCCCCACCCTATCCTCCGCATCGTGCTGCTTACCCTGCTCTGCTTTCCTTTCACTGTAGTACTTACCGCCTTCTAACACGTTTGATCGTGGCTGCATCCAAAGCCCCAAAATACTGCCAGACACATGCTAGAGGCTCAATACATGTTTGTGGAAGGATGACATGATATTATTATTATTATTATTACAATGGCTGGTATCCTTGGGGGCTCAATAGGTACCAAGGCCTGTCTGAACCGTTCCCCTTCCACAAGCTTACTTATGAAATCCTATGATGAGGATATGATTCTCACCTCCATTTACAAATGAGGCACACACACATACTCTCATGTGAGGTGTCAGGGCAATCAGATGCTGTACCCAAAGGCCCTTGCACCCATTGAATTCCTAGGAGACCTCAGCCATTCCAGTGGGGTTAGATGCCATCTCTATACCAATGGCCCCAAAATGTGTGTGTCTCATCTAATCTCCTCCCAAGCTTTATTATCTGTCTGCTTGACACCCTCTCATGCCTAGAATAGGAATCTTGATTCCCATTGTCACCCAGCCAAGCAAAACAGCACCCTGATCTTCTGCTAGCTTTTCTTCATCTCCATGAATAGCACCACTGTGGATTGATTCTGTTGCCCGAGTCACGAACCCGGGAGCCAGCCTCTCGCCTCTCTCTCCCAACTCTAATCTCCATCTCTCACGTGTCCGCCTTTCTCTGCCCTACTCTGAAGTTGGTTCATGCAGTGTGTTCACTAGCCCCCGACCCTGTCTGAGTGGAGGGAGGAGGTGGTGAAAAGGAGGGCCCCTCACTTAACCTAAGTTGTAATGATTTTTTAGCCTTTTGGGTCCCACCTTGACCACTGAGGGCCCTTTTCCCAGGAAAACTCCTCCTATGAATGCCCTCAGAGATTTGTGTACGGGGCCAGCTCCACAGGTGTGTAACCTGCAGTCCCACAAGGTCCCAGGCTTGGTTTCATGCTTGGCTATTGCTGTCTTGAAATTCTTAATTTTTGAACAAGGGGCCCCACGTGTTAATTTGCTATTGGGCCCTGCGAATTATGTAGCTTGATCTGTTTTTATATAATTTGTGGCATGAGAAAAGATTTTCGGACGCTGCACAAGAACCCTATCCCATTTATGCATAGCCCTTCCCTTCCCACCCCCATCACTTACCCACCTCTTTCTTTCTTTTTTCCCTTTTTTTTTTTTTTTGAGACGGAGTCTTTCTCTGTTCCCCAGGCTGGAGTGCAGTAGCGCAATCTCAGTTTACTGCAACTTCTTCCTCCCCAGTTCAAGCAATTCTCCTGTCTTATCCTCCCGAGTAGCTGGGATTACAGGCACATGCCATCACGCCCGGCTAATTTTTCTATTTGTAGTAGAGACAAGGTTTCACCATATTGGTCAGGCTGGTCTTGAACTCCTGACCTTAGATGATCCACCTGCCTCGGCTTCCCAAAGTGCTGGGATTACAGGCATGAACCACCACGTCTGGCCTTACCCACCTCTTTTTTCTCATCCCAATGGCATCCCTAGTCCCAACCTTCCTTTTGTTTCTAGTTTGGTTTTCCTGGAGTCAGCAGGGCAGTGGCAATGGCAGAAGTGGATGGGAGAGACTTGCCAGGGAGGCAAGAGGACTTTGGCAACTGTGGTGCCTCCCTGGAACCCCCAACTCATCTCCTCTTCAGACCGACATGTGAAAGCCTCCAGAGGTCCCAGCCCTTCTCCAGCATCACAGATGACCTCCAGCCCTGCAGGGAGCCGCTCAAGTCTGGGAGGGCATGGGAGCAGTGAGCAGGCCCATGGGGAGAAATTGGCCAATTTAATTCAGAGGGGTCTTAAAGCAGGGCTGGGCCGGAGGGTGTGGGTCCATATTAAAGAAGCAAGGGTCTTCCCATACCCGGGGGACCCCTGACAAACCTACCAGGCCTGACCAAGTCATTCATTCAACCAGCGTAGGTCCGAGACTCAGCCCTGGCCCTGATTCAAGCCATCTAGGACCTTCTTGGGAATGCCCAACCCTCTTCCATCTGTTCAATGGGGATGGGGGGCTTGCTCTGAACTTCCATTCTCTGATTTCAAATTCGCTCCTTGATTGGACTTCAGGCTGATCTTAATAACAAATATTTGATAAATAGCTGCAGAGTGTCTACCAAGTGCCTAGTTTGGTAGGAGCAGGAATAGCTATAGGAGTAGCTCAACATTTAGTGAATGCTTACTACACGTCAGGCACTTTTCTATGTGCTTTATACATACGATTGCTGGCCGAGCACGGTGGCTCACACCTGTAATCCCAGTACTTTGGGAGGCCAAAGCGGGTGGATCACTTGAGGTCAGGAATTCGAAACCACCCTGGCCAACATGACAAAAACCCCATCTCTACTAAAAATACAAAAATTAGCCAGGTGTGATGGCTCACGTAGTCCCAGCTACTCGGGAGACTGAGGCACAAGAATCGCTTGAACCAGGGAGGTGAAGGTTGCAGTGAGCTGAGATCGTGCCACTGCACTCCAGCCTGGGCAACAGAATGAGACTCGGTCTCAAAGAAACAAAAACAAAAACAAATACATACGATTGCTTTTAGCCCTTGTAAGAATTCTGCAAGGTAGGTTGGTTACCTCTGTTTTACACATGGGGAAACAGGCACAGAGCAGTTAGTAAGTTGCTCAGAGTCACACTGGGAGAGTTGGCATTTGAACCCAGGTTCCATGACTCCAGAACCAGGTCCCACTCCACTGTGCCAGTTCTTCCCCAGGTGGGGTGCTGGGGGAGGTATGGTGGGAGGCGTAAGTTTCCAGAGGCTGCAGGATGATGGGGGTGGGGGGATAAAGGGACAGGCCCTCCAAGGTACCAACTGGGCATCATCTTTATCCCTTCTTTCTCTCTCACTCCACACCCCACCAGCCACCACGACTTCTAAATGTCCAAGGAGAGAGAATTGAGCCTGAAATCTTAGCTTGTCTCCTGGCCTTTGGTCTCCTGGCCTTGGTCTCTGCTCTTTCTGCCCTGTTGGAGTGATCCACCCAAAGCACAAATTGGGACATGTCCCTTCCTGGCTTCACGTCTTCCATGCTTTCCGTTGTCCGTGGGCTAAAGTCTGAGCTCCTCATCAGGTGCAGAAAGCCACCTTTTGGGATTTGAGCCCCACTGAATTTGCTGGATGAGGTTTCTATTCTTACCCACAGGCTACAATGAACACTCTTGAACCTAAATCCTTGCCCACAAGTGTGCTTCTATCCAGAGAACACATTCTGAAAGGAGAAATTGTTGAATATAAGACATGCATTTACATTTTGCAGAAACTAAGTTGCTCGACCAAAAAGTGGCCCCAAGGGTACATTAGAAGTACCTGTTTCCCCAGTCCTTTGCCCCGCTGTGCAATCCCAACATGCTCTCTTACATACAGACACACACACGCATTATCACACACTCACACACACCCTCATACACACACTCTCATAGACACACACAGACACACACCCTCATACAGACACACATACACACACACACCCTCATACAGACACACATATGCACACAGACACACACCCTCATACAGACACACATACACACACTGTCACACAGACACACCCTCATAGACACACACTGTCACACAGACACACATACACAGACACACACCCTCATACAGACACACACATACACACACACAGACACAAACCCTCACACACACTCATACACTCACATACATATACACTCACACACACCCTCACACATACACACTCATACACTCACACATACATATACACTCACACCCTCACACATACACTCACTACACCCACATCCACATGCATACACACACATATGCTCTCAGACACCCTCACACATACACGCTATCACACACAGACACACACACTCTCATACACTCACACACATGCTCACACATATCCACTGACACAAACACCCTCACACGTACAGGCACACTATCACACACAGACACACACACACACTCATACACTCACATATACACACTGTCACACAGTCACACTCATACCCACACACACATATACACTCACTCATACAGACACACATACACACACCACCTTATACACACAGACACACTATCACACACTCTCACAGACACACATGCACACACGTATTCTCACACATTTAAATATTTTGTTTTCCATCAGGCTGTGGCTTTGAAATGAGAATGAGAAGGAAACCTGGGCTAGACACACATCCATAGACACGCGCACTCACACACACGCACACACACCCACAACCCTCCCTTCTCCACACAAGCCTTGCTCCAGCTGATGAGCTTTTGTCACCACGGGGTTTTCCTGGGAGCTGCAGGGGTGGCGTTGAATGAACCCTGTTGGCAACTCCTCCCTGTGGTGGAAGCTCTGCCTGGCATTGTCTGCATTTTTGCCAGATGCCCCGTTCTGTGGAGTCTCTGTGCATTGCTTACTCGGCCCTGCCCCACTGTGCTGTGAGGGGCTGCTGGGCCATTGTTCAGCCTCCCTTCTGGCCTAGAAAAGCCAGCAGAGCCCCCCAGCCCTCTTGCCCCACCTGCTGAGGAGGCAACCCCGAGGAGAGTGAGTGCAGTGGGCCCTGCACTGGGGTCTGGGGAGAGCATCTGCCATGCCCCTGGAACCTTTGAGGCAGAAGGCAGATGAGGCCGCTCCTCAGGGCCCCGGGCAGGTGACAGCTCTGGAGAACAATTGTGGGGAGTGTGGGGAGACGCCTTCCCTGCTTTGGTGAGGGCTGAGACCCCGGGCCTCTACGGATGTGGACGAGGTCCCCATTCTGGCACACACAGACACACACACGCACACATGCACACTCATACAGAGGAGATGGGCATGTGACTGGTAAACACATCCCATGACACTCTAGTCACAGGCTCCCGAGAGACATCATCCCCACGTAGCAGCCACGGCTGAGTGCCCATGCATTATCCCACTGGATCCTCACAACAGCCCTCTCAGTCGCGTCATGGTTCCATTTTCAGACGAGGAAACTGAGATTCAGAGAGGTTAAGCAACTCGCCCAAAGTCACACAGCCATGAAGTGGCTCATTTTTCTGACTCTTAACTGGGATGTGTGTCTCCAGATCCACGGGGATGCCCCTGGCTCTTCCTAGAGCTGAATGATGGAGCTTAAGGCTGTGCGGTTGATGTTTGTAGGAAACTCAGGTGCACTCGGGACCGCAAACCTGTCTCCCCAGGCTGAGGGGCGCAGGGACCCTGCGAGGACAGTCACCAGCATGACATGGGAGCACCGCAGGGGCATCAGCAAAGCAGGGTGTATCTGACTGTCGGTGCATCTCATTGAAAGCCACACCCCTTGTCACAGCATATCTTCTAGGCACAGGCTTATTTTCTACCCCTAACCCTGGGGCCACAGGCCTGGACTCCCGAGTGCAAGCCCATCACCATCCCATTCAGCCTCAGTGTCATCGTCTGCAAAACGGCCAATCCCCTCTGCATTTGCTTCCAGGAGCTCCCATGACAGAGTGTCACAAGCTGGGTGGTTTAGAACAACAGAAGCGTGTGGGCTCTTACTTCTGGGGGCTAGAAGTCCACAGTTATGGTACTGGCATTGCCAGGCTCCCTCCAAACCCTGCAGAGGAAGGAGCCTTCCTTGCCTTTCACAGGTTCTGGTGGCTCCAATGTGCCTCAGCTTGTGGCAGCATCACCCAGCTGCGGCCTCTGCCCTCACATAGTGTCCCCACTGTGTGTCTTCCCATCATCTTCTTGATATGCACACCTGTGTCGGGGACCGATTTTCCCCTTTCAGAGGGACACCAGTCTTATTGGGTTAGGGCCCACCCTACCAACCACATTTTAACTTGATTATCTCTGTCAAAACCCTATTTCCAAATAAAGTCACTTTCATGCGCGTCCATGTGAAGAGACCACCAAACAGCCTTTGTGTGAGCAACAGGGCTGTTTATTTCACCTGGGTGCAGGTGGGCTGAGTCCGAAAGGAGAGTCAGCAAAGGGAGATGGGGGTGGGGCCGTTTTATAAGATTTGGGTAGGTAAAGGAAAATTACAGTCAAAGGGGGGTTGTTCTCTGGCGGGCAGGAGTGGGGGTCACAAGGTGCTCAGTAGGGGAATTTTTGAGCCAGGATGAGTCAGAAGGAATTTCACAAGATAATGTCATCAGTTAAGGCAGGAACAGGCCATTTTCACTTCTTTTGTGGTGGAATGTCATCAGTTAAGGCAGGAACAGGCCATCTGGATGTGTACATGCAGGTCACAGGGGATATGATGGCTTAGCTTGGGCTCAGAGGCCTGACATTCCTGTCTTCTTATATTAATAAGAAAAATAAAAGGAAATAGTGGTATAGTGTTGGGACGGTGAAAATTTTTGGGGGGTGGTATGGAGAGATAATAATGGGTGATGTTTCTCAGGGCTGCTTCGAGCGGGATTAGGGGCGGCGTGGGAACCTAGAGTGAGAGAGATTAAGCTGAAGAAAGATTTTGTGGTAAGGGGTGATATTGTGGGGTTGTTAGAAGAAACATTTGTCATTTAGAATTATTGATGATGGCCTGAATTGTCATTTAGAATTATTGCATGAATTGAAAAACTAAACGGAATAAGAGAAGGAAAAAAACAGGTATTAAAGGACTAAGAATTGGGAGGACCTAGGACATCTAATTAGAGAGTGCCTAAGGAGGTTCAGTATAGCCTTGCCAGCAAAGATTATTTATTTACTTTAAGAGTTAAGAGTGGCGGTTTGGGGATAGCACCAGGAGATATCAGCTGTGATGGCTTGAAGAAACAGTGTAAACTGGCAGTGTAAACAAGAGCAGGGCATGTATGAGTAGTTGAGAACAGTGAATAGGAGTATGACTAGATAGTAGGGATGACAAGTTTTTTGGGGCACAGTCCAAGTTGGTCTGGTGTCTGGAATGAGACTGGGGCCTAATAAAAAGGAGCGTCCATGCAGAAGCTCAAATGGGCTGTACCCTGTAGCATTCCGAGGACAGGCCTGAATTCTGAGAAGGGAAAGTGGTAAAAGTATTGTCCAGTCCTTTTTAAGTTGGTGGCTGAGCTTGGTGAGGTGTGTTTTTAAGACTATTAGTCCGTTCTACTTTTCCTGAAGACTGAGGACCTTAAGGGATATAAAGGTTTCACTGAATACTAAGAGCCTGAAAAAATGCTTGGCTGATTTGACTAATAAAGGCCGGTCTGCTATCGGACTGTATACAGGTGGGAAGGCCAAACAGAGGAATTATGTCTGACAGAAGGGAAGAAATGACCGCAGTGACCTTCTCAGACCCTGTGGGAAAGGCCTCTACCTATCCAGTGAAAGTGTCTACCTAGACTAAGAGGTATTTTAGTTTTCTGACTTGGGGCAAATCCCTGAGCTTGATGTGTAGGGAAGGGAGGGGGCCTGAATAATCCCTGAGGAGTAGTAGAATAGCAGATGGAACACTGAGAAGTTATTTCCTTGAGGATAGATTTCCACGATGGAAAGGAAATGAGAGGTTCTAAGAGGCGGGCTAGTGGCTTGTACTATAGCATAGCCTGCCTTCGCTGGTGTGTGGCGATTAGGCCTGGTGGAACTGCCATCAATAAACCAAGTATGATCAGGGTGAGAAACAGGGAAGAAGGAAATGTGGGGAAATGGGGTGAACGTCAGGTGGATCAGAGAGATGCAGTCATGAGGGTCAGGTGTGGTATCAGTAATAATGTGGGAGGCCAGATTGAAGTCCGGGCCAGGAACAATGGTAATTGTGGGAGACTCAACAAAGAGTGAGTACAGCTGAAGGAGCCGCGGAGCAGACAGTATATGCGTCAGGTGTGAGGAAGAAAACAGATTTTGGAAATTATGAGAGCTGTAGAGAGTGAGTTGAGCATAGTTTGTATTTTAAGGGCCTCTAAAAGTATTAGGGCGGCAGCAGCCGCTGCACGGAGACGTGATGGCCAGCCTAAAACAGTAAGGTCAAGTTGTTTGGACAAAAGGGCTACAGGGCGCGATCCCGGTCGTTGTGTAAGAATTCTGACTGCACAGCCTTGCACTTCGGCTGTGTGTAATGAAAAGGGCTGGGATAAGTCAGGGAGAGCTAGGGTGGGGGCAGTCTCTAAAGCTGTCTTCAAGGAATGGAAAGAGGTGTGGGGAAAGGATTTAGGATTTATGGAGTCAGCTAGGTTTCCTTTTGTGAGTTTATATAATGGTTTTTTTAGGATGGCAAAACCAGGTATCCAAAGGCGAAAGTATCTAACCATGCCCAGGAAGGAAAGGAGTTGTTGTTTTGTAGAAGGGGTTGGGGTTTGAGAGATCAGTCAGACACGATCGGCAGGGAGAGCACATGTGTTTTTATGAAGAATTATGCTGAGGTAGGTAACGGATGGAGAAGAAATTTGAGCTTTGAAGGGGGATACTTGGTATCCTTTGGAGAATAAATGCTGAAGGAGCAGAAGTGTGTCTTGTTGAGAAGATTCAAAAGAGGGGCAACAAAGAAGAAGCTCATCAATATATTGAATAAGGTGAGAAGCGGAGGGGTGGAAAGAAAGTAAATCATGAGAAAGCTTGGCTGAAGTAATGAGGGCTATCCCTGAAACCTTGCGGCAGCACAGCCCAGGTAAGCTGCTGGGACTGATGGGTGTCAGGGTCAGTCCAGGTGAAAGCAAAGAGAGGCTGGGATGAGGGGTGTAGGGGAATAGTGAAAAAAGCATCTTTAAGATCAAGAACAGAATAGTGAGTTGTGGAGGAAGGTATTGAGAACAAAAGAGTGTACAGGTTGGGCACCACAGGGCGGATAGGCAAAACAATTTGGTTGATAAGGCTCAGATCCTGAACTAATCTGTAAGGCTTGTGTGGTTTTTGGACAGGTAAAATGGGGGAATTGTAAGGAGAGTTTATAGGTTTTAGAAGCCCATGCTGTAGCAGGCGAGTGATAACAGGCTTTAATCCTTTTAAAGCGTGCTGTGGGATGGGATATTGGCGTTGAGCGGGGTAAGGATGATTAGGTTTTAATGGGAGAGTAATGGGCATGTGATTGGTTGCCAGGGAAGGAGTAGAGATGTCCTATACTTGTGGGCTAAGGTGGGGGCATACGAGAGGAAGACACAAAGGAGGCTTTGGGTTGGGGAGAAGGGCAGCAATGAGATGTGGCTGTAGTCCAGGAATAGTCAGGGAAGCAGATAATTTGGTTAAAATATCTCGGCCTAATAAGGGAACTGGGCAGGTGGGGATAACTAAAAAAGAATGCATAAAAGAGTGTTGTCTAAGTTGGCACCAGAGTGGGAGAGTTTTCAGGGGTTTTGAAGCTTGGCCGTCAATAGTTACAGCAGTTATCAGGGCAAGGGAAACAGGCCCTTGAAAAGAAGGTAACGTGGAGTGGGTAGCCCCCGTATCGATTAAACAGGGGATGGACTTACCCTCCACTGTGAGAGTTACCTGAAGCTCGGCGTCCATGATGGTCCGGGGGGCTTCCGAGGCGATCGGGCAGCGTCAATCTTCAGTCGCTAAGCCGAGCAGATCTGAGAAGGAGTCAGTCAGACAGCCTTGGGCTAGAGCTTTAGGGGCTCTAGGAGTGGCTGCCGGGCGAGCTGGGCAGTCTGCCTTCCAGTGGGTCCTTCCACAGATGGGACATGGCTTGGGAGAAATCCTGGGCTGCGGGCATTCCTTGGCCCAGTGGCCGGATTTCTGGCACTTGAAGCAAGATCCTGATGGAGGAAGTCTTGTAGGAATGCTTGACTGCTGCGGCTTAGGTGTGTGCGGCTTAGGCATTTTGAAGTTCTTGTGTGCTGGAGGTGTGGCTGGGTTTTGTCTCACAGCAGAGGCAAGTAATTGTAACTCAGACATGCGTTGCCGTCTGGCTGCTTCCTCTCTATTACTGTACACCTTGAAGGCGAGGTTGATGAATTCCTGTTGTGGGGTTTGAGGGCCAGATTCTAATTTTTGAAGTTTTTTCCTAATGTCAGGAGTGGATTGGGTGATAAAATGCATATTAAGAATAAGGCGGCCTTCTGGCCCCTCTGGGTCTAGGGCGGTAAAGCGTGTAAGGGTCGCTGCCAAGCGGGCCATGACCTGGGCTGGGTTTTCGTCTTTACCTCGGGTAGTTTCTCTAAGTTTGTCAGAATTACCAGCTTTGTAAGCTGCCTTTTTAAGCCCTTCAACTAGGCAGGAAATCATGTAATCTCGCCTAGCTGTACCTGGGGAATCTGCCTGATAGTTCCATTGGGGGTCCTCTCGGGGAACTGCTCTACTGCCTTCCTGGAGGTCAAGTTCATGAAGCCGGCGGTTATCAGCGTGAGATTGGGCTAGAGAAAAAACTCTTTCCCGTTCATCTGGGGAGAGGGTAGAAGTCAGGATGACATTTCAGTCACTCCAGGTTAAACTGTAGGACAGAGTTAGATATTGGAATTCCTGTATATGTTTAGTGGGGTCTGATGAGAAAGAGCCTAAATGCTGGCTGATCTGAGAGAGGTCTGACAGAGAAAAAGGTACATGTACCCTGACTATGCCTTCAGCTCCAGCCATCTCTCTAAGAGGAAATTGTGGGTAGGTGGGGAAGAGCGGAACTAAACTGTAAGCCGGACCGGGTATGAGGAAGGGAGGTGGTAGAAGGATTATAGGGTGGAGGAGTGGAGGCTGAGGAAGAATTGGGACTTAGCTCGGCCTGGCGACGAGCAGCCTGGGGAGGAGGGGAAGAGTCAGATGAATCTGTAGAAAAGGAAGACTGGAAAGACTCAGCGACACTTGGGGTTGGGACTGAGGGGACAGGCGGGAGGGAAAGAAGGAGGATTTGGGAGGAATCGCATTGGGAACAGAGACTAGGGAGGGAACGAAGTGTGAAAAATGTCTGGATGTAAGGCACCTGGGACCATTTGCCTATTTTTCAACAAAAATTATTTAGGTCTTGTAGGATGGAGAAATTGAAAGTGCCATTTTCTGGCCATTTAGAGCTATTGTCAAGTTTGTATCGGGGCCAAGCAGTGTTGCAGAAGAAGATAAGGCATTTAGGTTTTAGGTCAGGTGTGAGTTGAAGAGGTTTTAGGTTTTTAAGAACACAGGCTAAGGGAGAAGAAGGAGGAATGGAGGGTGGAAGTTTGCCTATAGTGAAGGAGGCAAGCCTAGAGAAAAGAGAGAGTAGAGACATGGAGGGAAGGGGTTCGGGGGTTCTTACCTTCCAGAAAAGCGGGAAAGGGGTCAGCGCGCAGAAATAAGGGGTTGGGGCACAGAGACAAGAGGTTGGGGCACAGAAATAAGGGATTGGGGCATGGAAATAAGGGATCGGGGCACAGAGATAAGAGGTCGGGGTATGGAAATAAGGGATCGGGGCACAGAGATAAGAGGTCAGGGCGTGGAAATAAGGGATCGGGGGGTTCTTGCCCCCCAGAAAAGCAAAGAAGGGGTAGAACACGGAGAGAGGGAGTTGGGGGATTCTTGTACCCCAGAAAAGTGGTACTTGCTGCTAAGAGTGAAGGACCAAGGCAGGTGTCCCTGTGTGGTCAGACACCTCTGAAATGTGGGTGAATGATCAGAGAGGCATCCCTGCAATGATTAAACACCAAAGGAAGGCTGCCTTCCCGAGTCCATGACCGGTGCCGGGATTTTGGGTCCATGGATAAAACGTGTCTCCTTTGTCTCTACCAGAAAATGAAAGGAATTGAAATTAAGAGAAGGGAGAGATTGAAGTGTGGTGCCAAGATTGAATGGAGAAAGAGGTTGAGGGATAGTGAGGGAGGTTGGAGAAGAGAGTAAAAACAGGCTGCTTAGCGGATTTAAAATTGGTGAGATGTTCCTTGGGCTGGTGGGTCTGAGGACCCGAGGTCATAGGTGGATCTTTTTCACGGAGCAAAGAGCAGGAGGAAAGGGGATTGATCTCCCAAGGGAGGTCCCCTGATCCTAGTCATGGCACCAAATTTCATGTGCATCCATGTGAAGAGACCACCAAACAGGCTTTGTGTGAGCAACAAGGCTGTTTATTTCACCTGGATGCAGGCAGGCTGAATCCGAAAAGAGAGTCAGCAAAGGGAGATAGGGGTGGGGCCGTTTTATAAGATTTGGGTAGGTAAAGGAAAATTACAGTCAAAGGGGGGTTGTTCTCTGGCGGGCAGGAGTGGGAGTCACAAGGTGCTCAGTAGGGGAGCTTTTGAGCCAGGATGAGCCCGGAGAAGGAATTTCACAAGATAATATCATCAGTTAAGGCAGGAACAGGCCATTTTCACTTCTTTTGTGGTGGAATGTCATCAGTTAAGGCAGGAACCAGCCATCTGGATGTGTACGTGCAGGTCACAGGGGATATGATGGCTAAGCTTGGGCTCAGAGGCCTGACAGTCACATTCAGAGCTACTGGGGCTTAGGCATTCACATGTTTTTCATATGTTTTTGGTAGGACACTTGAACCCATAACACTCTCTTGAGAGTTTATCATGAGGATTGAATGTGGTAATGCATGTAAAGCTGTGATCACAGTGCTTGGCTGGCACTTCATTCCATAAATTACTTTTGAAAGAAAAAATTGGCTGGGCATGGTAGCTCATGCCTGTAATCCCAGCACTTTAGGAAGCGGAGGTGGAAGCATCACTTGAAGCCAGGAGTTTGAGACCAGCCTGGGCAACATAGTGAGACCCCTGTCTCTACAAAACAATAAATAAAAATGGCTGAGTGTGGTGGCACACGCCTAGTAAATCCTAGCTCCATCCAGAGACTGAGGCTGGAGGATCGCTTGAGCCTAGGAGGTCAAGGCTGCAGTGAGCTGTGATCACACCACTGCACACCAGCCTGGGTGATACAGTGAGAGCCAGTCTCAGAAAAGAAAAAGGAAGAAGCTGAGCACCTGGAAATTAGATGCTCTATGTACATTGTGTGCCAGGCCCCATTTAAGTGCTTGATGTGTATTATCCCACCAAATCCTCACAACCACCCCTCAAGCCAGGCAAGGTTTTCATTTAAATGATGTGGAAGCTGTGACTGAGAGAGGTTAAGGCATTTGCCTGAAGTCACACAGCCTAAGTGGCAGAGCTGAGGATCAGCCTGAAGCCTATGAGGCTCCACCTCATCACACTACATAGGACTGTGCTGTAGTGTGGAGTGGGGGCTGCTTGGAGGGGCAGAAAGCCAGGGAGGAAATGCTGAGCACACAGCACACAGGCCCTGGGGGGCTTTCTGGGTCTGAGGGACCTGGAATGAGTCTCTGCGATAGTGAGAGGCCTAGCTGATGGCAGGCTGCCTGGGGAGGTGCTGGCGAGCTGCCAGGGTGCAGGGCCAACAGGTCTGAGCCACTCCACTGTGACCTAACCGGCCTGGCCGATACTGCAGGTGGGGGGCTGGGACAGGGCTCAGCCGGGGGTGAGGAATGTTGCCCTGAGCGTGGGTACACTCACTTCTCCAGGCTTCATTCTGAGTATACGCGCGGCTCTCCCGGAAGCGAAGAGGGCACTTCCTTACAGAGGCTTGAAAGTGTGGTCATCCAAGATTCAGGCCACTCTCTCTTCCTTCCTGCTTTCTTCTGAAAGGTTCCTTGCACCTAAGGAAGGTAACAATGAACTATGTTTTCAGTCTGGACTAGAAGTTCATTTACCCAGGTACTAACTTGTTTACTCACTCAAGCATTTATTCATTCATTCACTCATTTACTCTTCCCCCCATTCACCTAATGGCTCACTGATTCATTCATTCACTCATGCTCTCACATATTCATGCCCACAGCCATTCACTCTTCCACCTACCCATCCACCTACCCATCCATCCATCCATCCATCCATCCATCCATCCACCCATCAAACCAACCATCAACCTCTTATTCAATTGCCTTCCCATTCATCCCTTCTCTCATCCCCCATTTTCCCAACCAATCTTTCATTCTTTCTTCCATCTATCTATGCATCCATCTATCCATCCATCCACCCAACCTTTATTAAGCACCTACCATGTTTCCCACCCAAAACTCCCTATGGCTCCCAAAGTAGTTCTGCACCCACTTCGGCTGACAATTCACCTACATATTGGACCCCAGCTCCTTGGCCTCACAGTGGCATGGTTCCCTTGTCTCCTCCTCAGGAGGAGGCTCAGGAGAAGTGGATGGGTGGTCTTCTGCACAGCCCTGGTCTGCAGGTTCCAGCCAGTGACAGCCACCTGAAACTTGGGGTTTTTCAGGACCCTTTGTGTTGCGAGGCCTTTCCCGTCTTTAATGCCAGAACCATGCATGCTCCTGGGCTCTATGGCTCCCGTGGGGCCCTGTTTTCAGTTTCTTGGGGCCCATTTCTTGCCTCCCTAAGGCCAGAACAGAGCTTCAGACTGTGGGGACCCATAGACTTGGGGGCCCTCCTTGATGAGGACTCTGGGGCCTCTCTTCTTGGAGTACAGGTGAATATGCTTCCTGGAAAGATTCACTGACACCCGGAGGCTTAGAGGAGGGCAGGGCGGGCCCGGGCAATCTGGGGAAGTCTATGGCATTCAGTCCTGGCCAGAGGGCAAGAGAAGGGGCTCATGGTCCAAAATGGATGCAGGGAATAGGACACCGCCAGGGAAGCTGGCAGGAGCGCTTCTCATACGTTCCCCAAATGCCCTACTGCAACACCTTGGCTTGTGTCCTTGTTGGCACCTGGAAACCCCTTCCCACTCCCCACCCTGACACTCAGCCTCTGCTCTCCTCTCAGCTGAGTCCACACTCTCCTGCTCTTTGCTTTCAGACACTCTGGTCGCCTTCCCCCAGGGCCCCTACAGAGCTCCATAAAGATTTGCTAAGTGAATGAATGAGTTCTCATTTTACAGAAGAGGGGGTTAAATTCCCTGGGTTTTCCCCTTACCCAGCCTTTCCCCAGCTAGTTCCTCCTCCTTTACATCCCAGCCAAAAGACCAATCCCGGGAGGCTCTCCGGACGCCCCCTCACTTTGCCACTCCCATTTCCTGCTCCCTTCCTATCCTCCCGCCCCCGTGCCCAGGTCCTGCTCTCTTTACACCCTGACATCTTCCTGCTTGCTTTTTTCCTGTCTCCTGGCAAATGTCACCATCCCCATTTCACAGAGGAGGAAACCGAGGCTCAGAGAAGCCTCAGAGGGAATAGCCCAGCCAGATAAAAACCCCTGGGTCGTGAGCACGTTCTTCCACCCATAGTAGCCAGGTGCTTTATTCATGTGGTTTTACTCTGAAATCGGGATGGCTGTAGGTAATAATAGTGGCCATGCAAATCATATTTCATGACAGTTTTTGAAAGGCGCCGTTTCCACCTCGCAGTTCCAGTGCAGGCGGGTGGGACTCAGTGGTGTGTGTGTGTGCGGCGAGTGCCTGCCTGTAGGTGGCCCCGGCCAAGCCAGCCCCGCCCCAGGAGGAGGCTGAACATTAGTCCTGCATGAGGGTGTCTGGGAACTGGGTGCGCCACGGGGGCCCTACCTCACTCCTCCCTCTCACATTGCCGATCGAGTCAGCCCCACGGCGGCAGCACCACGACCGACCGGGATCCTCGAGGTGCCAGCCCATGGCCGAGCCTGCCCTCCTCCCCGCCGCCCAGATGGAGAGGCTGGCCCCAGGGCCCCTAGCCTCACCGTGTCCTCGGATCCCGCGGGCCCGCATTGCCAGGCGCTGCGCCCAGCGCTGGGCCGACCTGGGCTGCAGGTACAGGGGTCACGGGAGCGGGAGGGAAGTTGGCCCTACTATGCACCAGGGGCATGTGCGGTCTGTCTTCACAACATCCCTGTGAGGCAAGAATCTTCCTCCATCGTACAGATGAGGAAACAGAGGCTTGGAGAGCCCGGTCACCTGGCTGTCAAGTGGTGGAGATGGCTTTTAGCCCTAGTCCATGGGACTCCAAACCCAGAGCCTTCCTGGGACACAGCATTGCCCTGGGTTCAGGCTACTGGCCTCCTGCAGGGGTCACTGATTTTCAGATTCTTAGAGACCGTGAGTGACGCCAGTATGTGCCATTTCCTCTTCCTCTGGGTGTAGAGTCTTAGGGGGCCCAGGGGCTCAAGATTCAGGAGTCTCTGGGTCAAGTTTCTGGGTCAGTGTGGCCGTGTGGTCACCTCGGCTGAGAACTGGTCACCCCTTATTCCTGCTCAGCCTGCCACTGACAGCCAGACCAGAATTTTCAAATAGTCATTTCCCCCACTCTGATTACATCATATTACAATTTGATTATTATAGAAAGTCAAACAGTGCAGGAATACTGTACAGGAATACATATGTTCATTCTTGAAAACTTACTACTGTTAAAGTTTTGACATATACCTTGGGAGAACTTTTTGACATATGTAAACCTAAACTTGTATAGTTTTACACAAATAGGCTCTTGTGTTACATGTGCTTGTAAGGTTTTCCCCTGCAACCCCTCAATTAATGTTATGGACATATTTACATGTCAGTAACATAAAGATCCAATTCATTCACTTTAGTGGCCTGCCAGGATCCAACTTTATGGATATCTTTGGTTAATTTGAATCAGTTCCTGGCTAATGGACATTTAGGTTGGTTCCAATTTTTAACGATTCTAAGCAATACAGCAATGAACATCTCTGGGGACTTGCATGGGTAAAATTCACATCCTAGACTTGTAGTTGCAAGTTTAAAAGGAATGTTAGAATCTGAATAGACCCTGCCCTCCAAAAGTGTTCTAGCTTGGAACACACCTGCAGCAGGAGACCCCCATTGCCCCATTCATTTGCCACCCAAGGACCTGAAGACTAGACGTGGTCTGTACTCAGAAAGCAGATTCAGGGAGCAGGTGATCCTGATCGTAGGACAACTGAGTCCTAGAATTCCCTTAAGGGAACAACTTCTAGGCTCAGGAAAGGGAGGGGGAGCTTAGTGAGACCATTTCATTCATACAGCATGTTCGCTGAGCTCCTATGTGCGTGGGGCTCTGCCCCATCACAGGCAAAAATTACTCAGGATAGGATTTTAATAAGAATCAATTTTAAGAAGCCAAAGACAAGTTTGTTTATCTGTCTATCTATCTATCTATCTATCTATCTATCTATCTATCTATCTATCTATCTATCTATTCTATATCTAATCTATCCATCTATCTATCTATTCTGTATCTAATCTATCTATCCATCTATCTATTCATCTATCTATGTTTCCTATTGCTGCTATAACAAATCACATAAGCTTATCTATCATCTCTCTCTCTGTCTCTCTCTCTCATTTATATTAGTTTTCTATTGCTGCTATAACAAATCACATAAACTTAGTAGCTTAAAACGACACAAATGTGTTATCTGACAGTTCTGAATGCTGGAAATCCCCAAATCGAGGAGTCTGTAGGGGTGCATTCTGTCTGGGGGCTCTAGCAATCTGTTTCCTTGCCTTTTCCAGCTTCTGCAGCTGCCCACATTCCTTGGCTGATGGTCCTCTTCCGTCTTCAAAGGCAGCTCTGTAACATCTTCACACATCTCTCTGACTCTGACCTCCACAGTCATCCCCATGTCTCCTTCTCTGACTCTCCTGCCTCCCTCTTTCATTGATAAGGATCCTTGTGATGACATTGGGCCCACTGGCTAATCCAGGATCGTCCCCCCAACTCAAGATCCTTAGCTTAATCACATATGCAGAGTCCCTTTGCCTGATAACATATATTCACAAATACTGAGGATTAGGATGTGGACATCTTGGGGAGCTGTTATTCAGCTGATCACACCATCTATCCAACCATGCGTCGTCCGTCCATCCATCTATCTACCTATCTACCTACCTATTATGGCTGTTCCCCTGACTCCACCACCACCCTCCCTTAATCTCCTGGTTCCTTGTGATCTTTGAGGCAATTAATATTGAATTCACTATAAGAGCTCGTGACCCATTGAATGTGCTTAATAGCTACTGGTTGAATGAACAGATGAAAAATACTTAAGAGAGTTTAAAATTTGAACCATTCTGTTTATTACTGAAAACAAAACAACAAAAGCAACATTTTTACTTCCAGAACAGTGGTGTTTTTTTTTTTTTTTTGAGATGGAGTCTCACTCCGTTGCCCAGGCTGGAGTACAATGGCACGATCTCGGCTCACTGCAACCTCCGCCTCCCGGGTTCAAGTGATTCTCCTGCCTTAGCCTCTTGAGTAGCTAGGATTACAGGCGTGCGCCACCACGCCTGGCTAATTTTTGTATTTTCAGTAGAGATGGGGTTTCATCATGTTGGTCAGGCTGGTCTCGAACTCCTGAGCTCATGATCCACCCGCCTTAGCCTCCCAAAGTGCTGGGATTACAAGCGTGAGCCAATGCGCCTGGCCCAGAACAGTGGTTTTTAAACCAGGGTTCTGCAAACATTTTATTTGAATTTAATTTTTATTATATCTTTCAAGTATTAAACATCTAGTAAAAATACTACCTCCACTCAGGTATCCCAAATGTTTTTTGTCAACTAAAATTATCTTGATTGTATGATCAGTAAATGCTTTAAATTAAACTTATAAAATCAGCTTATAATAATATCACCGTTACCTCTTTTGTTTATTGAGAAGACATTCCACTGCCAAAGAAAAAAAAAAAAGCGAAAACTACTTCCCTGGAACAAGGTTGGTCTGTTTGCTCCAGGCTAATGTTCTTGTGTATTGGCTCACAAGGTCACTAGGTCAGCTCCCCCAATCCTTTGAGTCTGTTCATCTCACTGGTCCCTTGCTTGTGAGTCATTTAGTTATTCAACAAATTCCAGCAGGACGGCAACCTTCAGGATGTAAGCCCGGATCTGTTCTGTTTACCCACAGCTCTCCAGCACTGGCACAGGGCTGGCTTGTTGTAGGTGTTCATGAAATATTTCCCTGATGAATGAAATGCTCACTGCCTCTACATGAAGTCCTGTGATGGATATGAGGGTGTGGGCATGAATAAGATGCTCTCTCAGCCCTTAAGATGTCCACAGGCTGGTCCAGGAGGAAGACATAACACTGGTCACTACCACATAATACACTAAATGCTGACCTGAAAGGCCTGAGCAGGGATGAATAGAGTCAATGTTGTCATCAAACAGAACATCCCATAATGTGAGGGGGACACCGAATTCACTGTCTATGTGGACTTCATCTTAAAACCATGCAATATTGGCCTTGGGAGGTGCCTCAAAGACCCAGTTGGAGTGAGGTGACTCTGTTGGGATTCCCCTTATCCTTGCTCCCTGTAGAAATATATTTTCTGTTAATTCATGATTGGTATAAAAATGCAAAAAAAGTAGCAAGTGAAATCCACCTGCCCCTCCCACCTCCAACCCACAAGAACAGCAATTGTGAGAAGTTAAGTGTACATCCTATAGGATTTTGTGCTTCATAAATATTTACATACATGTATACGTAAAATGTATCTATGATCCAATCCATGCACATAATTGTACTTACATACGTGAATTGGTTTGTATTATGTATACTATTTTATAAATGACATTTCCATCTTTATAATATCTTTTCCTGGAAAGACATAGAAATCAACATTATTCTTTTTTTTTCTTTTGGAGACAGAGTCTTGCTCTATTGACCAGGCTGAGGCTGGAGTGCAGTGGTGGAATCACTGCAGCCTCAACCTCCCAGGCTCAAGTGATCCTGGGACCACAGGCATGCACCACCACGCCTAGCTATTTTTTTCATTTTTGTAGAGACAGGGTCTCCCTATGTTGCTCAGGCTTGTCTCAAACTCCTGGACTCAAGCAATCCTCCTGCCTCAGCCTCCCAAGTAGGTGGGACTACAGGCATGTGCCACCACACCTGCCCTTACGTTATCCTCTTTAAAGACTGTGTGATGTTTCATTTTATGACTGGACAGTACTTTTGTTAACTAGCCTCCTGTTGATGGAATTTTAGGTTGCTTCTTTTTCTCTTTTGGTTGCTATTATAAACTATACTGCAATGTTCTTGGACATATATCTTTGTGTACTTATGATACATTTTCAGAATAGGAATCATGGAGTCCAAAGGTGTATACATTTAAAATTCTGAAACATATTCTGGGTGGTTTTCCAGGAAGGTTGTACCCAATTAGACTCACCAAGTGGGTGTGAGCTTGTTTCCTAATATACATGACATTCTTGACCAGACATTATTGTTCATTTTTAGTCTTGGCTAATTGGATTGGGAGAAACCTGTCTCTTGTTTTAATTTGCCCTTTTTATTATTATTAGTGAGGCTGAGCATCTTTTCACATGCTCAGTGTCTGGCAGAGTTCAAAGGCAGATCAGAGAGGCAGAAAGACCCATTTTGAGTCTAGTGCACCAGCCAGATTTCCTTAATCAATAATGGGTTAAATGACTTGGCTGATTGCACACAGATAGCTTGTAGAATCAATCACCTTTACAAGGTTCACCTTCACTCATATTTTGCTCATGTGTAGCTCAAGTCTCTGCCACTGGGGTCAATGTCAACTGATCTCTCCAGACACACCCCCTTGTATGTGAACGCAACCACTGAATAAATCACCTACACATGGTTTAAATATGTCAGGGGTAGAAGGACAGCCTGAATCTGAAAGCCCAGCTTCACCACTTATCAGCTGTGGACCTCTGGGGAAGTTACTTAACCTTTCTGAGCCTTGGTTCCTTTTCTGTAAAATGGTTGTGAACAGCGGTACCTGCTTCATAGACTTGTTGTGAGGATAAAATGACATTAATGCATGTGAGGGCTTAGTACAGTGCCCACCATTTAGAAATGGGACAATTTGTGTCAGATATCAGTGGTCAAAGGGCAAGTTCTTGGAGCTGACTCCAAATAGCACAGGCTTGTTTTCATGGGACAAGTACATTCGGGACTCCTGACTCCTTGGCATAGCAGAAAAATTTGCATTTGAGTCCTAAATCCTCCACTCATCATTGGGAAAGTTCCTTCATTTCTCTGGGCCTGATCCTTCATTTGTGGAATCAGTGCCATTCAGATAGTGGCTGCCGTTCACACTCACACATCCTCCTGGTTCGAAACCCGGAACGGCCACCTCAGATCCGCAGCTCAGGGGACCAGGCTGCCGCTGGGGGCTTCTGACCAGCTTTGCAGGAAAAAGTCCTTGCAAACCACTTTCCTCCAGGGCTCTCCAGCAGGAGGGGCCTCCTCAGATCCTGCTTACAAACCAGCGAAGGGCAGGTCCCTTCGGATGGAGCTTCCTATTTTCCCTCTTTTCTCACAATGAAGCAGAGGTGAAGGTGTTAATTACACCAAGCAGTTAGGCTGCCGCCCTTCACAACCCTGGGGTCCTCACCCTGCCTGCAATGTGGAGGCCGCTTCTCCACCTCCCCTCCTGTCAGGCGTCACCGACTCTTCCCAAATTGACCAGCAGATGCTCATCCAAGTGTGAGAAGGTCTTTTCTCGATACTTGCCAGTACTGAGTGTTGGCAATCTTTTCTGTGTTTGCCAATCTGATAGAGTTCATCCTTGTTTTATTTCGCATTGCCCTGATTACTTGCGAGGCTCCACATCTTTTCACATAGGGCATTTGCATTTTATCTCCTGTGACTTGTGGATTTCTATCTGCTGCCAACTTTCCCAGTAGATTTTTTGGGTATTTTTTTTCTTGTTGCTTTCCAGGAACTCTTTATATATATAGACTGAATAGTAACACTTTATCATTTGTTGCAGATATTTCCTCTCAGTTGAGGAAAAAGGTCCTATGACATTTTTTATAGTGTCTTTTGTCATACAAAAGTTTTAAGTCTTGATGTAATCAACTCAGCTTTCTTCTGTTATGGCTTCTGGATTTTAATTTGTTTGGAGAGTTGTTCTGCACTACCATTTATTTCTTACTGACTTTGTTCTCATTAAACCCTAATACAGACTTCTATCCACCCAGGGAAAACTTTGCACTTCCCAGCATAAAGACCTGCTCCCCTTCCTGGGAGATTTGCATATCTCATTTCCTCCCAGACATTCACTGACTTGTTTCTTTAAAACTGAGTTTCAACACCACCTCCTCCAGGAAGCCTCTTCTCAGCCCACTCCCCCTTTTGTTCTCTAGTTACTACTCTGTCCCCTCGGGCTGTTTGCCCCATCTTAAGAGGACTGTTGGCTGCTGGCTGCTCGTTGGTCGGAAGGCAGCCTTGTGTTTTCATGTTTTTGGAGTACTTACTATGGGCTGAATGTTTTACAGGCCTTACTTTATTTCATCCTCACTGCCTTCTGTATACTATCACACAATCACCCTGATTTTATAGGCCGCACATCAAGAGGACAGACCTAGGCCCAGACAGTGTGACTTCAGGGCCTTGGTCCTTAGCCACTATAGTGGCTAAGGTGACTTAGGGCCACAAATTTAGTGGCCCTAATTTGGGCCGTTGGGGCGGTGAAAAAGGGCCACAAATTTAGTGGCTGAAACAATACAAAGGTATTATCTTAGAGTTCTGGAGGTCAGAAGTCCAAAATGGGTCTTACTGGTCTAAAAATCAAGGTGTCGGTAGGACTGTGATCCTTTCTGGAGGCTCTCGGGGACAATCAATTTTCTAGCTTCAAGAAGCCACCTGCCTTCCTTAAGTTGCGGTCCACCTGCATCTGCAAAGGCAAGAGTGGCCGGCTGAGTCCTTCTCATGCTACCATCTCTCTGGTTTTCACTCTTCTGCCTCCCTCTTCCCCATTTAAGGACCTTAGTGGTTTCATTGGGCCCACTCAGGCAACCCAGAATAATCTCCCCAAAATCAGCTGATTAGCAACTGTAATTCCATCTGCAACCTTCATCCCACCTTTGCCATGTAACACACACATTTACAGATTCCAGGGAGTAGTGGGTAGTGGGGGGGTTATTCTGCCTACCCGCAGTCACCCTTCCATATTGCTTTTCCAAACTTCAGTCCCCTGCCTCCACCCTCAGGAGTCATCCTGCCTCCCTCCAACCTGGGGCTTAGATCAGTGCCTTGGAGTCACCTGGAAGGCTTGTGCAAACACAGATTGCTGCACCCCACCCCCAGAGTTTCTAATTCTGTAGTTCTGAGGCGAGGGCTGAAAATGTGCACTCCTAACAGGCTCCCAACTGATGCTGATACTGAAGGTCTGGGGCCCACACTTTGAGAACCACTGGGTTAAGTTTATTAATCCTTCAAATATTTATCAATATCTGCTCTGTTTTGGGAGCTGGGCTTATACAATAATAAAAAGAATGTCTCTGGTCTCAAAGAGATCCCAGACTAAAGGAGAAAACAAACAGGCAATGACCATGGAGGGCGGTAAGTGCCAGGACATCAATGAGCCCAACGCCTCTAGGAGGGCTGCAGAGAAGGCTTCCTGGAGGAGGTGATGCCTGAGCTGAGTCCCAAAGTAGGCACTGAGCAGGCCAAGGATGGGAAGGAGAAGGGTGTTCCTGGCAGTAGCTGCCAACTGGGCAAAACTCCAGGGCAAGAGGGAGCCTGGTGCCTCTGAGAGGTACACGTAGCTCACACTGGCTGGAGCAGAGAGTGGGGCAGAGGAGAGATGGGATTGCAGTTTGCTTTCAAGCCCTGAGCCCGGCTGCAACCCCAGGGCCAGGAGACCTGAAGGTAGGATGACAATCTGGCTCTTAAGCCCTTGAGTGCGTAATGGAAGAGTGAGCAATGAGGACCTCCCTGTGAAGATGTGCAGCAAAGACAGGGATAATGAGGCCATGCCTCACCCCTAGGCCAGCCTAAGAGGAGGTGTAACCATGGCAACCAGCCTGATGCTCTTCCTGCTGGTCTTTTTTGAAGGCTTTAAAGACCAGATGTTCTTAATCTGGGGCTCAAGGATGGACCTTCAAAGATCCGAGAACCACTAAAATTATTTGGTAAATGTTATGCATCTCTGTGTGTGTGTGTGGTTCTCCGGAGAGAGGATCCACAACTTACATAAGATTTTAAAAAGCTCCCCCCACTGTGCCACCCCCCTACCCCAAACCAGCTAGGAAGATGTTATAGACCAGGAGTTGTAAACTCTGGTGCCTACAAGGGTTAAGTGGGACCCTCAGGGAGTCACGTGGCAGAGTGTAACATCTCAGGGCATGGTGAGGATTGTGGAACCAAGGTGTGAATGGGAAAACCAAGCTCTGTAATATATTTTAAGGTTTATTCTGAGCCAATGTAAGAGACCCTGGCCTGGGGAACACAGTCTCAAGAGGTCTGAGAAGGTGTCTCCATGGCAGTCAGATTACAGTTTGGTTTTATGCATTTTAGGGGAGACAGGAGTTATAGGCAAAGACATAACTCAAAGCATAGAAGCTGTATAATGGTTTGGCTGGAAAAGGCGGCATATCTTGAAGCCGGGGCTTACAGATTATACGTGGATTCAGATTCTTTAATTTGCAATTGGTTAGAGGAGTGAAGCTTCGTCTAAAAATTTGGAGTCAGCAGAAAGGAATGTTTAAGAGAAGGAAGTCTGTTAACCAATATACCAGTTCAGAGTTGCTCGTAGGGGTGTGTGAGTTCACCTTTGTCTGGCACAGCCATAGGTCCTGTTTATAATTGGTTATCTTATTGTCACAAAAAGTCTGTTTTGTCAATCTTGTGATGTCTTTTCTTTTTTTTTTTCTTTTTTTTTTTTTTGACAGAGTCTTGCTCTGTCACCCAGGCTGGAGTGCAGTGGCAAAATCTCAGCTCACTGCAACCTCCACCTCCGGGGTTTAAGCGATTCTCCTGCCTCAGCCTTCCGAGTAGCTGGGATTACAGGCACCCACCACCACACCTGGATAATTTTTGTATTTTTAGTAGAGATGGGGTTTCACCATGTTGGCCAGGCTAGTCTCGAACTCCTGGTCTCAAGTGATTCACCTGCCTCAGCCTCCCAAAGTGGAGGCAAGGCGTGAGCCACCATGCCTGGCCATTGTGATGTCTATTTTAACATTAATGCTGGTCAGATGCTGTGCCTAAACTACAAAAGGGAGGAGCGTATAATGAGGTGTGTCCAACTTCCCAACCCATCATGGCTACGAATTCAGTTTTGCAGGTTTCCCTGCGATTCTCTTGGCCAAGAGAGTGGATCTGTTCAATTGGCTGGGGGGCTTAGGATTTTATTTTTGGTTTATGGAGGGCACTAAGCCTATTTAAAACTTTTTTTTTTTTTTTTTTTTTAGAAACAGGGTCTCACTCTTTTACCCAAGCTGGAGTGCAGTAACACAATCATAGCTCACTGCAACCTCAAACTCCTGGGCTCAAGCAATCCTCCTGCCCACGCCTCCTGAACGGCTGGGACTCCAGTTATGCACAACCACACTTGGCTAATTTTTTTTTTTCAGACGGAGTCTTGCTCTGTCGCCCAGGCTGGAGTGCAGTGGCACCATCTTGGCTCTCTGCAAGCTCCCGGGTTCACGCCATTCTCCTGCCTCAGCCTCCCAAGTAGCTGGGACTACAGGCGCCCGCCACCATGCCCAGCTAATTTTTTTGTGTGTTTTTAGTAGAGATAGGGTTTCACTGTGTTAGCCAGGATGATCTCGATCTCCTGACCCCGTGATCCTCCCACCTCGGCCTCCCAAAGTGCTGGGATTACAGGCACGAGCCACCGTGCCTGGCCACACCCGGCTAATTTTTGTAATTTTTTTTTTGTAGGGATAGGGTCTTGCTGTGTTGCCCAGGCTGATTTCCAACTCCTGGGCTCAGATGATCCTCCTGCCTCAGCCTCCCAAAACGCTGGGACTACAGGCATGAGCCACTGTGCCTGGTCTAAAACTTCTAATATGATCAAATTAACAACATTAATACTTAATGTTATTTTAATAAAAACAACATTTTATGTAACCCAATATGTCCAGAATATTTTCACATGTAATCAATATGAAACATTAATGAGATATTTTACATTTTCAAATATGAAGTCTTCAAAATCCAGTGTGTATTTTTCATTTCCAGCAATCTCTGATAGGATGCTAAATTTTCATCAGAAATCCTTAATATATATTTAGATTTCATAAAATATACAGCCAGAAAAGTAGATTTGTGTACCCAAGTTGTTCTAAACATATTTAGGCCTTTTCCAGTAACTGAAACAAGTATGTAGTTTTAAATTTAAATTGGTTAAAATTAAATAAAGTTGGCTGGGCACGGTGGCTCACACCTGTAATCCCAGCACTTTGGGAGGCTGAGGAGGGCAGATCACTTGAGGTTGGGAGCTTGAGACCAGCCTGGCCAACGTGGAGAAACCCTGTCTGTACTAAAAATACAAAAATTAGCTGGGCATGGTGGAAGGTGCCTGTAATTCCAGCCGGGAGGCTGAGGCAGAAGAATCGCTTAAACCCAAGAGGCAGAGGTTTCTGTGAGCTGAGATTGCACCACTGCACTCCAACCTGGGCGAAAGAGTGGGATTCTGTCTGAAAATGAAAGAAAAGAAAAGAAAAGAGATAAGAAAAGAAAAGGAAAGGAAAGAAAAGAAAAGAAAGAAGGAAGGAAGGAAGGAGTTAAAAATTCAGCTCCTCATTCATACTAAATACCATATTTCAAGGGCTCAGGTGGCTAGTGGCTACAATATTGGCCAGTACAAATCAAGATGACAATCTAAGTGACTCAGGAAGGGACACACAAATGTCTATAATCTTGTTCGAAGGAAGGATCAGGGAAAGCCTACACAACTTAAGGACTTTCGAAGCTTCTCTGGCAAGCACCACAGGGCTGCGCTGCTGGCTGGAGGCCTGTTTTAAGAGGCAGCCACCACTTGGCTTCAGCCAATTGTCACTTAGAGACACAGACCCAGGATTATCATCTCTACTGATTATTTTTTCCCAAGGGAAATTGGAAATTAGAGGACTTAAAAATGTGAGACCTCCTCATTTTCAAATGATGGCAAGCTATTTAAAAGGTGTGAAAATCCATTGTGTGTGTTGGGGACGTGGTGGGGGGATGCAGTTTGCTATCTCAGATGGAGATTGGTAGATCCTGATCTTCTGTTGGGAATATTTGTCGTCTCAGAGGTCATGGGCAGTACCTTAATCTCCCCCATCCATCTAAAAAATGCAGGCTGCCCCTCCCAGAGTGCTATGTGAGAATTCTGATGCAATCCATCAGTTCCCACCCAACTCTTGAAACCTATGCAATTCTCTGAACCCCAGCAACATAATGATACTCCTGGCTTTCCAACCCTGGTTGCACAATGGAATCAACAATAGGTGCCCAGGTCCCATTCCCAGCAGTTTGGGTGTCATTGGTCTGGCTGGGGCATTGCTTGGGCATAATGGCCTGGCAAAGCTTACTGGGAGATTCCAGCCCATGGGCAGGGTGGAGAAGCACCCTGCCCTGGAGAAGGTCTCTGGGCCAGGTCTCCACACCTAGGATGCAGCTTCTTGGGCCCAGCGTGGGTCCTCTGTTCTGATTTGTGCCCAACTTGAACAGCTAAAGGGGGCACCCATAGCTGTGCCTTCCCTGTCTCTCAGCCCAGGCTCCTGTGTGATTCAGGAAGCTAAATTATATTAATTACATTTCAGAATGTTTTATTCTTGTTGTCTATAACACAAAATAGCCATGCTTGTGACTTTCATAACCCACAGATCGGCTCTAGCAGAAATGCTGTGTGAAAGAGATATGGCGAGCATCGTTTAATAATTCAAAGAATGGTCACACTGTCCAGAATGAGCCAGTCTTCTTTGTCTTAATGGGAAAGTTGTAGCCATAGAGGGATTTTAGGAGCTCAGTTAAGATGATACTCAAAAATGTAAAGGTAAGATTTACCTTTTATAACATCTCATTCCCACCCATCCCAACCCTGTTGCCACAGGGGTTGCTTCGTAGATGTGAGTGTTGCTGTGTCCCGATGTTCAGGTTGTGCACTGCATGTGAGTGTTACACTCAGAGGGGCACCATTTACGTAGTCATCATGTACTAAGTTATGTGAGTGATATGGGTAGGCATGAAGAATCCAGACCTCCTGGCAAGTCCTGAGGCAACAGAGGAGAGACCCTCTTCATAGGCACACATGGCTATGTACACATTCATGAGTGACTGTGCACCCACGATTCCCTGGCGTACCCATACACACATGGCTGTGCCCTGAGATTGCCTTTCTTTCTTTCTTTCTTTTTTTTTGAGTTGGGTCCATTTTTATTGTGGATCGGGGCTTAGAGCATAAGCACTGGTCAGCATCATTAGCTGCACCATCTACCATCCTTCTCTGTGACCCATCTCTATAGGAGCGTCTAAATTTAGCCCAAGAAATCAGGATCAAGAAGGGGGAAAAAAAACCATTGGCCACATGGCCACTCCTGCTATATCTACACCTACCAGTCACTGAACACTTACCCAAGGTGACGGTTTCCATGCAGGAGACCCAAGCGGCTCTGCTAGGGACAATAACTTATTTGCCTAAAGCTTTTTTCTTTCTCAAAAGAGGGGGCAGAGAAGGCTGATTTCTAGAAGTAGATGTGGAATTGAAGAATGTCCCAGGGAGCTAAGTTTTAAGGACTAGCCACAAACTTGTTGCTTCTCCAACAATGTCATGAATCCATTCCTTGCACCATCGCACGTTTTTCATGCATTCAAAAGTGTCTCTAGAGCTCCAGAACCATGAGTACCTCATCACGTCCTGAGCGTCACATCCCCCAGCAAGCTGCCTGCACCAGGCCTTTCTCTAGAAGTCCTGAGACTGAGTACTCTCCGAAGGCTGGAGGTTTGTGCGAGTTTGTACGTGTGGTTGAGCGCTTGTGTGAGGAAAGTCCCGCTGGGGTTGATCTCCATCAAGGTCAAGTTATCCGGCTTGGCATGTGCCTCCTGTTGCCTCACAAAGCTGTCAGCAGACACTCGGAGTTTGGCTATACGAGTGTCCCATATATCCTTGACCAGGGTCCGGATTTCGTCTGCCTTCGGGATGTTGTCTGAAGCATGATTTAATGGGAGCTTGGTAAGTTCCATGTAGTAAAGGCTGGTGGGCATTGAGGTAAAAAAGTTTCTTCCTTTCATTCATGATCCCTCATCTTCTCCAACTTTTCTATGTTCATCCACTCCGGAGGGAGCAGTCGACATTTCTGCTTTTGTTTCAGGTTAATTGCCAGCCACGGGGGTACTTCCACTGGTAAACCAGGGTTAAAAGGCCCCAGGTACCCACCCCAATGAGGTAGCTCTTGTCCAGACTGAAGTTGGGGATAATGGTAACCAGCTCCTTCTCAGCCAGGAACTCGACCTCGGCCACGTCCATGGCGGCGCGAGTGGCCAGCTCGGGCCTCACAGTCTCCTTGGGCCCTTCAGTGTCCCGGAGGAGGTGCCGCAGCCACTGTTTTCCCCGAGATTGCCTTTCAATCTCTGCTCTAAGAGGTCCAATTTCTATCCTTTATTGATTCCTGACTCAGAACCGGATGTGTCTCTTTATCTGGGGGTTGGAGATAGGGTGGAACATGGAGCGTGCACACAGCCAGTGGCGTGTGCACCTGGCACCTGGGAATGGTGTGAGTGGCAGAGAGTGGGCTCACCGCACCTCTGGCAGAGCTGCTGGGGTTGTGCGATAGCGTGCTGTCCCTGTCAGCTATCACTGTGTGACAAATGATCCCCAAACCCAGCAGCAATCATTTCCCTAAGCGACGATTGTGTACTCCCGCTCCTGTGTCTGAAGGTGGCTGGGGATTAGTTGCTCTACCCTAGGCTCTGCTGGGCAGCTCCATTTCTAGCCATGGGTCTGGCTGAACTTACTCCTCCCTGCTTACTGGGCTGTGGTCTGTGCCATAGGTGTTCATTCTGGGACCCAGGCGGCAGCTGTCCAGGGACGGCTCTTCTCATGGTGTTGATAGCGGTGTGAGAGGGCCACCCCACCACCCAGGCACATTGCATACCTGGGCTTGCCCAGAGCCAAAGGCACATGGCATCCCACACAGCCACTCCCTGATGGTGGCTAGCTCTCTCACCCACCTCTCTCCCTCCTTTCCCTTCACCCCAAGCTTCTCACCTTCCCCCAGATTCCCTGCTCAGCAAAGTAAAGCTTGGCACTGCCCAACAGCGGCTGTTGCTCTTCCAGCCTTCCCCACTGGGGACAATCTCAATTCATTGCTCCACAACATATCATTACCCAACAACAATTATGGGACAAGAGATACGTTCAAAAGAGTCCAGGAACTCTGTGGCTCAGGTGATAGGGATAAGAGCTCAGCTGATCAGAGGCAGAGCTGGGGCTACATCTGGGCTGGTGGTATTCCCTCACCAACCACAGGCTGCATCCAGCCAGTGAAAGAAAAGAAAACATTCACAATTGAGGAAAGACCGTTGTACAAGCGGCTTATTACACAGTGGTTGAGAACATGGACTACAGAGCCAGACTTCCTGGGGCCAAATGCAGTTCTGCCATTTACTAGTCAGGTAACCTTGCAGAAGTCACTTTATCGCTGTGCCTCTGTTTGACCATCTGTGAAATGGGATGATAAGAAGTTGTGAAGAGTAAATGAATTAATCCATGCTAAGCAGTGTTTCTCAGCCAGAATGATGGTGTTCCCCAGGGAACATTTGGCAAGGTCTGGAGACCTTGTCATTGTTAAAACTGAGAGGGATGCTTTGGCGTCTAGTGGGTAGAGGGCAGGGATGCTGCTAACTTACTACAGTGCACAGGACAGCCCTCCTTCACAGCAAAGAATCATCCTCCTGACATGCTGTTAGTACTGAGCTTGAGGAACTTTATTTATTTATTTATTTATTTATTTTGAGACGGAGTCTCACGCTGTTGCCCAGGCTGGAGTGCAGTGGCACAGTCTCGGCTCACTGCAACCTCCACTTCCTAGATTCGGTGGAACTGAAGGCTGCCCCCAAAGCCCTATTCACCACTTTTGGGGGAAGCCCTTGGCTGGGTTGCTGAAGCCAGGCCACGCTCCCTGCCCCAGCAGGTCCAGGCTGAGCTGACCTGGTTTGGCTGCTGGAGAGGAGGCTCAGCCACACCTCCACCGACTCATCCCGATGGCCCGCATTCTTGCTCCCTCGGTCATGCTGGCTTTCGGCTTCCCTGAACAGGCTCTCGGCTTCGCTGAGCAGGCTCTTGCTTCTGTGGCTCTCAGCTTTACATGGGTTTCTGCAGCCCTGCCCTTGGGAAAGGCCTTTGCTCCACTGTCATATTATTCTCACTGCCTGCTATGACCTCACGGGCAAGGGTCTCGCTAAGATCACCTTGCAAAGCCCCCTTCTCTACCCCTGTCTTCCCATTTTATGGACTTGGAAGCTGAGGTCCATCGAGAAAAAGGGACGTGCCCACAGCTGCACAGAACATGAGCAGGGGAGCTTGGATGGGAGCCGAGGACTTCTAGGACCTGCCTCATCTTTCAGGCCACCTAGGGGGAAAGTTCATGTGTGTGGAGAGAAGGGCTTTGCATTCAGGAAGGCTCTAAGCCTCTGTGAGGGCTCCGGCCCTCTGACTCACTGCAGGAATATATTTCTTCATGCTCTGTGCTTGTAAGCCCCTGCCCACTCTGCAGGACAGGAACTAGAGGCCACTCACTGGCTGGGCAGTCTTGGGTGAGCCACTTGCTGTGTCTGAATCTCAGATAGGAAGAGTCCAGAAGCAACATATATTGATCAAACTAACATTGACTGAGGACTTCCTATTCTAAGCACCTTAGGTGTATTAGCTTCCTAGTAACTGGCCATAGTAAGGGCTCGATAAACATTTGCTGAATGAGTGAATTGGCTCTTACACTACACTGCCCCAGGTAGTCTCTGTTAGCTTCATATTAAAATGAGGAAGCTAAGGTCCAGCCAGGTTTGGGGACTCCCCAAGGTGACGT
Organism: Homo sapiens; assembly: GCF_000001405.40. Classification (NCBI taxonomy): domain Eukaryota; kingdom Metazoa; phylum Chordata; class Mammalia; order Primates; family Hominidae; genus Homo; species Homo sapiens. The sequence goes on from NC_000020.11 coordinate 38,618,034, forward strand.
TGCTAATAAACAACAAATCTAGGATTCAAATTCAGACCCAGTTGACACTAGAGCCAAATTTCTTGACTTTTTTTTTTTTTTTCTGAGACGGAGTCTCACATTGTCACCTGGGCTGGAGTGCAGTGGTGCGATCTTGGTTCACTGTAATCTCTGCCTCCCAGGTTCAAGTGATTCTCCTGCCTCAGCCTCCTGAGTAGCTGGGATTCCAGGCGCCCGCCACCACGCCCATTAATTTTTTGTATTTTTTACAAAATACAAAAGAGACGGGGTTCACCATGTTGGCCAGGCTGTTCTTGAACTCCTGACCTTGTGATTCACCCACCTCAGCCTCCCAAAGTGCTGGGATTACAGGTGTGAGCCACCGCACCCAGCCCAAAGTTCTTGACTTCTAAATTTACAAATCTGTTTATCTATTGCTTAGTGGCACATAACAACCATCATTTTATTCCGCTTAGCGATTCGATGGGTAAGGAATTGGGACAGAGCGGGCAAGAATACCTGCTCTCTGCTCCATGATGTCTGGGGTATCACCTGGGAAGACTGAATGGCTGCGGGTGACTTCATGCTGGGGACTGGAGCCATCTGTCTGGAAGTTTCTCCACTCATGTGTCTGACACCTACACTCAAATGATTCAAGGGTGAGGTTCGGCTAGGGCTGTTGACTGGGGCACCTGCATGTCACCTGGCACTTGGCCTGAGCTTCTCAACATAGCAACCCCTTCCAAGGAGCAAGCAGAGAGTGAGAGAGCCAGGTGGGATCAGCTTGGTCACTATGACCAGACAGAGAAGTCTCATCGCTCGACCTCTGCTGTGTCCTCTTAGCTGAAGCTGTCACAGCCTGACAGATTCAAGGGGAGGAGACATAGGCCCCACCTCCCCATGGGAGGACTGTAAAAGAATTTTGGGACCATACGTGATATCCACCACAACTACTGTATTCTAGGCAGTGTTCTAGGCACTGGGGAGACAGCAGGGAATAGAGAAGCCAAGAAAGAAATAGTTCCAGCAGAAATGAATGTGTTATGGAGAAGCAGATGGCAGAGACGTAATCCAGGTTAGGGATGAGAAAGGTTGTATTTGAGGAAGTGACTTTAAGTCTGAGACAGGACATTCCAGGCAGAGGGAAGAAGGAGGTACGTGAGACGAGGCTAGAAGCATGGGCAGGTCAGTCCAATGCCTTCGTAAGGCATTTGGATTTTATCCTCAGGGTCCTGGGATACCATGAGGATTCCTAGATGCGGTGAAAGGCCAGTATTGTGAGCTTGGAAGATCTTTCTGAACCAGAGAAGGGTATCTAGACGAAACATGGGAAGACTGCGATGAGGCTGTGGTCCAGGCGAGAAGTGATGGTGGCTTGGACCAGAGTGGTGGTTCAGAAGTTGGTGGATAGAAATGTTGTATGAAAGGTAACATTCATTAGGGGTTCATGGGATGTGGAGACACCAAAAAGGGTGTGAGGAGTGGCTCTCAGAGTGCTTGATGGAACCATCTGATGAGACAGGGAACTCTGAGAGGGGCACAGTGTCTACAGTGGGGAAGGAAAAATGCATTCAGATTACTTCATTTACACCTGGGGCCTCCCTAAATCATCTAGTATGGCAGTTAAGTGCCCTGGTAGTGGGGCTTTCAACCTGGGTTCGTATCCGGGCTTTGTCACTTGCCAATGGGACAAGTCTTGGTGGGTCCCCCAATCCCGTTGGGTCTGTTTCCTTGTCTGTAAGTTGGAAACAATAGCACCCCTACATGGCACTGATGTATTAAACTGAGGTTTGGCCAGGCTTGATGGCTTACATGTGGAATCTCAGCACTTTGGGAGGATCACTGGAGTCAAGGCATTTAAGGGCAGCCTGAGCAGCATAGCAAGACCTCGTCTCTACTGAAATGAAAAATTAACTGGGCATGGTGGCATGTGCCTATAATTCTAGCTACTTGGGGGGCTGAGGTGGGAGCATCGCTTGAGCCCAAGACTTCGAGGCAGCAGTGAGCTATGATCGCGCCATTGCCTTCGAGACAGAGCAAGACCCTTTCCAAATAAAAAGAAATAAACTGATGCTTGAACATGTTTGCCCCTGGGCATGTAGTAGGTATTCAGTAAAGGTTTGAAAACCAAATTACAACTGGAGGCCACGCTGTATACTTAGCACCTGAGTACTTTTCTGCATGCGCTATACCTCAACAAAGCGCTGGAAACAAAACAAACAAAACATCAGCTATATTTGTGAGGTTCTGAACACCTTTTGTGGATGCGTTCTCTTCCTATCGTTCTCTTCCTAGAAGGGGGTACTCACCGCCATGCTGCAAAATGTGATGTTGGAACAATGACACCTTTAGCACTGCGGGTGTTTCATTTTGTTTCTGTTCTTTCCCCTCTCTGACCTCCTCAGAATGTTCTTCCAAAGAAATAATTGCTGCCCCCTCACTGCTTAGCTATCAAATGGTGATAGTGTTGACAATTTTGCTTGGGTTTAGTCGCTGCAGTTTTCAAATTGTCACGAAAACACACAGATGCTGGTAATTTCAAAGCGAATCGCAAAGCAACCAAAGAAACGGAGCTGTGCCCCCAGCATGGGGTGCCAAACAGATTCGCAGGAGGCACTGACTGGCAGTTTTCTTGAAAAGCATAAATAGAGCAGAACAGCCAATTTTATAATTAACTGGGACTTGGTCTCCAGTGAAGCTTCTGCTCTGTGCAAATGCCGGAGCCGTTGCCAGGAGGTTGTGCCCTGTCCCTTCCTTCAGGCTCTGGCCGACTGGAGGTTTCTTTGCTTTACCACATTTTGAGTCTGTTTCAGGATGGAATTGTTTAGGACTCGGAGTTGAGCTCTGTGTGGGCAGGACGCTTGAGAGGAAGCCACAAGCCAGGGTCTACGGTAAAATCCTGGCAGGAAAGGCCATGTGCAGAAAGAACATGGGTCCCTCATTCAAACATTGTTAAGAATTTTGAGATGGTGACAGCAGTTCTCTGAACGAAGTGTGGGCTGCTTCCAAACCTGGGCCCTGTGTGACTGCACAGGTCGCACATCCATGGAGCCGGCCCTAGGTCCTGGATTACACCTCCAGAAACTGGGGGGACAACAGTGAGTGAGGTCATAGGCTGAGGGCAAAATACAACTTCAGGGACTCCAGGGGATGGGATCCCACAAGATGGGGGCTAAGCAGGCAGCAGGGGTAAAATCAGAACAAACAAACATCCAATAAAATAGTCCTTTTTTAGAGGCAATGTGATAAGAGTTCACAAACCCTTTGATTCAGCAATTCTACTTCTAGGATTCTCTTCTACTGTACAAAGGAACAAAGGTAACAGATGGTATTATTTGTGATATTGATGAATAGAAACAACCCAAATCTCCATCAAAAGGAAATGGGGATATTTCAAATAAATGCGCTGTGTGGGGGACCTTCCTGTGAGCATCCAGCTCCTCAGCAAAGAGCTATCAAATGCTTAGCATGCATGGGACTCTTGTGGGGCTGGTGGAGGACTTGAGTTCTGTGTCTTGGCTGACATGAGCCCAAAACAATGTCCCCTGAGTGAAGAAGAGAGTGCCTGCCTTTAGGTTAAATATGCCTGGGGAGAAACATGAGATGTCTGCACACCAAAGTGTTAGCATGGAAAACGTGGTCGTAGCCACAGGAGAATGATTGATATTCTACTTTGCTCACTTCTGCATTGCTGGGAATTTTTACAATAACTGCATATTGATTTTATAAGGGAAAATATAGCTAACAAAAATGTTTTAAGGCCGGGCTCAATGGCTCATTCCTGTAATCCCAGTACTTTAGGAGGCCAAGGCAGGCGGATTGCTTGAGCCCAGGAGTTCGAGAACAGCCTGGGTAACATGGCAAAAACCCTGTCTCTACAAAAAATGCAAAAATTAGCCAGGCATGGTCATGTGTGCCTGTAGTCCCAGCTACTCAGGAGTCTGAGGTGGGAGGATGGCTTGAGCCTGGGAGGCGGAGGTTGCCGTGAGTCATATCGCACCACTGCACTCCAGCCTGGGCCATAGAACCAGACCTTGCCTCAAAAAACAAAAACAAACAAACAAACAAACAAAAACAGAAAAGCACATATATATATATTTTTTTTTTAAAAAGGCAGCATGTGGATGACTTTTCCTTTTTAATCCAAATGAGTCTTGTTTTTTAATAGGGCAGTTCAAACCACCTATGTTTATTGGTTTTCTTTGCCTTTTGTTGGTTTCCACATGGGAGCTTAAATATCTATAGAACTTGCAGAATATACATTTTTCCCACTTGAGGAAACTGGGGAAATGGATTTCTTCCCTCTCTTCTGGCAGGGGTAGTTTATGGTCTATTTGCTGGCATGTGTCAGGGTCTAGGTGATTCCAGTCTAGTATTTTTGCCATTATGACCAACCCTACCATTTCTCAAGGATTTGGGCCAGCAACAGGGACATTTTGTCCCTAAGCTCATCTGAAGTCCTGGACTTCATTTATATGGACCAGGAGACTTGCACTGTCTTACCCTGAGATTCTTTGATTGCATGAAGCAGAAATTCATTGAGTGTAGCTTGGGAAGAAGAGGGGGATTAAAGGGAAGGATGTGGGAGTCAGGGCTCTAGGGGTAAACCACATAGCCTGGATCATGAAAGGCTGCAACTGGGACCTGGAAAATCAAGCTTAGGTTACCCCACATCCCTCCATGCCTGCAGAGGGTCTCCTCTCTGCTTCTTTTGGAAGACTGGCCACTCCAGCCCCACACAGCTTCCAGTTCACGTGCCTGATACTGACCCCTCTGCCCTTGGTTCAACACCTTGAGAGAATGAGATTGGCTCAGTGATGTATAGCACCTCTGTGATCAGGTACCTGCTCTGTTCAAAGCTGGCTGGGAGAGGGGAGGAGATGAGGTGCTCCTGTGATACAAACAGGAGACCCAGGGCTTGGCAGCCAGACTCACAAAGGAGGAAGTGTGAGGGAAGGAGACAGGAGACTTTCTGGGTAAAAATTCAGTGAGATCCACGAGACACTGCCCTGTCATTTCCTCGCCTGTCCTGGTGTTTAATCCCCTCTTGGGAATGCTGCCTTTACCGTAGGTATGTCCAAGACTGTTAGCCTTGACCAAGAAGGTGGAAGCAAGCAGAGCAGTCTGGCCCTGCTCTGTCCCCTGCAGCATTGCTGGTTTCCAAGGATCCCGCAGGGGTGATGGGTCACCAGTCAATTTGCTGAGATCACCCTGAGAAACATGCCTAGGAAGCTTGCTTAGCCCCCAGGGGCCCAGGCTGATTTCTGGAGAGCCACAAGCCTCAGCACAACCCCCATCATAAGCAGAGACTTGCTGACCTCCCTGCACCTTCCCCACTTGCTACAGCTCTGGCCCCTCCTCAGGCCGAATGGATCAGCTTCCCCAGAAGAATCTCCTGCGACTACACCCTGCTGGCTCTGCTGGCTGTTCCACTGGAGTGGAGAGCTCCAGCATGGATGGCTTTTGGATGGAGGTGGAACAGATCCAACAGAGAGATGAGCTGAGGGAAGAGGACAGTGGCGGGAATGAAGGCCAGCTTCCAGAGGGTGAGAGACCCTGGCGGGGGCCTATAGGGGTGGTGGGAGGGCTTGATTCCAGGCAGAGAAATGTCAGAGGATCCAGATATGAACCAGAACATGACAGCATTTTCTCTGTTGCCTGGACTGGTGCAGTATCCTCTTCACTGCTCTCCCTGCTTCACCCGTGATCCTTACTGTCTGTTCTCCATGCCATAGTCAAGACGATCTTTTAGTAATGTAAATTAGATTATGTCCCTCCTTAGAGTAAGTCCTTCAGGAAATATTTTTTGAGTGCCTATTATGTGCCAGGCACTGTTTAGGCACTGGGGATACAACAGTGAACACAAAACAGTCTCCTATATACAGACCTAATGTTCTAGGGAAATTCTAAGCCCTCTGCTCTAAATCCTCAAATATCTCTCCATCTATCTCAGAGTAATAGACAATTATGTGTCCCTATTATCTACTACTATGTAACAAACCACCTCAAGCTTAGAAGCATAATGCAGCAATAATCAATTATTATGACTATTACTATACCTCACTGTTGGAGGGGTTGAGTGGGCTCAGCTAGGTGGTTCTTGCTCAGGGCCTCTCATGCAGTTACAATCAAATGGTAGCTGGGGCTGGACTCATCTCAAAAGATTTCTCATCTATGTGCCTGGTGGTGGATGTGACCATCAGGGGGCCTCATCTGGGATTATCATCTGGAATACCTGCATGAGGCCTCCACATGTGGCCTGGGCTTCCTCACAGCATGGCGGCTGGGTTCCAAGCACAAGACCAAGAGAGAGAGCTGGGTAGAAGCTGTCTTGCTGCTTATGACCCAGCTTTAGAAGAAAGACAACATTGCTTCTGCTGCATTCTGTTACCCTGCATGCAGCTATGTTCAAGGGGAGGGGAATTAGACTCCACCCCTTGATGGGGTGAGAGTCAAAGAATTTGGGGACGTGTAATAAAGCCACCAGATCATAACTTACCAGGCTTTACATAATTGGCTTCGTGCCTCCTCTCTGCCTCTTCTCCTCCCACCCTGACTGGCTGTCACTCTACTTCTGTCCTCGGGCCTCCTTGCTGGTCCTTGACCCTAAAAGCACTTTCCTGCCTCAAGTCCTTTGGTTCTCTCTGCTCCCTTGGCCTCAAATGCTCTTGCCCCAGGCATCTGCATGGCTTGTTCTCTCCAGTCAGGACTGGGCTCAAATGTTACCTCCTCAGAGAGGTCTTCACCAGCTTCCCTACACAAAATAGCACCCCTGCCCCATCACTCTCTAGCCCCTGCCCTACTCTGTTCGTTGCTGCAGCAATGATCACTGCCTGACTTTACCTAGTGCACTTCACTGTGCATGTGTCTGTGACCCCCACTAGAATGTAACTTCCATGAGGCCAGGGACATCATCGGCCCTTTTCACTGCTGTGTCCACAGTGCCTAGAACAGAGCCAAGCACATTCCCCTCCTCCATCCTTACTTGTTCAGCAGATGAGGGAATGAAAGGGCTCCACATGGAACCCTTCCTGGTTTGGCATGTAATTCAGCTGGGCTTGCCCCTGGTTGGCAAAACAGACCACGTGGTGATGCAGACCTCCTAAGGGCCTAATAGTCTCATGCAGTGCCTCCAAGTGTAAATGTAAAAACATCCCTGGTTACACTAGAAGTGGTTTCAGGAGATGCCCTGCATAGGAGGTCCTCCATGTGGCCTCTCTGGAATCATGATGTGGCCAGCAATCTAATTTCCCACAATACACAGGGAGTGGAGTCAGAGTGGGTCAGAGAGAAGCCACTTTGAGCAACCAAATAAACACAGGAGCTTTTTTAGACTCACAGGGCTGAGGGATCCTGAGTGGCATGGAGCCAAGACTGGTTTTTTTTTTTCCTTTCTTTTCTTTTTATTTATTTATTTAATTTTTGAAACGGAGTTTCACTCTGTCACCCAGACTGGGGTGCAGTGGCACAATCTCAGCCCACTGCAACCTCCATCTCCTGGGTTCAAGCGATTCTCCTGCCTCAGCCTCCCAAGTAGTTGGGACTACTGGCATTCACCACCACACCCGTCTAATTTTCGTATTTTTAGTAGAGATGGGGTTTCGCCATGTTGGCCGGGCTGGTCTTGAAATCCTGATCTCAGGTGATCTGCCCACCTTGGCCTCCCAAAGTGCTGGGATTACAGGCATGAGCCACCATGCCTGGTCATCTTTTCTTTTTATTCGGACACCAACTTGAACCAGAGGGATTGTTAATAATTTATTTTTCCCATCAATGTCTACTCATGGCAGGTGATGTTGGATGCTCCATTTATGGTGGGGATCTTGTTTCCTTTTAAAATAGATGTGTTTTAGTAAAAAATGTAGCCCATGATTAAGGGGATATATTTGGTAAGGAATTTTACAGGGACAATTAGATACAGATAAAAATTATAAAGGTGGTTGGTGAATGCCTACATTTCAAGAAACAGTGGCTCATTGAAAGGATCCTGTACAAACAAAAAAATGTCTGGCATCATGATAGAATCAGTACCTCCACCAGCCAGCACAAGTCAGGAATGGACCCACAACATTGCAACTGCCCTGGAGGCATCTGTTCTGGTTCCCAAGTGCAGGGAAAGTGTTGGGGGAAGACTTGGATTATTTGCAAAACCCAGGCTGCCATAAAAGCAGTTTTGTTTGAGTTTTTAAAACACTTATTACCTTGTTGACTAACTGGGTCAACACTGGGTACAACTGTACACCCCACCAATCCTCTCACACATGTGTTCAATTTCCAGTAAGAGCTCTTGTCCATTTCCCCCATGATAAGGCCAGTGTTTCTCAAGTGTGGTCTGAAGACCCTATTGCATTAGAATAATCTGAGGAAGACATTCGAAGTGCAGATTCTCAGGCCCGAGGCCTGAACTCCTGGAACAGAATCCCTGGAGGTAAGACCCGAGATCCTGAAATCTCAACACACCCTCCCATTCCAGTTAATGGTTTTGCTATGGGACTATGAGAGTTTCCTTAGGAAGCACAGTAGAGGGGACAATTCCAACACAAATAAGGTCTTGAATATGGAGGACTTCCCAAAGGGACATCAACACCCAGCACCAACTTCCCAAGGGGACACCATGTGACCCTGTAGTGGTCTCTGCCAGATTTTGGATAAGTGGGTTCATTACTTTGGAGAGAAGTGGGTCCAAAATCTGAACATGCAGGGCCCTTCACCCACCTCTGTTTTCCAGGGATTGCTATGTTATGGGTTGACATCCATACACTGGCTAATGCTATCAGTACCCCCCACCCCGCCCCCAGTTCTCAGAAGGCTCATTAGATCTTCTCCCCCGGAGAGTCTGGTTGGTGTTAATAGGTCTCACGATCAGATATGCAGAAACTCCTGTGTCCAGGTGAGTGTGTGCTTCTATGCAGAACTTTGGTTAGCACGAGTGGCTGAGTGCAGAGCTGTGTGTGTTCATCTGGGTTCTACTTCTGTTGGCAGAAGGGGAAGCTGAATCCCAGTGGCTGCAGGACACAGGCCTGTCGGGCCTCCTTGGTGGCCTGGGCTTGGATGGTGATCACCAGGAGCTCCTGTCCACCCTGACACAGACCCAGGTGGCCGCTGTGTGCCGCCGGCTGGACATCTATGCTCGCTCAGTGCGAAGACAACACAAGACACCTGTCAGAGATGTCAGGGATGTCTTTGGGGTCTTCAATTCAGGGGTAAGTGGCATATGGGTCATTGCAGGCCCCGTCTGACTGGGATCTCTGTGCTGCCGCCACAGCCTGAGAGATGCAGTGATCCTGCTGAAGGGCTGTGTTGGTGTGTGTATGTGTGTGTTGGTGTGTGGGTGTTGGTATGTGTGTTGGTGTCTGTGTGTTGGTGTGTGTGTTGGGGTGTGTGTGTGTTGGGGTATGTGTGTTGGGGGTGTGTGTGTTGTCTGTGTTGGGGGTGTGTGTGTTGGTGTGTGTGTTTTGGGGTGTGTGTATGTTGGTGTGTGCATGTTGGTGTCTGTGTGTTGGTATGTGTGTTGGGGTATGTGTGTGTGTGTTGGTGTGTGTTGGGGTATGTGTGTTGAGTGTGTGTGTTGTGTGTGTTGGGGTGTGCGTTGGTGTGTGTGTGTTGGTGTGTGTGTGTTGGGGTGTGTGTGGGGTGTGTTGGTGTGTGTGGGGGTGTGTTGGTGTGTGTGTTGTGTGTGTGTTGGTGTGTGTGTATTCAGAGTGCAGTGGCTTGCACACGTATGTCTCCCTGCCTTCCACTATGTCCCTATGTTGCATGTAGGTCTTCATCTCCCATGCATGCCACTGCATATATGCCTGTTGCCACTGTGTGTCCTTGGGTGAGCCTGAAAGCCTAGGTTCTTTCTATATAATTGTTATTGATGCAGGGCAGGCAAGCCCCTAAATTGGGGATTAGCTCTGGAAGCTTTTGGTTTCACTCAGGAAAGAATTCAAGAGTGAGCTGGTGGTAGAAGAAAACAACACTATGGAGGCAGCAGTAATACAGTGGCGTGACTGCTGCTGCAGAGCGGGGCCACCCGATAGGCCGTGTCCAGGACAGCAGCCCAGGGGCAGGACCACCCTATAGGCTGTGTGTCCAGAGCAACAGCTCAGGAGCAGTTCTGCCTTTTAATTACATGCAAATTAAGGGGTGAGTTATTCAGAAATGTCTAGAAAAGGGGCAGTAATTTCCAGGTGTTGCCATGGCAATGGTAAACTGTCATGGCACTGTGGGCATGTCTTATGGAGAGGTGTTTTTGCCTCTTCCTTGTTTCAGCCAAAGTCCCACCTCCTACCTCATTATCAGTACAAAATCCTTTTTTTTTTTTTGAGACTGAGCCTCGCTCTGTCGCCCAGGCTAGAGTGCAGTGGCGACATCTCGACTCACTGCAAGCTCCGCCTCCCGGGTTCACGCCGTTCTCCTGCCTCAGCCTGCCGAGTAGCTGGGACTACAGGCGCCCGCCACCATGCCCGGCTAATTTTTTGTATTTTTAGTAGAGACGGGGTTTCACTGTGTTAGCCAGGATGGTCTCTATCTCCTGACCTGGTGATCCACCAGCCTCGGCCTCCCAAAGTGCTGGGATTACAGGCGTGAGCCACCACGCCCGGCTGGCACAAAATACTTTTTTATTGTCACTGTGTATCCTGCTGACACTTGAAGCCTGATAGGTTGTGGGCATCATCTTTCTTGGAGCACCTCTGAAGTGGCATAGCAGTGATTAAAACCACAGGCTTTGGAGCCAGCCAGACTTGGGCCCCAGTGCCCATTCCCCGACTTAGCAGCTGTGGGACTTTGGGCAAGTAACTCAGCCTCTCTGGGCTTCAGTGGCTCCATCTGTGAAAAGGGGTTGTGGGTGGCTTCTGTCTCCCAGGGTTGTGTGAGCATTGTCAGCTTCCCACATGAGTAATTGGGCACTGTCTGTAATTTGCATAGAAAATGTCGTCAGAGAATGGCGACTCCGGTATGAAGGGGGCCCAGCTCAGTTCCGGGGCCTCTAAGTTTCCTCCAGGTAAGTGGTCTTCATTCTCCAGGGCCCTGAGAATCCTCCAGGCTGCATAAAGGGCTGCTCTGTGAAGTAAGAGAATGTGCACACCTCCCAGCATTTCCTGCTTCCTGCTGACTCCCTGCCTTCCCTGCTCAAGGGCAGTAGGGAGGAGCCCTGAGGGGACAGGTTGGGCCCTTAAGTGAGCTGTTGCCATCAGGCCCATGGGGCTCAAGATGGGAAAATTCTCTTCCTGGGCAATTGGCCTTAGCTGGGAAATCACTTCCTGGGGCAGTGAGGGTCTTAGCTAGGAAATCATTTCCTGGGGGCAATGGGCCATAGCTAGGAAATCACTTCCTGGGCAATGAGCCTGAGCCCTAAACCTAATGATTTGATCCTGGGGCTTTGAACTTGAGCTTGGGAGCTCACTTCTTAGGACTAAGGGCCTAAGTCCCGAACCCAAGCACTTGCTTCCTGGCAGCCAGTTCTCACTGCCTTTCTCTGCTTTGTTTCCCCCGCCCCGCAGCAGCAGAGCCTGGGGGGCTGCAGGAGCAGGCTGGGAGGGAAGAAGCCTTCAACATGGACTCTGCCTACTCAGAACAAGCTGCGGTGCTCCTGCAGAGGAGCAGGCCATCCCGGGGAGGCACCTCTGCCTGGGGCAAGTGTTCCCTGCCGGTGAGGATGCTGTCCACAGGGCTGGTTGGCTAGGTCCCCCTGTGCTCAGGCACCAGCACCCATCTCTTCACACCTTCCACACTGACAGGCATCCAGCACAAAAGTTGTTAATTCATTCATTCATTTAATTCGTACCACAAATATTTACTGAGTGACCGCTGGGTATCAAGACTGGGGAGCAGGATGCTTACAGTCTAACAGTCCTGTCAGTATTGTCTCCATGCTCTTTGTTTTTATCCTTAGAAAGCCCTCCCTCCTCCAGCAAGCTCATAACTGTCCATCAACATGTTTTTCTAGTTACTTTTAAAATTAATTTTAGTGCCTGGAGTGACAGAGAGAGACCCAATATTTTAGTTCTGTTCTTTCCTCCCTCTCTCCCTCCCTCCCTTCCCTCCTCCTCCTCCTTCTTTTTTCTTTCTTTCTTTCTTTCTTTTTCTTTCTTTCTTTCTTTGTTTTTCTTTTCTTTCTCTTTCTTTCCTTTCTTTCTCCTCCCTCCTTCCCTCCCTCCCTCCCTTCCTTCCTTCCTTCTTTCCTTCCTTCCTTTTCTTCTTCCTTTCTTTCCTTCTTTCCTTCTTTTTTTTTTCTTTGAGACAAGGTCTCACTCTGTCACCCAGGCGGGAGTGCAGTGGTACCATCCCAGCTCACTGCAGCCTCAACCTCCCAGGCTCAAGCTATCCTTACACCTCAGTCTCTCAAGTAGCTAGGACTACAGTTGCATGCCACCATGCCCAGCTAATTTTTAAAATTTTTTTTAGAGTTAGGTTCTTCCTACATTGCCCAGGCTGGTCTCAAACTCCTGGGCTCAAGCAATCCTCCAGCCTCAGCCTCCCAAAGTGCTGGGATTACAGGTGTGAGCCACTGCACCTGGCCGTTCTTTTTTCCCAAAATATTCAGTTATCCCAGCATAGTTCCTTCCAAATAGGATGTAATCATTGATAGTTAGGTTTTTAAAGATTGAACTATAACTCGCTGTTAAGTGCACAGATATTTACCAGGTACAGCTTGGTGTGTATGCCCGTGTAAATACCAACAAATGAGTACAGAAACTTCCTCCCTTGCTTGATGGCTTGTAATATGGAAAAAGAAAGAAAGAAAGAAACTTCCTACCCCACCACCCCCTCAGTGCCCGCATGCCCTTCCCAGGTAATTCCTTTCCCTGCAGAATAACCACTATTCTGACTTCTCTCATGGAGTAAATATAGTCTTTCACAGTCCCTCTATTACTAAAGGAAGTGTTTCTTCTTTGACCACGTGATGATGCAGTCGATGCAATCTTAGGTAACATTTTACTGAGGGCTGCCCTGGCCCAGGGCATTGTTCCCAAGGCTTCCAGTGCCCTCATTGCTCCCTGACTATATGATAGAAAGAAAGAGAAGTAGGATCGGGCACAGTGGCTCACGCCTGTAATCCCAGCAATTTGGGAGGCCAAGGCGAGAGGATTGCTTGAGTCTAGGAGTTTGAAACCAGCCTGGGCAACATAACAATACCCCATCTCTACAAAAAATTTTTGAAATAGCCAGGTGTGATGGTGCAGGCCTGTAGTCTTAGCCACTTGGGAGGCTGAGGCAGGAGGATCACTTGTACCTGGAGGTTGAAGCTGCAGTGAGCTATGATTGCACCACTGCTCTCCAGCCTGGGCCACAGAGCAAGACCTAAAAAAAAAAAAAAAAAAAAAGAGAAGTGGCATATGTTAGTCTGTTTTTACACTGCTGATAAAGGCATGAAAGAGGTTTAATGGACTTACAGTTCCACATGGCTGGGGAGGCCTCACAATCATGGTGGAAGGTGAAAGGCACGTCTCATGTGGCAGCAGACAAGAGAAGAGAGCTTGTGCAGGGAATCTCCCCTTTTTAAAACCATCAGATCTCGTGAGACTTATTCACTATCACAAGAACAGCCTGGGAAAGACCTGCCCCCGTGATTCAATTACCTCCCACAGGGCCCCTCCCACAACACATGGAAATTCAAGATGAGATTTGGCGGGGGACATAGCCAAACCATATCATGGTGCTCAGAGAGGAGAAGTGACAGAATTGGCTCCCACAAAGGCCAGGACAGGAACACCTGGCAGCCTGACCCTGGAGCCTTCCCAACTGACCACCACTCTCTACTGCTTAGGAAACCAACCCCACCCCCTGCAGTAGCCTCTATTCCAATGTGAGAGTACTTTCACTCATTCAAATGGAATTTTCTTAGGTCCACAGCAAGTTGCAAAAACAGAACTCCCACGTACTCTGCACCTAGTTTCTCTTAGTGATAATATTTTCCATTAATCATAGTACATCAAATAACATTTATATTTATTTATTTATTTATTTAATTTTTTCTTTTTTGAAACAGTCTCACTCTGTTGCCCAGGCTGGAGTGCAGTGGCAAAACCTCGGCTCACTACAACCTCCACCCCCGACGTTCAAGTGATTGTTGTGCCTCTGCCTCCCAAGTAGCTGGGACTACAGGCATGTGCTACCACACCCAGCTAATTTTTGTATTTTTAGTAGAGACAGGGTTTCTCCATGTTGGCCAGGCTGGTCTCGAACTCCTGACCTCAGGTGATCTGCCCGCCTCAGCCTCCCAAAGTGTTAGGATTACAGGTATGAGCCACTGCACCCGGCCTAAATTTTTTTTTTTTTGAGACGGAGTCTCGCTCTATTGCCCAGGCTGGAGTGCAGTGGTGCAATCTTGGTTCACTGCAAGCTCCGCCCCCTGGGTTCATGCCATTCTCCTGCCTCAGCCCCCGAGTAGCTGGGACTACAGGCGCCCGCCACCATGCCTGGCTAATTTTTTGTATATTTAGTAGAGATGGGGTTTCACCGTGTTAGCCAGGATGGTCTCAATCTCCTGACTTCGTGATCCGCCAGCCTCGGCCTCCCAAAGTGCTGGGATTACAGGCGTGAGCCACCGCGCCTGGCCTAAAATTTTTTAATAATGAGTTTCTATTTCTAAAACATCAGAGATAATTAATATTCAACATTATCTTGTCTTTTTCTTTGACAGTGTTTCTCCATTAAATTATGAATGATGATAATAATTAATCACGCTAAAGGGCCAGGCATGGTGGCGCACACCTGTAATGCCAGCACTTTGGAAGGCCAAGGTGGGAGGATCACTTGAGGCCAGAAATTCGAGACCAGCCTGGGCAACATAGCAAGACCCCATCTCTACAAAAATTTTTTTTAAATAATTGGGTGTGGGCCAGGCATGGTGGCTCATGCCTGTAATCCCAGCACTTTGGGAGGCCGAGGCAGGCAGATCACTTGAGGTCAGGAGTTTGCGACCAGCTGGGCCAACATGGTGAAACCCCATCCCTACTAAAAATACAAAAGTTAGCTGGGTGTGGTGGTACACAACTATAATCCCAGCTACTTGGGAGGCTGAGGCAGGAGAATTGCTTGAACCTGGGAGACAGAGATTGTAGTGAGCAGAGATCACGCCACTGCACTCCAGCCTGTGTGGCAGAGTGAGACTCCGTCTCAAAAAAAAAAAAAATAGTTGGATGTGGTGGTGTGTGCCCGTAATCTTAGCTACTCAGGAGGCTGGGGCAGGAGGATCACTTGAGCCGAGTTCAAGGTTACAGTGAGCTGTGATTGTGCCCCTGCACTGCAACCTGGGTGACAGAGCAAGACTCTCCTCTGAATAATAATAATAATGCTAAAGACATCACATATTGATCTTTTACCACACACTAAGCATTATGCCAAGTACTTCACATATTTGATTTAATTTCATTCTATTAAGTTAGTGATAACTGTGTTAATAAACTAAAAAGTAGTAGTAAGTATTGAGTACTCACTATGTGTCGGGCACCATGTTTCATACACTTTATTGAATTTAATCCCACCAACAGTCTTGTGAAGTAGATACTGTTATCACTTCCACTTTGCAGATGAACACACAGGTAAAATTATTTGCGTGCACTCACAGGTAAAGTCAGGATTTGAACCCCGGGGGATGTGACTCCATAGCCCATGCCGCAAGCACTAGGCTGTATTATAAGCATCAATTACTATTTCTTTCCCTTTGAGCACTCGAAAGGGGCACTGGGAAGTGGTCCAGCCACGCCCTCCAGGCAGTGCTGAGCAAGCCTGGCCCTCCCGCTTGCCTTCTCTGACCTTGGGCGGCAGGAAAGCCTGGAGCTGCCTGCAGATTCCCAAGGTGGCCTCTAGATGGCACGGTTGAGCATTCTTTATTTCTGCCGGTGGCATGGCCAAGGCTGGGGACAGAGCCGGTGAGGCAGAGGAACAAAGGACCAGAGTAGAAGCAATAATAAGAAGCCCATGGGGTGATCCCTCTTCTCCAGGTCCTCTTGTGGAAGGGCAGGCAGTGAAAACAGTTTCTGTTTCTTGGGGCTTCGCTATGTGCTTGGGACTGTACCAAGCACTCTATATCCATTAGGTCATTTGCTCCCGCTAAAATTTTATGAGGTCGTTGCCGTGGCTCATGCTTGTAATTCCAGCACTTTGGGAGGCTGAGGTGGGAGAATTGCTTGAGCCCAGGTGTCTGAGACCAGCCTGGGCAACATAGAGAAACCCTGTCTCTACAAAACATACAAAGATTAGCCAGGTGTCGAGGTGCACACCTGTAGTCCCAGCTACTCAGGAGGCTGAGGCAGGAGGATCAGTTGAGCCCAGGAGGTCGGGGCTGCAGTCAGCAGTGTTCATGCCACTGTACGCCAGCTTGGGCAACAGAGCAAGACCGTGTTTCCAAAGAAAAAAACAAACAAACGTGCAAAAACCTTCTGAGGTAGGCTCTATTTTATGATTATGGATGGAGAATCAGAGCCTCAGAATGTCACTCCGTTTGCAAGAGGTGGAGCTTGGACTTGACTTGAGGATGGACTCCTCTTGAGTGCTTGCTCTTATCCACGCTGCTCTTCCTTCTGCCTAAATGCCCTGGGGAGAAGGGGGAGCCCCAAAATACACATCAGACTCATAGCCTGACAAATTGTCTTTACTTCCCTCTCTATTAATAGAAGTTTACCGTCCCCAAAGGCAGACTTGGCGTGACGAGGATAGGAGACTTGTCCCTGCAGGATATGAGGAAGGTACCTTCTCTGGCCCTCATAGAGCTGACCGCGCTCTGTGACATCCTCGGCTTGGACCTGAAGAGGAGCAAGGCGGGGAAGTGGAAAGCGGCAGGTGAGCAGCCCCAGCCCAGGGAAAGCCCTGTGGCCACAGTCCTCATAGGGAGCTGAACACGGACTCTCCCAGCAAGAGATGCTCAGCTTTGTCTTTCTTTCTTTTTTTTTTTTTTGAGACGGAGTCTCGCTCTGTCACCAGGCTGGAGTGCAGTGATGTGATCTCGGCTCACTGCAACCTCCGCCTCCCGGGTTCAAGCAATTCTTTTGCCTCAGCCACCCGAGTAGCTGAGACTACAGGTGCGCACCACCATGCCCAGCTAATTTTTGTATTTTTAGTACAGACGGGGTTTCACCATGTTGGCCAGGATGGTCTTGGTCTCTTGACCTCGTGATCTGCCTGCCTCAGCCTCCCAAAGTGCTGGGATTACAGGTGTGAGCCACCACGCCTGGCCAGCATGCTCAGCTTCTATATTCCTTCTGTTTACATTTTTTTTTCTGCATATGTAAACAATTCCTGCTCATTGTGGGAAATTTGTGAAATAGAGTAAAATACAAAAAGGAAAAAATATAATTCAGAAAAGCACTTTTAGTGTATTATCTTCCTTTGTGTGTATATGTGTGTATCCTTTTTTCACCTAATATTATATAATTATGGTTTGGGAGCAGTGGCTCACACCTGTAATGCCAACAATTTGGGAGGCCGAGGTGGGAGGCTCACTTGAGCCTGGGAGTTTGAGACCAGCATGGGTGACATAGTGAGACCCTGTCTCTACAAAAAATAAAAAAGTAGCCAGGCGTGCTGGTGCACACCTCTAGTCCCACCTACCTGGGAGGCTGAAGTGGGAGGATCACTTGAGCCCGGGAGGTGAAGGCTGCAGTGAGCCTTGATCATGCCACTGCACTCCAGCCTGGGTGACAGAGACAGACTCTGTCTCATTCTATATATATAGAACTATGAGACCCTGTTTCATAATTCCATTATATATAATAGAATATATTATAGTTATAGATCTATATTATAGAACATTATATATAATAGAATTATGGACATTTTCCAGTTATTGTATCATTTAGTGGTTGTCATGATAATGCTACATAACAAACAACCCCCAAACTCATGACTTAAGAATTCTTTACTCTTGCTCACATGTTTATGAGTAAACTGGGCGTAGCTTGGCTGATCTAGGCTTAGCTCCAAGTTGTTGGCTGAGTGTAGGTCTGCTCACAGGTCTCTCATCCTCCTGGGACCAGCTGGCTGTCTGGAGGATGTTCTTATGGTGACAGCAGAAGCTCAGAGGGCAAACTGTACCGCATTTTAAGCCTCTGCTTGCATCTTGTAGGTTACCATGCCATTGGTCCAAACTAGTCACATGGCCTAGCAAGGGGTGAGGAAGTACGCTGTGCTTCCCTAATGGGAAGATTTGCAAATTCACATGGCAGAGGGTGTGGATACAAAGAGGGGTAATGAATTTAGAACAATAGTGACATTTACCACAACTATTAAATATTCCTTGAAAACATGATTTTTATTTATTTATTTTTTTTTTTTTTTGAGAGAAAGTCTCTCTCTCTTGCCCAGGCTGGAGTGCAGTGGCATGATCACAGCTCACTGCAGCCTCAATCTCCCCAGGCTCAGGTGACCCTCTCACCTCAGCCGCCTGAGTAGCTTGGACTGCAGGTATGTGCCATCATGCCCTGCTAATTTTTGTATTTTTTGTAGAGATGCAGTATTTTTATGTTGCCCAGACCGGTCTCGAACTCCTGGGCTCAAATGATCTTCCCACCTCAGCCTCCCAAAGTGCTGGGGTTACAGGCATGAGTCACCTTGCCTGGTGAAAACATGATTTTTAATCACTGCACTATTTTCCTCCTCGTGGATGTATTCTAATATATTTAACCATTTCCCTATTAGTGGACATTTTTGATGCCCATGTCTTTCCTATTATAAGACACAATCATTACTGCTGTATATATGCTTTTGAATGCATCTTAGCTTACTTTAGATTATACTTATGAGTTAAGTTCCTGAGATAATATTGCCCTTCAGCAGTGTATGAAAGTGTTCATTTCACTGCAGCATTGTCAACATTATGCATTGTGATTTTTTGGTTTGTTTTGGTTTGGTTTTTTGGTTTGTTTCTTTAAAGACAAGAGGATGGTGAATAAAAAAAGACCAGGGGGAGGAATCTAGCAGAGGTGGGGTAGGCCAGAGAAGGGAGAAAGAAGGAAGGTGTGGAGAAAATGTGGAAGGAGGAGTTTGCCTGAGAAGACCTCAAGCCAGGGTGGTTAAGATTGACCCAGGGAATACATTCTCTAGGACCTGGCCCATCCTGCAGAGCCAGAGCTCTATCCAGGACTGCTGTTACATTTTTATACCTGGTGCCTTCTGGAGCAGCAGCGTGCTTCCCTTTCAATACTTTTTTTTTTTTTTCTGTGAGACAGAACTTTGCTCTTGTCACCCAGGCTGGAGTGCCATGGTGCAATCTTGGCTCACTGCAACCTCTGCCTCCTGGATTCAAGCGATTCTCCTGCCTCAGCCTCCCGAGTAGCTGGGGTTACAGACACCCGCTACCACACTCAGCTAATTTTTTGTGTGTTTTTAGTAGAGACAGGGTTTCGCCATGTTGGCCAGGCTAGTCTCGACCTCCTGACCTCAGGTGATCCGCCTGTCTCAGCCTCCCAAAGTGCTGGGATTACAGGCTTGAGCCACTGCACCCGGCCCTTTCAATACTTCTTTAACCAGCTAAGATTTTCTGCTCTGAGACATATCTCCTCAGCAGTAATGTTTTAATGAAAACATTACTGCTGAGGCCTAATGTTCTGCTCAAGAGGAGCGGTTTGGGTCCAACCATTCTCTAGAGAGCTCAGTCCTTCCACAGGAAAAGGGGTCTGATTCTAGTTGCCCAGGAGATCCTGTAGGTCGGAGCCCAGTGATCATTCCAAGAAGTGAAATGTGCCTCTGCTCTTTGACTTTCTGCAGAAACTCGCCTCTTTGGTGTGCCCCTTGACAGCCTGCTAGAAGCTGACCACAAAGTCCTCCCCAGCACACAGGTCCCGCTGGTCCTTCAAGCCGTAAGTCGCCCCTACCCCAGCTTGGGTTTATTTAATCCTTCAGAGGCTGGCTCAGGGGACCATTGTCAGGAGACATCCAGCAAAGGGGTGAAAGGATGTGCTTTAGAATCAGGCAGACTTGGGTTCAAATTCTGGCTCTGGCACTTGCTGGCTCAGAGACCTGGGGTGGATTTTTGCTGTTGTTGTTGTTGTTGATGTTGTTGTTTTTATTTTATAAATTTTTGTCTTGGCTGGGCGCCGTGGCTCACACCTGTAATCCCAGCACTTTGGGAGGCCGAAGCGGGTGGATCATGAGGTCAGGATATCAAGACCATCCTGGTTAACACGGTGAAACCCCATCTCTACTAAAAATACAAAAAAAAAAAATTAGCCGGGTGTAGTGGCGGGCACCTGTAGTCCCAGCTACTTGGGAGGCTGAGGCAGGAGAACGGTGTGAACCCAGGAGGCGGAGCTTGCAGTGAGCCGAGATCGCGCCACTGCACCCCAGCATGGGCAACAGAGAGAGACTCTCTCAAAAAATACATAAGTAAATAAATAAATAAGTAAATTTTTGTCTTAATTTTTTTTGTAGAGACAGGGTCTCACTATGTTGCCCAAGCTGGTCTCGAACTCCTGGCCTCAAGTGATCCTTGGGGTGGATTTTCTTTTCTTTTCTTTTTAACTTCTGAATCTTAAAGTCAAGGGTAGATTTTTGAACTTTCATTAGCCTCCCTTTCAACATCTGTAAATTGGGATGATGATAACAGTATCCTCCTCTTATCAATGATTAAATGAGAAAAATGTGTATGAAGCTCTCAGAATGCTGGGCTCATGGAAGTGGTCACAAAAACTAATATTATTCCGAAGGAAACCCTTCTCCTGGTACTCCCCTCTTTCTGATTTTCATGGGAGACAAACACACCATTTTGAATCCTGCTTTTCAGCGGTTCCTGGTTTAAATGCTGGTTTCTCTTTCTGACAGCTGCTGTCCTGTTTGGAAAAGAGAGGACTGGACATGGAAGGCATTCTCAGGGTGCCCGGATCCCAGGCCAGGGTCAAGGTAATGGTTTGGCTTCCTGGCTTCACTGAGGCTGCATCTCCCCCATGCTCACATGTGTGTTAAGCCGGGAGGGAAACCAGTCCCTGACTCGCCAGTGATCTGTCTTTGGTCTCTGTGTGGGTCGAGGGTTTGAGAGGCTGAAGGTGGCATGATGAGCATGGTGGCAGAGAGTGTGGGCCCTGGAGTCAGGCCACCAACGTTTAATGAGCAGAGCTCTGTGCTCAGTGACACGCACGTTAGACCATTTCGTCCTTACTTCAACCCCACGAGGGAGGTGCTCTTGTTGTCCCCACTTTGCAGATGAGGAAACCAAGCCCCAGAGAAGTGGTAGAGCGACTTCTACCAGAGCCCTGGGCCAACTGTGTTTTCATGCCCCGCCTTCCTGTAGGGGCTGGAACAGAAACTGGAGAGAGACTTCTATGCTGGCCTTTTTAGCTGGGACGAGGTTCATCACAATGACGCCTCTGATTTGCTCAAAAGGTTCATCCGGAAGCTGCCGACACCTTTGCTCACGGCTGAGTACCTCCCGGCCTTCGCCGTGGTGCCTAGTGAGTGTGCCCAAGCCCTTAGCCTGTGCAGGGATGGAGAGTTGGCTCACTGGCCTTGGTGGAGAGGGGAAGCCATGCAAAGGCAGGACTCCGTGTTCCTGGAAATGTCTGTTCCAGAAATGTCCAACTGATGGGGGAAGAAGCAAGTGTGAACATGTGAGCCCAATGTGTGCACATACACATGTGCACGCGTGTCCTGCGTGTGTTGTATGGCATGTGTGCAGGTGTGTGAGGAGAGGAGGCTAAGGTTTTGCACACTACAGTCCCTATTAGTTCTCACATGGATGAGTGGACTAGTTTCCTTCACATCTTGACATCCATGGGGTTGAGCTTATCAGCATCATTACCTGTGTATCTGTGGGCACACATGTGTGTGCATGTCCATCTGTGTGCACATCTGCAGATCAGCATGTGTTGCACGGACCTTGCTGTATGTATAGTCTGCATATATATGTTCCTGTCTGGACTTCTTCACAATCCACAATGAACAAAGATAGTCACTTCTATTTTTCTCAAAAAAATACAGCAGCTCTCCTGAGATCTCACTCACAACCGTGAGGTTCTCCCTGTCTCTCTGAATTCTCCAAAAAGCTCCAAGGCTCAGGCAGTCTGATTTCTACCCCCAAGCTAGGGACAGGGATCCTGAGAGGTCCTCTCTGACCTTTGATTCTCACGACCGCAGCGTTTTGGTTGTTGTTGTTGTTCTTCTTCTTCTTCCTCCTCTTCTTCCTCTTCTTCCTCTTCTTTCTTCTTCTTTCTTCTTCCTCTTCTTTCTTCTTTCTTCTTCTTTCTTCTTTTCTTCTTTTCTTCTTTCTTCTTTCTTCTTTCTTTCTTTTTTTTTTTTTTTAGAGATGGGGTCTTGCTCTGTCACCCAGGCTGGAGTGCAGTGGCATGATCCTAGCTCACTGCAGCCTTGAACTCTTGGGTTCAAGTGATTCTCCTGCCTCAGCCTCCCAAGTAGCTAAGAATATAGGCACATGAGACCACGCCTGGCATACTTGTTTAACATTTTTTTGTAGTGACGGGGGTCTCGCTATGTCGCCCAGGCTAGTGTCAAACTCCTGGCCTCAAGCGATCCTCCCACTTTGGCCTCCCAAAGTGATGAGGTTACAGGCATGAACCATCAGGCTTGGCCTCAACCTCATTGCAAAACATAAATCAGATTCCTTCCCTATGCTGTTGCCCACCCTCCACAGCACTCTTGTAATAAGATTCCACTTCTTACTAGGCCCACCTCCTCCGGCTCAGGTCCTGCCTATTTCTGGCCCCCTTTCCTCCTGGGCCCCTCCTTCCCCACTGTCTGGCCAGGCTCTCTCGCTTTGCTGTTCCCCCTCCTCTTTCCTTCCCTGGGGCCTCTGCACTTGCTGCTGTGTCTGAATGGAACCTCCCTCCACCCTCATTTGGCTGCTTTCTGCCATTCAAGTTCCAGCTGGCTGTCATTGCCTGCGAGGGGCCTTCCGTGACCCCACACATCATGCTGCCTGCCAGCCTCTATAATGATGCAATGATGCCCATCATACTCTGATTTATTCTTTGCTTGTGTATTATGTCTCCTCTCTGAAATGTAAGCTCCATGAGCCTGTGACTTTGTTTTCCTCCTTTACTATTGTGTCCAAGATTCCTAGACTGAGCACAGCACCTGACAGGTACTTGATAGATATTTGTTGATAAGTGAGAGAAGGAAAGAAGGGAAGGAGGGAGGGAGGGAGGGAGGAAGGAAGGAAGGTAGGTAGGTAGGTCATATGGGGTCGCAGGCCTGGCGCCCAGGGTGCTCAGCCTCTGTCTCCTACGCAGCTCTTCTCCAGGTTCCAGCCAGCTCTCAGCTGCTGGGTCTTGTCTGGCTCTGATGAACTCCTTCTTTGAATCTATAACTACTACCTCCTCCTACCTACCTCCTCTCCCCGGAGATCCTGACACCAGGTGTGAGACAGCTTTTCCTTTTCAACCCTCACAACACAGAGGGTTTCATGAAAACCTTCTATCTGGGCCCATTGAGCTCTCTGTCTCCCTTCCTAAGGGTGATTTGCTGGTTCATTGCATTTCTGACCCTGGGCTGCAGCCTGGACTGCATCTAGGTCTGTGCGGCATGTGCTTGCCTGCACATGCATGCGTGTGTTTATTTTGTTACACAAAGTATAGCGAGTGAACCTCCCACGAGCACTGGTCAGGGCTCTGTCTGAGCCAACATTAGACAAGGAAATAGTCCCACACCTTATGAAAAAAGGGATTCCTGGCTGTCCCCTGGCTTTCCAGCTCTGGAATTTCCCCAAGAAGAGACCAGACTGAGGGAGGGAGTCCCTGAGCCTCCCATGGAGACTGAGGTCCCTCCCTTCCCGCAGACATCCCCAACCTGAAGCAGCGCCTGCAGGTTCTTCACCTGCTCATCCTCATCCTCCCAGAACCCAACAGAAATGCCTTAAAGGTAAGAGTTACCATGCACCACCACCACTCTGCCATCTCAGCCCACAGCCACAGCCATGGCTTCAAATGTGCTCATTCATTCATTCATTCATTCAACAACTCTGCCAGGTGCTAGGGTTCAGTGATGACCCACACAAACCTCTCTTGAGACTTTTTCTTAAAGAAAGTAGATGAGTCCTGAAAGGGGATAGTCCCGGAGTGGGCACTGCAGAGCGTCAGTTCCACGTGGTGCTAACAGGTGTTAGCACCTTGTGGCCAAGCATGGATGGGTAAACACAGAGTTCATGAAACAAGGTTAAGAATACTTTTCTCCCCAGGACTTCTCAAAGCCTTTGGTATATTGAGGCTTTAGAGAATCTCCAAGTGGGATTAGAGTATGCAGCACTCTCCAAACTCAGTTGATCACAGACCTCTTTTGTTGTGGAAAGCATTGCATGGCACTGGTGTTCCATGCAGAACCAGTTTGGGAAACAGACCCTTAGCAAATTCTCCTTGTCGTATGGGAATGGATGCAGGGCCTTGGCCCAGCTCCCTGTACCGTCTTGACTGTCCTTCAGTCAGACTCAAGATGTGCCTCCAGGATCAGCCTGAGGAGGCCCCGGGTCTTCCTGTTTGAGTTTCTGCTTCCTTTTCAGTAAACTGAGGATGATAATAGCATTAATAGCATCTTGTCTAATTGTTTTGGAAATCATAAAAGCTAACTCATGAGGAATCATGGGGTAGAAGATGATGCTTTGCAGGGTACTCAATATGTGTCCTCTTTTCCTATCCTCTCTCCCTCCCTCTCTCCCTTCCTTTCTTCCTCCCTCCCTCCCTCCTTCCCTCCCACCTCCCTTCCATTTATTCTTCCTTCCACCACCCATTTATTCTCATTCGTCCATCTATTAATCTTTTCTTTCTCCATTCATCCATCCATCCATCCTTCCATCCATCCATCCCTCCCTCCCTTCTTCACTCCGTCCCTTTGTCCTTACTGGCTATATGACTCTTGGCACATTCTCCAAGCTTGTTTCCTTATCTGTAAAACACATGCAATAATAAGAGCTACCTTGGCCAGGCACAGTGGCTCATTCCTGTAATCCCTGCACTTTGGGAGGCCAAGACGGGAGGATCACTTGAAGTCAGGAGTTCGAGATCAGCCTGGCCAATATGGTGAAACCCCGTCTGTACTACAAATAAAAAAATTAGCTGGGTGTGATGGTGCACACTTGTAATCCCAGCTACTTGGGAGGCTGAGGTGGGAGGGTCACTTGAACCTGGGAGGCAGAGGTTGCAGTGAGCTGAGCCAAGATCACACCACTGCATTCCAGCCTGGGAGACAGAGTGAGACTCTGACTCAAAAAAAAAAAAACAAAAAACAAACAAAAAAAACCTACCTTATAAAGTTTCTGTGAGGATTAAATGAGATGTACCAATTAAAGGCCCAGGAACACAAAGAATACATAGTAAGTGGTAGCTCTCATCACTTTCTGCTGCTCTTCTCAGTGTCTCTGCTTCTCCCAGCATCTCTGCTTCTCTATTCCTTCCTTTGCATTTTGGGTAGACCCAGACTCCAGAAAGAAGGAGCTATCCTGGGCCTCACCAGGAAATGACCCATGTTCCAGACCTGTGGCCCTTTTCTACCTGGAAGTTGAAGTCTGACCCAGTTGTCTCATTAGTCTCTGAGGGAGCAGGGGAGGGAAAGAGTCTTGGACACACTGCAGAGCAGGAAACGGAGACACAGAGAGGTCATGGAGTGGGCCGGTGACACAGCTGGAACGGGAGCCCCTCTTGCTGCCCTCCCAGCTCCTGGCTCCTTCCTAGCACCCCCTTATCATTCATCAGAATGCCCTGGGGATGGTGGGGAGGCGCCAGGGATGGGCTGAGATTTGAGGGAGGCTCTGCACCCTTCCCTAGGCACTGCTGGAATTCCTCAGGAAGGTGGTGGCCCGGGAACAGCACAACAAGATGACTCTGAGGAATGTTTCCACCGTGATGGCCCCTAACCTCTTTCTGCACCAAGGGCGGCCCCCCAAGCTCCCCAAAGGCAAGGAGAAGCAGCTGGCAGAAGGGGCAGCCGAGGTGGTGCAGATAATGGTGCACTACCAGGATCTGCTGTGGACGGTGAGTGCTGCTGGGCGCTGGGTATCCCTCTGGGTGCAGCTGCCGTGCCGCCCCTGCTCTCCAGGAGCCTGGGCATTGTCCTTTCAGTTCCCTAGTGTGTCCCTTCCAGGACCTTTGTTGGCCTCTGCACAGGCCTGTGTTTTCTTCCTCCCCCTGCCTTAGTAACCAAGAAGAAGTGTCTTCACTTTCTGTCTCCACTGCCATGCCTCTCAGTCAGTCTGCTGCCATCTGGTCTACCCCAGATTGCAGGAGTTCCCCCAACTCCTGCAAATAATTCCTTCACATCAAAGCTTTTATGCTGCTGAGAAAGCCCCATCCCTGAGGCCCAGGATCACAGGGCCTGCCTAAGACAGAGCCCAGAACCAGATAACAGGGATACCCCTGCCCTCCTGCCCCCACCGTGAGCTTTGCCCTGAGTAACAAGTGACAGCAAGGGGAGGAGCCAGAGCAGGAGAGAGGCCCCTCTGCGGTGTCAGCATGCATGGTGCCCCTAGCACTGAGACCCCTCCAGCTCTTGAGACTCCTGTGAACACAAGGCAGCACCATCTACCACTGCTGACCAGGCTGCTTTCTCACCTAGCGATGCGTAGCCTCTTCCCTCCATCTGTTCATTCATCCTTCCATTCAGTCTCCCATCCATCCACCCACTCACCCACCTACCCATCCATCCATCCACCCACCCATCCATTTATGCAACTGCCCGTCACCCACCCACTCACCCACCCACCTATCCCCCCCACCCATCTACTTACCCACCCATCAATCCATTAATTCCTCCAACTCCCCCATCCACCCATATGCCAATCTATCATCCACTCACCCATCCACCAATCATGCATCTCTCCACTCATCTACCAATCCATCCATCCACCCACTCATTCACCCATCCACTCAACCATGCATCTATCCAACTAAACCACACATCTATCCAACTATCTACCCATCCATCCATCCACTCATCTACCAAACCATGCATCTATCCCACTATCTACCCATCCATCCACCCACAGTCCTTCCCTCTATCCCTTCCTTCTTCCATGGTCATTAGGTTAGATTTCCTATTCCAGAAACCAGCAAGTGAAGCCCTCTCTGACTGTTCCCACTTTTCTTCCTACCCTGCCTGGGCACTCGTCTGTGTTCTAAACACAGCAAACGCCAGCTGGCACTCCAAACTCATCTAGTACTTCACACTTCTGAATTTTTGCTTATGCAGTTTACTCTGCCTGGAATTCCCTTCCCTTTTTTTTTTTTCTAAGGGCAGAAGCCTGGTGTCCTCTGCTCATTCTTCAAGACCTCCTAGTTCAAAAGTCAACTCCTCTGTCGAAAGTCCCCTACTCCTCCCTCATACACCCCTTATACCCCCATAGTTCCTTTCTTCTCTGCACTCAGCCCTTTGAGATAATGTTGCTACTGAAAGACATTGGATTGTAATACTTCTTTTTATTGGAGGATGCTTTAAAAATTCAAGAAATTCTTGAATGTTTTCTTGTTAGAAAAGCTTCAGAAAACATAGATGTAGAAAAAGTGAAAGGGGAGAACCCCCATCACCCTCGCTCTTCCCCGTGTGTGTCACCTTTAGACAGCACACACATAGCAGCAAAAAGGGGAATTCAGAATCGACTCCAGTTTCGTCAGACCCTGGGAGACAGAAACATGTTATTAGCAGGGTCCATGGAGTCTGGGTTCTCTGACTCTGCTGGGTTCGGATCCCACAGAGAGGCATGGGTTGATCTGGAGGTCTCTGTAGGAATCCCCCAGTGTGGGCTCTCTGGGGGTTCTCAGAGCAGAGCCTGCTCCAGGTGTGTTTTGGGGACACCCCTGCCTGAGTGTGCCAGTGAGCAGCTATCCCTCAGCAGGTGCAGGACCCTCCAGCTTCTGTCGAGGGGACCACTATCCACTAAGCCTCAGGGTGGGCTCCACTCTCAGGGTCCCCTACTCCAAGGTCCACTTTAGGGGCTGAATGCCCCCTCCTCATTCCACCAAACCAGTGCTTCCGTCCCGTGTCCAACAAATGCATATTTCCAAGCCCTGTGGGACGCTGGGCCAGGGAAGAGGCCACGATGACCCTGGAGAGGGCTCTGCCTCTCGCCCCCAGAAGTCCTATCCCCCTGCCAAAACTTGATCCTTTCTGGCCAGGTCGCCTCTTTCCTGGTCGCCCAGGTGCGAAAACTGAACGACAGTAGCAGCAGGCGCCCCCAGCTCTGCGACGCAGGCCTCAAGACTTGGCTGCGGAGGATGCACGCAGACAGGGACAAGGCGGGGGACGGCCTCGAGGCGGTGAGTGCCCCCGACCCCAGACAGGTGGAGAAGGGCCGAGGCGACAGGAGGGCACCTGGGGCGCGGTGCTTCCCTTCCTCCAGGTCCCCGCTACCGGGCTGCCAGCAACGGCCCAGTGAGGCCACCAGGGGGCGTTGCGGCGCCGTCACGGGGAGCGAGGAGGCGTGGCTGCGAAACGAGGGCTTAGAAGCGGGTTGGGGAGGGGAAATGGAGTGACTCGGAGACTTCCCCTAGAAACCGTCACCGCCGCCCCATTTTTCGGCAGCCCCTGGCCGAGGGTTGGGAAAATGGGAGTCGCTCTGCGGGGTGTGAGGTGATTGGGGCTGGGTGGGGGATAGTAGAAGGGAAGAGCCTTCCAAAAATACTGAGTATTCCTAGGAGGGGTCCTGAACACGGTTCCTTATTAAAGTCCCGATTAGAGAAATTGATGAGCGTTGAGGCTGCACCGTGCACGATGTGTGGGTGATGGGTCTTTATACAAACCTACATGTCTGTGTTTGTGGGTGCGTTGCATGTACTCCTGCTGTGTGTACAAGTGCACCGACACAGGCATAGAAACACAAACATAGGCATAGAAACACAAACACACATCTGGAATGTGTATGTCTGTGATCTGTGCCCAAGTGTCCGGTATGCGTGTGTGTGTATCTTGTGATTTTCAGCGTGGGCATTTGCGTAAGTGCCATGTATGCGTGTTTATGCATCCACGTTGGAACTCCAGGCAAGCTGACTCTTATGTATATGGATCTTTCTCTCTCTCTCTCTGCAGACTCCCAAGGTGGCAAAGATCCAGGTGGTCTGGCCTATCAAGGACCCCTTGAAGGTGCCTCTCACCCCCAGCACCAAAGTGGCCCACGTCCTGAGGCAGTTCACAGAGCACCTCAGCCCTGGTTCCAAGGGTCAAGAAGACAGTGAGGACATGGACAGCCTCCTTCTACAGTAAGAGGCACCTCCTGGAGGCAGGAGCCTCTTCCCTGCAGGGAGGGCTCTGCACCCCAGAGCTGAAGGCCACCAGGGGGTTACACATACTGTTGGCCTGACCTGGCCTTCCCTTTCTGGGGTGGTCAGATGGGTTCTCCAATCTTAGAGAGTTTCTTGGCTCCAAGTAATAATCATGATGACCACCACTCACTCATTCACTTTAATAGGTATTTAATGAATGCCTACCACCAGGCACCATGTTTTTCTGTTGGTTTGTTTGTTTGTTTGTTTGTTTGTTTTGAGATGGAGTCTAGCTCTGTCACCCAGGCTGGAGTGCAGTGGCTCGATCTTGGCTCACTGCAACCTCCTTCTCCCAGGTTCAAGCGATTTTCCTGCCTCAGTCTCCCAAGTAGCTGGGATTACATGCACCTGCCACCATGCCTGGATAATTTTTTTGTATTTTGAGTAGAGACAGGGTTTTACTATGTTAGCCAGGCTGGTGTCAAACTCCTGACCTCAAGTGATCTGCCCACCTCAGCCTCTCAAAGCGCTGGGATTACAGGCGTGAGCCACCGCACCTGGCCCACCATGTATTAAGAGAA
Organism: Homo sapiens; assembly: GCF_000001405.40. Classification (NCBI taxonomy): domain Eukaryota; kingdom Metazoa; phylum Chordata; class Mammalia; order Primates; family Hominidae; genus Homo; species Homo sapiens. Next base: position 38,647,711 of record NC_000020.11, read on the forward strand.
TTATAGACTAGCCATGAAAAGAACAGACAGAGGCCCTGCTCTTAAGAGCTCACAGTCCTGAGGAAGACCTGGATATAAAGCAGATAGTCACGAATCAAAGATCAAGTTACAAACTGTATTAGGTTTCATAAGAAATGCAGGGAACAATGTGTCTGGAAGCCAAGGAAGCTGGTGTCATCTGGGAGCGAGGTGAGGCTTCCAGGCACAGAAAACTGCACAGTAAAGGTCCTGCAGCAAGGAGCAGAGCCTGGCCAAGGATCTGGAAGAAGGTCGGGGGCTGATGTGCAGCCATCATTCCTAGGGTACAGGAAACAGCCTGAGACCTCAAGAGCTTCCTTGTTGGCATTGGCACAAGGGACCCTCAGACTGTCATCTTCAGCAAGTATCTGATCCAGCTCCTCCTTGAACAGATGGGAGCACTAAGACTCAGAAAAGAGAAGGGACTTGCCTTAGGCCACATGGCAGAAAAGAGGCCATGGAATTGAACTCAGGATACCCATAATTATCATATAATAATTGTGATTCTTACATGATAGGCATCATTATCATATGTAATCATACAATGTCCATAATCCATCTTGACTCAAAATCTTCCCCTCACAGCAGGCTCCTGTCCCCATCTGTCACCACTCATTCCCTTGCCTTCGCAGTCTCCATTCTGATGCCCAGAAGAAAGGGGCCTCGCAGCGGGGTGCACCCCTGGCTGAGCCTCACCACGTGCCCTCCAGCTACCTCTCCCCAGCCCCTGGGTGCTGGACTCTGTCACTGGCTCCAGCTCTCTCAGGAGGGTCCTTATGCTGCTTCTCCCCAGCAGGACCAAAAATCAGTGAGGACTGCCCTTTCCAGGGCTGGGGGCCATGCACAGTTGTTGGTCTTGATGTTTCCAGAAGAAAAAGGCAGTAGTTTTTTTTTTCTCTCTCTCTGTTTTACAGCCATAGGTCCATGGAGTCAGCCAACATCCTCCTCTATGAAGTTGGAGGGAATATCAGTAAGTTCCACTGTGGGAAACAGGAACAGAGCCCGGGTCCCTGGGAGTTCTTCGACCTCAAAGGCTCACTGGGCCCTTCTGTGGGAGGCCAGAGTAGGCCTGCAGATGAGCCCTCCCTTCAGGTCTCTGTCTTCAATGAAACCAGGTGGAGTCCTGCTGTAAGGTTAAAGGTTAGCCTGTGCAAGTCTTAGGAGCCTATCCTGGAGTTTGGATTTTGCCTAGAGCTGGCCTCAGGCTTGCAGAGAGATGCAGAAGATTTGTTTAGTGTGAAGGTTCACAGTAGCACCAGTGAAACCGACGCCTCTGGGACACCCTAGCTGGGATGGACTTCATCCCTGGCCTAGGGGCCAAGGAGTCCTTAAGGAATTCTGCAAACACATATCCAGCTCTGGGAGTTCCCTGGCTCTGTGGGAACCAAGGATGGGCCGCTGTTTCCCTTTGCATTCTCTAGAGTAATGATCCTCAGACTTTACCAGAACCTCAGGATCCCCTGGAGGGCTAAGACACAGATTGCGGGGCCTAAGAATGTGTGTTTCTGATGAGTTCCCAGGAGTTGCAGATGCTGCTGGTCGGGGGGCCACACTTTGAGGGCCACTGGCCAAGAAGCAGAAGCTAAGACATGTCTTCAGTAGTACACGATGCATTGAGGGGGTGCCCCTCAGGAAAAGGGTTCCAAGGGACAGAGTGAAGGAGGATAGGGAAGGGGCAGGGGCCAGGAGTGTTCGCATCCTGGAGCTTGGCCTGATCCACTAGGTGGCTCTAGAGAACAAATCACATCAGAGTTGTTGCATTCTGAGGCAAGGGCACTGGTCTTCAGTACATCTGTGTCCGTCAGTCATCGACCGTGGGCTTCCCAGGGGAAAGGGGGTGTCACTTTTCTGGCAAGGCATCTTCCCTCAGCGGAGCTCAGTTCTCCAGCAAAAGAAGTAGCTGTGAGCTGTAGCAGTCAAGATGCATACAGCCAGGGGACAGTGCACTGCCTGGTGAAGGGCTCTGTGCAGGGGAACAGCATCTCCTACAGCCTCCCACTCAACCTCCTTCACCCCTTCTTCCCACAGATGAGCATCGCCTGGACCCAGATGCCTACCTCTTAGATCTGTACCGTGCCAACCCGCATGGTGAGTGGGTCCTTAAACAGAACCCCACCTAAACCCTGCGAGTCTCAGGAGCAGCCTGGATGCCTCCTCCTCTCCCCTGCTGGCTCTGTGTCCATGTACCCAGCATGAGAACAAAGCTATTCCAGGGGAGGGTCTGAGTTTTATTCCAAGGCTTCCTTTTCTGAAATGCCTCTCAGACCCCTCAGAAATAGACTCAGGGGTGGTGCTCTCTCCACTCAGAGGGGATGAGGGGCTAGGGCCTCAGGGAGGGGAGGCCAACACTGTAGCCATGATCAGCCCTGGAAGAACTGGACAGAGGAAGAACTTCCCTTCACAGCTCTCATGTTTTAACCGTGCACACAATGCCCTCACTCCCCTCCACCCTCCAGCCCTCCAGAGAGTTGCTTCCTACACCAAGCTTGCTGTATGACGCCACCACTTGGGGCGCTTGGATCTCCATGGGCTTCTGTCTGTGGCTTCCAGACTGGAGGAAAATTAAAAATGCAGTACCTTTATCAAGAGGTAGTTGGGGTCTTTTCCCCCCAGGCAAAATTGTTTCGAAAGTGGCCCTACAATGTGTAGTAGCAGCAGCACCAGAGACAAAACCAGGAGAGCTCTGTGACCTTGGACAAGCCCCTTGCCCTCTCAGAATCCTTTCAGGATGAGGGGCTAGGGCCTCAGGGAGAGGAAGCCAAGATTGTAGCCATGACCAGCCCCGGGAGAAATGGACAGAGGAAGACTTTGCTTCACAGCTCTCATGCTTTACATGTTGATTTGTACAATCTTGTCATTTTGTAATATGATATAATATGTAAACGTAATTGTTTAAACAGTAAAGGCACAACAAGTTCAATGTCACATTTACTTTGCCTGTTTTTCTCTCCAGTCCAGTGCTCGGTAGGTGTTGTCCTTCCAGCGAGTTGACGTGGGAGCTTGGTGACGAGAGCATCTTGCTGAGCTGCTCAAAGGGCTCTGGCCCATGTGATCCAGCCACGCCTTGAACCCACAACCACCGGGGGCGGGAGGGCAGGAAGAGAACTCAGAATGGGGAGGCATGGAGTAATGATACCCATTGCTGAAGGGTGGGGGCATTGCAGGGACAGCCTCTCTGGGAATCCTCTCATCTCCTACAGTCCCAGGTCTCACCCTTCCTCTTCTCCTCTGCCCTGGGTCTGTATCCTCAGGCCAGGTGAGGCTTCGCTTATTTGTTCACTTAACAATGAGTTTACTGAGCATTTAATTATGTGCCAAGAGGTTCACAAATTTAATCTTCACAATAATCCAGTGTTTTCGGTTTGGGTTCCCCCAGAAGCAAAATGTGAGGCAAAGACTCAAATGCAAATAGTGGTCCTAAGAAATGCAAGAGAGTGGGGATATGAGAGAAAGAGGGGGAGGCAGTCTATAAAAGGGTGCCCAATCACAAGCAAGCTACCACTGGGGGCATCTCGAGCTTAATTCCACTGGAGAACTCTGAGAAACAGTATGGAAGATGTCCTTCAGAGTTACCCTACCCAAGGGTCAAGGGAGCCAGTGTGTTTATTCAACTCCTGTGAGTCATTGGTTGACAGCTGCTCCTGAGGAGTATAGGTATTTGTTTCCTGGTACTTCCGCCTGCCAGAGTGCAGGCACAGTGTGCTCCAATACTCAGAGAAAGCCCTCAAGAAGAGATACAGATACTGGCAAGTAGACATTGGCCACTGTACACAGATGGCAAGTGCTGAAGGGATATGGGTGGGCATCAACAGAACCTGCTTCATCCTGTGAGGCAATGATGGTGAGATACTGATGCTGATGGTGATGGTGATGCTGCTGATGGTGGTGATGGTGATGCTGCTGCTGATGATGATGGTGGGGATAATGATGGTGATGCTGCCGATGGTGATGGTGGTGATGATGATGGTGATGCTGCTGATGGTGTTGATGGCGATGCTGCTGATGGTGATGATGGTGGTGATTACGATGGTGATGCTGCTGCTGCTGCTGGTGGTGATCCTGCTGATGGTTTTGATGGTTATGATGATGGTGATGCTGCTGACGGTGATGATGGTGATGATGATGATGGTAATGATGATGATGGTGAGGGTAATAATGGTAATGATGGTGATGGCGATGATGGTGATAATAACGATGATGCTGATGGTGATGATAATGATGGTGATGCTACTGCTGTTGCCACTGATGATGGTGATGATGCCAAGAGCTTGACAAGTTTGATCTTCACAATAATCCAGTATCTTAGTTTGGGCAATGATGGTGATGATGGCAGCTGTCACTAAGCAGTTACTACGCACCAGGCATTTTACAGATATTAATTCCTTTGATTCTCACAACAACCCTATGTGACACGTTATTATTCCCTTTTTATAGGAGAGGAAAAACCAAGGCTCAGAAAGTTAACATTACTTGTCTGCATGGCTGATAAGTGACAGGTTAATCTGGTGTCAAGATGCAAGCTCTACTATTTTAGACCATAAATATGAACTGTTTTGCCATAAATACCCATATTTAAAAGTGTTTTGGTAATGGTCACTTCCTCAATGTCCCCTCTTCCCTCCCTCATCCCACAATACAAATAATCTCAGAATGAGAGAAGGTATTTCTCTTAAACCAAGGAGACCTAGTAAGGAGGGATTGACATTTGTCCTGGAATTCCTCAATAGAGCATTTGAAGCTTGTAGCTGGTTAAGAGCCTCTGAGCGGCCTCAGTTTCCCTAGCAGCCCCATCTGAAGAGCCAAGATGTGATGAAGCATGAATTTAGCCTAGCATTAGCCCCACAATCCTATGAGGTGAGTGTTACCATAGTTCCACTTTACAGATGAAGAAACTGAGTTTCAGACAAGTTAAACCATGGATTCAAAGTCACACGCAGGGTGAGAAACTTGGATGCCTGATTCCAAATCCAGGGCTTTTTCAGTCACACCATGATTTCCTGAAGCAATATCAAGTGCCTGATAGGTGACAGCAAGAAGAGTCAAGAACAGCAGTAGGAAAATTGGACAAATTATTTAAGTTGGGGAGATACCAAGGGATTCAGCCAGAGTTGCTACTTCTGTTCACCAATGTCCTCTCTACCTCCCATGGTCTACCTACAAGCCTTTTGGACCTCCCTCCAAAATATACTCCAATCCATCCACTTCACTCCTTTGTTCCTACTACCATCCTAATCCAAACTACTACCATCTCGATGCCTTGGATAATAGTGATCATGATGGTGGTGGTGGTAGTGGCGTTGATGATGGTGATGGTAATGGTGATGATGGTGGTGGTGGTGATGGAAATGATGATGTTAGTTGTGGTGTTGATGATGGTAATGATAATGATTGTGATGGTGGTGTTGGTGGTGCTGGTGATGATAATGATGGTGGTGGTGGTGGTGGTGATGATGGTGGTGGTGGTGATGGAAATGATGATGATGTTAGTTGTGGTGTTGATGATGGTAATGATAATGATTGTGATGATGGTGGTGGTGGTGGTGATGATGGTGATGATGATTATGATGGTGGTGTTGGTGGTGCTGCTGATGATAATCATGGTGGCAGTGGTGGTGATGATGGTGGCGGTGGTGGTGGTGATGATGGTGGTGGTGGTGGTGACTGATGAGAATGATGATAATCTAAAATAGTTAAGAGTTTACATCTTGACACCAGATGGTGCAAGGCCTTGATGGCCTCCATGCCTCTTAACTGCTCTCCCTTCTTGCTTTCCTCTCTATTCATATATAGCAGCTACTGTGGGCCTTTAAAAATATAAATTCAATCTTACTGAAAGCCCTCCTGCTGAAAACTTTCCAGAGGGATCCCATTAAACAAATATCCCAACTCTTTACCCTGGCCTATGAAGCCCTATGTCTGTGACACCACTTCACTCATACTCCCTCCCACCTTACTTTGCAGAGCCAGTCAGTCACATGAGCCTCCTTCCAACTCCTCAGACATCCCAAGTTCATTCCTGCTTTGGGCTTTTGCACCTGCTGTTCTCTCTGTCCACAACACTCTTCCCCCAGCTACTTCCATGGCCAGCTCCTTTCGCCTTTGGATCTCAGGTCAGATGTCCCTTCCTTTGAGAGGCCATCTCTGACTACCCTATCTGAAGTTGCTTCTTCTGTCACTCTCTCTGGAATTGCCTTGGTGAATTTTCTTCCTAGCATTTATTACTATCCTAAATTATCTTATTGAGTCAGTTTTTTATTTTCTGTCTCCCTGACTAGGATGTAGCCCCATGAAGGCAGAGACTATGTGGGCTTTTCTCACTTCTATGGATATGATGGATATGATGTGGATATAATGGTACTAGCAGATGCTCAATAAAAATTGGCTGGATGAATGAATGAATGAATGAATGAATGGATGGATGAATCCCTCTCTGTCCCTTTGTTTGCTCTGGAAGCTGTTGCCCTTATCACCTTATTTAACTCTCACTTCCCTGGGTTCATGTATGAAAATGAGAAAATGCATCTGAAGTACTTATAGCAAGTGCTCAGCCAGTGCTCTCATTATTATTATTAATTATTAACAAAGGCCAGACAGCCTAAAATAGTGACTAATGGTACTATCCTCTTGTGCTTCCCAGCACCTGCGGTGGTCCCTTTGCACACCTCATTCACTCATTCCCAGGGTCTGGATGACAGGATGCAGTGTGGTTGGAGGGAAAATCCTTTACCCTTGGCAGGAGGTGAGGCAGGTTCCTCTGTGAGTGCTGAGAGCCCAGGCCCTGCTGTGCTAACTTTGCACTCAGAGTGGGCTGTCAGCCACCAGCAGAGGGTCCCAGTTTAATCACATGTCAGTTTCTCCATTCATCTTCGGTGCTATCTGAGGGCTCATCTTTTTCTACTCTGTGGCATCGTCATGATTGATGATCCTGCACCAGCTCCACCGCCGGGTTAGCTATATTAGCATAGCTCACAGTGGGTGCCCAGCTCCTCCGGGCTCTTTGTGGTCTGGGCCAGCATAGGGTGGCATCATGTTTCTCTTAAGGAGCTCTGTTGTGAATGGAATCGTGTCCTCCCAAAATTCATATGTTGAATCCCTAATTCTCAAGGTGACTGTGTTTGGTGATAAGGCCTTTAATGAAGTAATGAAGGTAAAATGAGGTCCTAAGGGTAGCACCCTCATCCAATAGGGCTGGTGTCTTCACAGGAAGAGGAAGAGACACCAGAGCCCCCTCTCTCTCCCCACGAGAGCAGAGAGGACAGGCGGCGCGAGGACGCAGTGAGGTGGCAACTGTCTGCGAGCTAGGAGAAGCCTCACCAAAACCCACATTTTCTGGTACCTTGATCTTGGGTTTCCTACCTCCAGAACCGTGAGAAAATAGACTTCTGTTGTTTAAGCCACCCTGTGGTGTTTGTTATAGGAGTCTTAGTAAGCTAATAGAAGCTCCTAGCTGCCTCCATCTTCTGAGAGGAAGGAGGATGGAATTTGTAAAGATGTCTTCAACCAGGAGAGTTTCCTTGGACAAAGGGTGGAAATGAGCCTCAGCAGGGGCGGACTCTCACCTGGCCCTCAGGTGTGTGCTTTCCTGGGAGAGGCTGCATTTATTGCTATGGGGCTGCAGGTAATTTGCCCAAACCAAAATTTGCAGGTAATTTGCAAACTGAATCTCTATGCTCCTAGAGATTCAGTTTGCTCTTTCTAGATCACCAAAGAGGATGATGAGGATGAAATGAGGAAACCTACAGTCACGCAACAATTATATCAAGCACCTACTGTGTGCCTGGCACTGGGCTAGGCTGGGGCCACAGTGATGAGCAAATCAAGGAAGGTCCCAGCCCTTGTGGAGCTCACAGTCTAGCGAGCGAGAGATATACTAACCTAGAAATGAAAAGATTTTATATTGTAATACAATTCTGCTGAGAAAAGTAAAACAGAGACGAGAGAGGACGTGGGGAATGTGGGCGAATCTTTGCTTTGAGGGGCCAGGGAAGGGTCTTAGATTGAGTGCCCTCAGAATCAGACCCTGAACGAGGAACCAGAGGGCAGGGTGCTTATTTGGGAGGTGATCCCAGAAAGACGCAGTGGAGGAATGGGGAAGTGAGGCGGGGAGGGGAGAAGCCAGTGAAGGTGTGCTAAAGAGCAGGTTACGGCTTCGGGCAACTGGGACTCCACGCTGCAGGGGTTCCCGGGAAGCCGCGTAGAATACGCCGCTGACACGTGGAGTAAAGAAGGGAGAGTGTTAACCACCAACCCCCACCACTTACTGGTGGAGGACTACTCCCAGGGCGTTTGCCCCCCGGCATTTCTACCTGGTCCCCCAGGCAGGCTCAGCACCCTCCTCTGCCAGAGGAGGATCTAGGCAGAGTCCTAGGTTCTGGCAATAGAAAGCCATCAGCATGGACAGGAGCCATGGGTGCTGGGGTGGGGCAGATGTGACCTGTCTGAGGAGGCGACCCTTGAACCGACACCAAAATGATGAGAAGGGGCCAGCCACGGGATGAGCTGGGAGAGGAGCTCTGCAGATAAAAGGAAGAGAAAGATCTCGGCCAAAGCCCTTGTCGACGCTTTCGTTGTGTGCAGGTCAGAGGGATTGTTGGGACAGCCTGGGCTAAGGGATGAATCAGGTTCCCCAGGAGCTGAATCAGGTTCCCCAGGAGCTCTCTCTAGTCTCTCTCTCTCTTTCTTTCTTTCTCTCTCTTTCTTTCTCTTTCTTTCTTTCTTTCTTTCTTTCTTTCTTTCTTTCTTTCTTTCTCTTTCTTTCTTCTTTTCTTTCTCCTCTCTCTCTCTCTCTCTCTCTCTCTCTCTGTTTCCACCCAGACCCCTCCCTTTGTACCCATCTTCAACGGAGGCAGTGATTGGCTGGCCAGAACTGTGGGCGGGGCCTTTGGGGTCCAATCCTAGGAGGATCTGGGCCATTCATTGGCCCCTGTGGGAGGTGGGCGAGGTGGAGAAATGGGACCCCCAAGGAGGGAGGTGAGAAGCAGGACAAGTTGACAAATTCCGCAACTACGAATGCCCTCCACTTCCCTAGTGCTGGAGGACAGGGCTGAGCCCTCTGGCCATTCATTGATGCTCCCATGTCACACTGGTCATGCCTCTTGGTGGCCCGAAGTGGCCTGCCCCCAACAACTGCAGGTAGCCCCAGGACACAGGGAGCACCAGTCTGGCCTAGTGTCGCAAAGGCCTAGTGCCACAAAGACCACAGTGAGGCCAATTGGCACATGTGGACCACACAGAGGGGTGCTCTGCCTGTAGTGGCCAAGGTAGTAGTGGAGCCCAGGCCTTGGATGTTCCATTAGGAAGTCCCTAGAGTGCCCTGCGGGCATCCCCTGGCTTGGCAGCGTCTCAGTGTGGGTCCCCAGAAGCAGGCAGTGAGACAAGGACTCCAGTGAAAGTCATTTATGTGGGAGGCGAAGGAAACAGCAGCAGGGGAGTGGAGACATGAGACAGGCAAGGGAAGGCGCCAATAAGCAGCGCATCATCAAACCAGCTACCGCATCACACCAGCTACTGCATCACACCAGCTACCGCATCGCACCAGCTACTGTGTGGGTGACTGGAGCTGAATCCCACTGGGGAACCCAGGGAGACCATGGAGACACTTCTCAGGGTTGGTTACCCCTGGGAAGCAAGGAAGCAGGAGTATTGAAAAGCCCACTCTGGGCTGGGCACGGTGGCTCACACCTATAATCCTAGCACTTTGGGAGACAGAGGCAAGAGGATCGCTTGAGTCAAGGAGTTCAAGACCAGCCAGGGCAACAAAGAAGACCCTGTCTCTACAGTTTAAAAACATTAAAAATTAGCTGGATGTGGTAGTACATGCCTGTGGTCCCTGTTACTCAGGAGGCTGAGGTGGGAGGATCACTTGAGTCCAGGAGGTCAAGGTCGCAGTGGTTGCAGTGAGCCATGATCACATCACTGTACTCCAGCCTGGGTGACAGAGCGAGATCCTGTCAAAAAAAAAAAAAAAAAAAAAAGCCCCCATCATGGTCAGTTACTGCTCAAGGCTGCTTTGGGTGGTCATACCCCTGAACGTCCAGCCTGTGTGTGTTGGAGGGAAGACTCCATCCGCGGGACTTGTTGGAGCACACTGAAGTCACAAGCTTGAGAGATCTGGATTGGGTCGACAGTATCACTTCACTTATTTGGAAATTCAATTAACTAGAGTTATGTTCTCAGTAATTTCTACAAACCCGTGGGGCTAATGTAGGGTACCATGTCCCTTATCTGACCTTTGATTCCTCCACCCTTCTCCCAGCCCCTAGCTCCCCAACTCAAGCATCCCTTTGCTCCAAGGCACAGTGTCTCCAGGAGACACCTTGGAAGGAGATTCACTCTCGCCAAGGTTCCTCATCACTAGCAGGGGCCACCCAAAAGCCCAGCCCTAACTCCCATGAAGCAGAGAGAGCCCCTCCCAGCTATTCTGCCTGCCTCCTTGTTCCCTCTCCCCTCCCCTTTTTGGCCCCAGTGTCCTCTGAACTCACTCTGTCTGCTCCTGCATCACAGCCTCTGCATACGTTGGCCCCTTTTCTTAGAATGCATTCCCACCACTCCAGTTTCTGCCTGTTGAAAAGTTTCAACGTGCAATCAACAAAAATGTCTATTGAGAGTTAGGCACTGGGAATGGAACATTGACTCAACACCACACAGAACTTCCTTTTGGAGTTTGCACTCGGGTGGAAAAAGAAATCAGTCATCACACACATTTTTCTATACTCACAATACGGTAAATGCAATGAAGAAGGACAGGGAGACACAAACATATAGGGTTGGGGGGTGGTGGCTGGACTGGATCTGGGGTTTCCCAGGAGGTTTCTGGGGCAGTGATATCAAGCTGAGGCTTGAAAGGTGAGTGGGTGAGAGGTGGAAGGGAGCATCCCAGGCAGAAGGAACAACATGTTAGGCCCTGAGATGGACTCTGCATAGCTGGTGTGGCTGGAATTGAGAGAAGGCAAGCGGGCAGGGGGCAGAGTGGGCAGGGGCTGCAAATGGATCCTGAGAGATTTAGGAAGACAGGAAACATTTACATCTATCAAGCCGCCCTGCCTGGGAATTCTGAGAATGCCCTAGGCTTACCCTCAGCTCCCCTAAATGCAGCCCCCAAATCCTCCTTTAGGAGACTGTGCTGCTAATCTGTTCCAGAGACAGGCTTGGGACTCACTGCCCCCGGCACGCCAAAGGAGTCTCATACATTCTTCAAGGCCTAATTCAAGTTGCTCCTCTCTGAGAAGCTCTCTAAGCTGATTTCAGCTTAGAGAGCTTCTCCCACCTCCCAAGTCCTCCACCTCCGAAGTCCTCCTTAGCTCTTGGCTCTTTGGCATCTGAGAGCACTGGGACAGGGGTGAATATTCCTTAGTCTGCCGCTTGGGGCAGGGCAGCCCAGGCTCTTGCTCCAGGGACGGTGGACGATGCTGCCTGGTACCTGGCTGTGGGCAGGTGTGGGCCACCACCTCCAAGGACCCATCATTCCTGCCTGCTCCTCACACCTGGAGATCACAGGATATGTGGAATTGAAGCTTTTAGGGATCCATAAGGGACTTCATCCACAGACTTGCAGGGAATGATGGTGGGCTGGGGGAGGGGGTCATCCCCTTTTCTTGGTTTTTCCAAGGCTGGGGTGGTAGAAAGGAAAATGATTCCTGGCAAACCCGTGCTGCTGTCCCGTGCCTGCCTCCCAGGGCTGCTGAGAGGGTGGGAGATGCCTTCTATTGAGAACTCCCCACCCCCATCCCCAACCACTTTGCATTCTGGGGCAGGGGAGTGGGAGCCACTTGTCATTGTTCCTGTACGTTGGCTGGCAGGAGGCCCAGGGAGGGGGCTCCCCAATAGAAAATCTGCAGCTGCCTGTCTTTAAGGTAAAATTACCGTAATTACCCCAATTACTAAATCCATCAAGAGCTTTGGACCGGAGGCCTGGAGAACAATTGGGCCCTGATGGATCTGAGGAGTATGAGTCACGGGGGTGGGGGCACAAAGCACATGGGATGAAGGCGAGTGGGGGCGGCAGCTGATGTTAAACCAGGGGTGGGGATGGGGAAATGCAAAGAGATTATGATTAGCCAAGACCCCACTTTCCTCCTTCAGTGAGATTTTTCTTCTCTATTGGAAAGAAAAAAAATACCCCAAATTCTGTCTGCCTTTTCCTTTCACAGAACCCTGCACCTTGGGTGGGCGTTGTGACTCACGCCAGTAATCCTGGCACTTTGGGAAGCCGAGATGGAAGGATGGCTTGAGGCCTGGAGTTTGAGACCACCCTGGGCAACAAAGGGAGACCCCGCCTCTACAAGAAATTTAAAAATCAGCCGGCCATGGTGGTGCGTACCTGTAGTCCCAGCTACTCCGGAGGCTGAGGTGAGAGGATCACTAGAGCCCAGGAGTTCAAAGCTGCAGTGAGCTATGATCACACCACTGCACTCCAGCCTGGGTGACAGAACAGGACTCTGTCTCTAAAAAAAACACAAAAACAAAAGAACCCTATACTCTATGGCCACCTGACTTAGACCCGCTTTGACCTTTTATGAGAGCTAAAATGTAAAGAGTTGAGAGCAATGGCTAGCATCTCCTGGGTCCCAGCATGGACCAGGAACTATGGGAAGAGCTTTTCAGGCTTCCTCCCTTTCAATCCCATGAAGTGGGTTTCCTCCTGCTTCACAGACGTGGGTGCCCACATTTCCTCTTGGCCTGGGTTCTGAGCAGACCAGCCCCTGGGCCTGGTTGGCTTCTGTATTCCTCACCATGCTTGGTAAAGGAAGTGAAGGACAAGGTTGGCAGATTAGGTGGGCTACTGGGAAAAGCACCTTATAGGACATGTCCCCTCTTTTCATTTCTATTAGAACTTTACTACATTCAAAGAGTAGTTAAAACATTCAGATTCTTCCTCTCAGTTGATCTGGATTTGTAGCCTAAGGAAATAATCTCTAATTGTGGAAAGGCTATATCGTGAAGCTAATTCTTTCAGCATTGTTTATGCTGGCTGCACAATTTCACTTTAAGAGAAGATCCAGGCTGCTGATGCCTCTGTACTCCATTGCCAGGAGGAGTTATGTCTGCAGGACCCCAGGCATAGAAGAAAGAGATCCCCTTGGCTGAAGTAGACTTAGACCAGAATTGGGAGGCAGATCTGGGTTTCCACAGAAGTCATTGGGACCAAAGCCCCCACAAATTATAAAATTTAAGTATGACCTGGCTTGTCCCTGGTGCCTGTATCTCCAAGGTGACTTTGCAGGGCTTGTAGGTGTTGCTCCAAGATTTAGGATGTCAGGGTCCAGGCCAAATAGCTTCCTAACTCATCATAACTAATATGGTTAACATGGAAAATTGTGAAACAATTTAATGTCAAAACATAAGGGCCAGCGTGGTGGCTCATGCCTGTAATCCTAGCACTTTGGGAGGCTAGTAGGGAGAATGGCTTGAGCTCAGGAGTTTGAGACCAGCCTGGGCAACATAGTAAGACCTCGTCTCATCCAAATATCAAAAAGTTAGTCTGGCATGGTGGTGTGCACTCAGGAAGTGGAAGGAGGATCACTTGAATCCATGAGTTTGAGGATACAGTGAACTATAATTGTGCCACTGCACTCCAGCCTGGGTGACAGAACGAAACCCTACCTCAAAAAAGAAAAGAAAAGAAACGAAACGAAACATAGGGAGACTGGCTGAATAGATGAAGTTTTGTGCAGGCTTTTAAAATAATGAGTAAAAAGATTCCTTTGAAATCTGGGAAATTACAATAGAATGTTTATTGTCATGCTGGTTTTTTGTTTTTTGTTTTTTGTTTTTTGAGACAGGGTCTTGCTCTGTTGCCCAGGCTGGAGTACAGTGGAGCCTAGAGAAGGGCAGGAGAGCCCTTGACCATCACCCAGGCTGGCGCCAATCCTCAGGGGCTGAGCCACTCCCTCTAGAAGGCCTGGGCTCAGGAAATGCCCCTGAGTCAGAAACACTGTGGGACAATATTCCCTGACATTTTCCCAAAAAAGGGCCCTAAGGGAAGAGGAAAGTGCAGGTGAGCTTGGAGCAAACATGAACTCTACCCATTGGCTCATTCAATTATTCATTCATCCATTCAAAACACTATTCTTGCTATAATCCTAAACAAATTAACCCAGGAACGGAAGACCAAATACCTCATGTTCTCACTTATAAGTGGGAGCTAAGCGTTGAGCACACATGGGCATAAATATGGGAACAGTAGACACTGTGGCCTACTATGGGGGAGGGGGAGGGTGGGTTAAAAACTACCTATTGGGTACTATGCTCACTACCAGGGTGACAGGATCCATACTCCAAACCTCAGCATCACATAATACTCCCGTATAACAAACCTGCACATGTACTCCCTGAATGTATCTGAAATAAAAGTTGAAGGCTGGATGCCGTGGCTCATGCCTGTAATCTCAGCACTTTGGGAGGCCAAGGTGAGAGGATTGCTTGAACCCAGGAGTTTGAGACCAGCCTGGGCAACAGGACAAGACCCTGTCTCTACTAAAAATAAAAAATAAAAATAAATTAGCCAGGCGTGGCAGCATGTGCCAGTAGTCCCAGCTGCTTAGGAAGCTGATGTGGGAGGATCACTTGAGCCCAGGAGGTTGAGGCTGCAGTGAGCTATGATCGCGCTACTGCACTCCAGCCTGAGCTATAGAGCAAGACCTTGTCTCAAAAATTAATTAATTAATTAATTAAAATATGAGTTGACATTTCATTTAAAATCAAATGTTCTCATGGTGTCCTCTGTCTACAGCCCTGTGATGGGACCTGGGGATACTGCCATGAATGAGACAGAACTAGCTGCCATTCCAAGCTTCCAAGGCAGCCACACAAGTTGCTCTTTTGTGAAATTTTATGATTTCCTCTCAAATATTCACATGAATTTTACATTTTATTTTGTAATGTAGCCATGCTTGTTTTTGTAATTTTAAAATGATGTTTTCACAACAATATGCATGGACTTAATGCCACTACTGGATTGCACAGTCAAAAGGGCTAAAACAGCAAATGTTATGATATGTATATATGTGTGTGTGTGTATATATATATATATATATATATGTATTTTAGACAGAGTTTCGCTCTTGTTGCCCAAGCTGGAGTCCAATGGTGTGATCTCGGCTCACCGCAACCTGCACCTCCCAGGTTCAAGCGATTCTCCTGCCTCAGCCTCCAAGTAGCTGGGATTACAGGCGTGTGCCACCACGCCCAGCTAATTTTGTATTTTTAGTAGAGACGGAATTTCTCCATGTTGGTCAGGCTGGTCTCGAACTCCCGACCTCAGGTGATCTGTCTGCCTGGGCCTCTCAAAGTGCTGGGTTACAGGCATGAGCCACCGTGCCCGGCTGGTATGTATATTTTTATTGTGGTAAAATATACATACAAAAATCTTACAATTTTAACCATTTTCGAGTGCACAATTCAGTGGCATTAAGTCCATTCACATTGTTGTGCAACCGTGACCACCTCCAAAACTTTTTCCTCTTCCCAAACAGAAATTCTGTACCCATTAAACACGAATTCTGCATCCCTCCCTACACCCACCCCGGGAGCCATCATTGTACTTTCTGTTTCTCTATTTTTATTTTTTATTTTTTTGAGACAGGGTCTTGTTCTATTGCCCAAGCTGGAGTGCAGTGGTGCAATCTCGGCTCACTGCAACCTCCGCCTCCTGGGTTCAAGCAATTCTCCTGCCTCAGCCTCCCGAGTAGCTGGAATTACAGGTGTGTGCCACCACATCCAGCTAATTTTTTGTATTTTTGGCTATCATTCATTCATTCCACAAATATTGGCTGGTTATCTGCCATGTGCCAGGAACTCTACTAGATGATATGAAGATGAACAAAACTGGACAGAACCCCTGCCTTCATGCCCTTCCTGCCCACAGGGGAGGCAGGCATTGATCATGGCATCTCTGTCCTGTGGTACTAAAGGTCCAGCAGCCCATGCTGGGAGGCAGCATTTCAATCAGCAGTGGGGATTCTGCTTGGTGGGCTGGCCCAGATCCCAGTGTCCCATCACTTTTCTGAGCTCGGTTTTCTCATCTGTGAAATGGGAGTGATCACTCTCCCCATCCAACCTTTTGGTGTGGCAGGATGAGGTTCTCTGTTCCTCTCACCCTCTTCTTTCCTCCCTCCTCTGTGAGATCAGCAAAGGCAAATTCTCATCCCCATTTTGCAGATGAGTAGACTGAGGATCAGGGAGGCAGGGCAGAGTCTTCACCAGAATCTTTCCCAGGATGGTCCCTGTCCCTCACTAAGTCACTGGATCTGCTCTCCCCAGCCTGGGGGCACTGCCACCCCTCCAGCTGGGCTCCTACCGAGTGCCAGTCAATGTATCCTCGTGTCTGAGGGCAAAGACTAGAGGCCTGGCAGGACTCTCCCAGGGTATCTCCTTTTTACCTGTGTCCTCCCACCAGGCAGGGTTCCCTGGGCTCCAGCAGGTGCAGGCAGGAACCCCCCAGGGCACTTTACTTCCCCAGCCTTCAAAAGAGTTCTCTGCCTATGTTGTTTTCTGTCCAGTTGGAGCACAGGTCCCACAGTCACACAGACCAGGTCTTAGTTCTTTGCTGATCTGTGGGACCTTAGCTGGGGTTCTCTAAGTCTCATTGTCCTCACCTATAAAACCACTCCCTCTGGTTGATAAGGAAACTGTGCTCACCTGGTGGGACACTGCTGCATTCACCAACTCAGGCTGCCATAACAAAACACCATAGCCTGAGTGGCTTATGCAACAGAAATGCATTTCCTTCCAGTTGTGGAGGCTGGAAGTCCAAGGTCAAAGTGCCGGTAGGGCTGGTTTCTCCTGAGATCTCTTACCTGGGCTTGCAGATGTGTCTTCACATGGCTTTTTCTCTGTGTGCCTGCATTCCTGGCATCCTCCTCCTCTTATAAGGACACCCGTCCTATGAACCAGGGCCCAGCCCTTATGATGTTCCTTTTACCTAATTACCTCCTTAAAGGTCCTATCTCCAAATGCACTCACCTTGGGGGTTAGGGCTTCAACCTACAAATTCTGAGGGATTGAGGAAGACACAATTCAGTCCATAACTACTCAGCAATTAAAAGGAACAAGCCACTGATGAGCAAGAGAAGCCAGACACAAAACGTAGACATGTATGATTCCATTTATATGAAATGCTGGAAAAGTCAGAACGAATCTACAGTGACAGAAAGCACAGCTGTGGTTGCCTGGGGCTGCAGGAGGGGAGAATTCTTGGGACAATCCGTGGGAGAACTGACTCCAAAGGGTTCCAAGGGGGCTTTCTGGGGTTGATGAAAATGTTGCCTCTTGATTGTGGTGATGGTTGCATGGAAATATACATTTGTCAAAACTCATTGAACTGGATGCTGAAAATGAGTGTGTAAATTGTATGCATGTAAACTATACCTTGCTAAAATAAAATTTAAAACCCTACCTCAAAGGGTTAAAAAAATAAGACTCAAGTTAGGTGGTTGTTAGGAGTAAATGAGTTAATGCCTGCAAAGTGCTTAGCTTGGAGCCTGGCATGGTGTAAGTGTGCAAGTAAATGGTAACCATGGTAACCTGAAAACAAGACTTTTGCCCAGTAAGTGGGGCAAGAAAGAGAAATAAACACAGAAGGCAAGGGGTGGGGAGTGATGCTTCTCCCATGCCCAGAGCAGACAGGCAGGGGCTGTGATCTCAGCCTCCTGGAGTCATCGGGTCACTCTCCCGGCCCAGGCGAGGATTCCTATAATGCCTGTCAGCATCTTTTGGGCCCTGGGGGCAGCCAACTGCAACTTAGCCCCTGTTCAGCCCTGATCCTGTTTTTTTTTTTTTTTTCATTCATTCACTGAACATGCACATTGGACCACCTAGCACAACAAAAGACAATAATAGCTGCTTCTGTTTACTGAATGATCTTATGTGCTCAGTGCTTGACATTTTGGGCTGAACCAAATGAAAGAGCCAAGATTCCACCAGTTTTTACCCACAAAATGCCAGTTTACTGTGGTTCAACCTGATACATGATCTCTTTCATTGTTATGACAAATCTGAGAGTAGATATGATTATTTCCATTTTGTGGCTGAGAAGATGGAAATTCACAGAGGTGAAGTGCCTGGCCCAAGGTCACACAGCTGTGAGTAGCTGGATTTGAACACAGGTCTGACTCTGAATCCCGTATGTTACATGTTCCTTGCCCTTAAGGAGTACCGGTCTAGTGTAGGGATGAACACATTAAATACGGCCCCCGGGGTCTCGCCCACTCACCCCCTGAATCCCCCCAACAGGCTGCCCTCAGCTTTTCAGACACTGGACATGAGTGTTCTTGGTCTTCCAATGATGCCAAAGTCCTGCCGCCCTGCAAACAGCTCCTCTGCCCACCAGGACATCTTGCCTTCTCCGGACCTGCTTCTCCCCGGACCTCGGGGGTTGTGTGGTCAGTGCTGGCTGGTCCCTGGTGAAGCTGTACTTATGTGTCTCTGTTGCCCCAGGAGTTGCCCTCATTCTGCCCATCTTGTCCTCACTCCAAGCCCGCCCCTTCTTAAAGACTCCCTCTGAGTTCAGGTTCGTCTTTAATTCACAGCTCATTAGTAGATCAAAGAGGACAGAGACACCCTGAGTCTAAGGGACCCTCAGGCAGCCCCATCCTCACACTGTAACAAGGTGCCCCCTTGGCAGGAGACAAGGGGATCTCCCTGGCTGCTCTTTGTGAAGCAAGGAGAGGGGGCTGGGACCTGGCTCCAGGCTCCCCCATTTATAACAGGGCCAGAGGTTCAGCTGGCAGGGCTGAGGCAGAGGCATTGGAAAGCCGTCAGCCCCTCCTCCAGAGCCTGAGCAGGACAAGGACAGTTAATTCCTCTGGTGTTATCAGCTGGGCACAGGCTCTGGTTGCATAGCAACCCGGATTGCTCTCTGCCTCTAGTGTTCCAAAAAAAAAAAAAAAGCATTTTCTCCAACTCCATGAAATGGAATTGGGCCCAGGGCAGCCCAGGCTCCCTGCCCCCAAGTGTGGCTCATTTGTAGGAAGCTCCAACCCATGCCCTGCTGTGGGATCCCCACTCTTAAGGCCTTCATCCCCGTCTTGCCTCACCCATGCCAGGCTGGGGGTAGGAATTCACCCACCACCCTACTGCTGCAATGTGAAGCTGGGTCAGAAGTGAAGTCTCAGTTTGTCCAAGGGGATGCTGGACAGGCCTGGGATCTGGGTGAAAAGGCATGAACTGGGGGAGCCCAGCCAGTTCTGGCAATGCAGTTTACTTATTCATTCATTAAGAAATATTTATTGGGCACCTACTGGGTCCCATACCCGTAAACTCCCCAGATTTGGTGAGTTAAAGATGGCTGCCAACTCTTTGCCACTCCTTCCATGAAGAAGTGGAATCCAGGCCGGGCGCGATGGCTCATACCTGTAATCCCAGCACTTTGGGAGGCCGAGGCAGGCGGATCACGAGGTCAGGAGATCAAGACCATCCTGGCTAACACAGTGAAACCCTGTCTCTACTAAAAATACAAAAAATTAGCCAGGCGTGGTGGCGGGCGCCTGTAGTCCCAGCTACTTGGGAGGCTGAGGCAGGAGAATGGAATGAACCCAGGAGGTGGAGCTTGTAGTGAGCCGAGATAGCGCCACTGCAGTCCGGCCTGGGCGAAAGAGCGAGACTCCATCTCAAAAAAAAAAAAAAAAGAAAGAAAGGAAAAAGAAGTGGAATCCATTTCCCTTCCTCTTAAATTGGGGCTGGCTCTGTGGCTGGTCTGGCCAGTGGAATGTGACAGTAGTGACACCGTATAACTCTGAGACTGAGCCCTAAGAAATTAGCAGATTCTACCTTTGCGGCTTGAAATGCTCCTTCTTGGAACACCATCACCATGATGTGAAGAAGCCCAAGCAGCCACGTGGAGCGGCCCTCTTTAAGTCTGTATCATTTACCAGTTGCATGAGTAAAGCCATATAATACCATGTGAAGCAGAAGAATCCTCCAGCTGAACCCTGACCAGGTCCTTGACCCACAGAATCATGAGCAAATAAAACTATTCTCCCTTTAAGCTAGTAAGCTTTGAAGTAGCTTGTTATGAAATAATAGATAACCAAAACACCAGGAGAGCTTAGTTTTCCATTCATAGATTCTCAAATACCAACACATGTGGTTTAAGTACCTGATGTATGCTAGACCCTGTGCCCAGTTCCAAAGCAAAATGCCACTCACGCTGGGGAACTGGAGGCATCAGGAGACGGCACAGAGGCAGAGAGCAGAACCAAGAGCCCAGAGATAAGAGCAGACAATTAAATAGAAACCACCTATAATTAAAGGGGTCACAAAATAAGGTGGGGAAGGCAATTTTCATTGCTACTCAGACCACACAGTGTTGAATTCAGGTATCAACTCTGCATATTTGGAAATAGGTGCCTGGGCCACATGGGAGGGATTCTGAGGTGAAGTCTGAGCTCCGGGGTGATGGATTCATGGTGTCTACAGTAGTTGGGGAGAGGAGAATGCAGGTACCTGTCTCATGCCTGTGCTTCTTGAGCCCATGCTGTCCGCTGGCCTCTGTGACTAACTCTTCTGCACCTACTTAGACAAGGAGAGAGGCGGGAAAACAGGTTGTTCAGGCAGGCTTTGTGGGGGCTAGAGCAGAGAGGACCCCAGGCATGCATTCATACTTTTCAAACTGGAGTTATAGACCTCCTTATAAACCAGCAGGGCAGCTTCAGAGGGTTAGTTTTTAGTTTAGTTTAGTTTTGTTTTAAAATGTCTTCTAGTCAATTTAGTTCAAAATTCCATCATCTTGTTCTGTATTCCTGGGTCAGACTTTCACCTGGCTCTTTTTTTTTTTTTTTTTTGAGATAGAGTTTTGCTCTTGTTGCTCAGGCTGGAGGGCAATGGCGTGGTCTCAGCTCACTGCAACCTCCGCCTCCTGGGTTCAAGTGATTCTCCTGCCTCAGCCTACCAAGTAGCTGGGATTACAGGCACTCGCCATCACACCCGGCTAATTTTTGTATTTTTAGTAGAGATGGGGTTTCACCATGTTGGCCAGGCTGGTCTTGAACGCCTGACCTCAGGTGATCCGCCCGCCTCGGCCTCCCAAAGTGCTGGGATTACAGGCATGAGCCACCGTGCCCGGCCTCTTTTTAATACTGATGTCTGGGCTCTACCCACCCACCCGCTTCATGCTTGGGAGTCACTATTTTACAACTCCTCAGCTGATTCTAACATGCAGCCAGGGTTGAGAAAATAGCGCCTAACCCTTGGAGACACACAGCTGATAAAAGGAAAGTCTTCGTTCTCAAGAAACGTCTAGGTTTGGGGTGGGGAGTCGGGGGTAAGTAGGAGGCAGTTGTGTGCTGAAAACGTTTCTGTGTTCCAGGGAAAAAAGGCTTGATTTTTAGCATTTGCTGATTTTTGTGATATAGATACTTTCACTATGGCCGATTTCAAGCCACCAATGTGATGTAACTGAAAGCTGGGTTGGGATGAGAGGCACAATGGCACACCACATACTAGAGGCAGGCACATCCACAGCTCATGACAACGCTGGGTGAGAAGGGCTGCAGTTACTTTGCACTGGACCAGCATCAGACCAGCAGCCTTGGCACCACATGGGTGCTGGTGAGAGAGGCAGAAGCTAAGGTTCACCCCAAATCAACTGTATCAGCATTTGTGCTTTAACCAGATCTCCAGGCGATTCATGAGCACATCCAAGTTTGAGAAACTCTGCTCCAATAAATGGATCTGTAAAAACCTTTTCTGGGGCCTGACATGGCATGGTGGCTCATGTCTGTAATTCCAGCACTCTGGGAGGCCAAGGTGGGAGGATCACATGAGGCCAAGAGTTGAAGACCAGCCTGGGCAACAACATACTGAGACACCTGTATCTACAATAAAATAAAATAAAATTAGCTGGGCATGGTGGTGAGTGCCTGTAGTCCCAGCTACTCAGGAGGCTAAGGTGGGAGGATCCCTTGAGCCCAGGAGTTTGCGGCTGTGACGATCAATGATTGTGGCAGTGTACCTCAGTGTGGGCAACAGAGTGAGACCCTGTAGAAAGAAAGAAAAGAAAGAAAGAGAGAGAGAGAGAGAGAAAGGGAGGGAAGGGAAGGATGGGAAGGAAGGGAAGAAAGAAAGAAAAAGGAAGAAAGAAAGAAAGAAGGGAAGAAAGAAAGAAAGAATGAAAGAAAGAAAGAAAGAAAAGAAAGAAAGAAAAGAAAGAGAGAGAGAGAAAGCAGATGGAAATAACCATACCTAGAAGGGTCAGAGAAACCTTCCCAGGAAGAGTGGCATAAGAATTGGGTTTCAAAGGATGAGTAGGAGTTTTCCATACAGATAAGAGGTAAGAATGGGGAAAGGAATTGTTGAGAGGGATGAGTATGGACAAAGGTATAGAGTGGGGAAAAAGTGGTGTGGAGAGGGCATGGGGTGTAGTGGGAGGAGACGAGGCTAGAGAAGTGGGTTCCCAAAGTGTCACCTGACCAGCAGCATCTGTGTGCTGGAAACTCTTGTGAAATGCAAATTATGAGGCTCCCCTCCTAAATCTACTGAATCAGAAATTCTGGAGGTGGGACTAGAATCTGTATTTTTTATTTTTTATTTTTATTTTTTGAGACTGAGTCTCAATCTGTCACCCAGGTGGAGTGCAGTGGTGCAATCTCGGCTCACTGCAACCTCCGCCTCCCAGGTTCAAACGATTCTCCTGCCTCAGCCTCCCGAGTAGCTGGGACTACAGGAGTGCGCCACCATGTCCAGCTAATTTTTGTATTTTTAGTAGAGACGGGGTTTCACCATGTTGGCCAGGATGGTCTCAAACTCCTGACCTCAACTGAGTCCTGATTTCTGAGAGACAGACAACGGCATGTGTGTGACTGACAAGTGGGCTCTGCTGAGCACCGATGGGTTTGCTGATGGGACAGTTATGGAGAAGAAATCTCCTGAAAGCATCCTCCACCTTGAACTCAAACTCACTAGTGACCTTGGCTGAGATGTCACTTCCTCTGTAAAGCCTTCTCCCTGCCAGCCACTCTCCATCGCTGTGACCCCACTGCCTCCTCAGCCCTCCCCATTACCTCTCAAGCTGTTCTCTAATGGCTTAGCTGTCCTTCCAGCACAAGGCCAGGACCTTGTACATCTTGGTATGACATCCCCAGCACACTGCCTGACGTTACCCCCATTCCAGCAGCTCACTCTTGATTGAGTACTTACTGAGTGTGAGCATCATGCCACGGGCTTTACCGGAGCTGTGTCATTTAAACCTGAGAACTGCCCTATGAAATGGGTACTATTGTTGTCAACCCCATTTTACAGATGAGGAGACTGAGGCACAGGAAATAAAATACACTGCTCAAAGCCACATGGCTGGTAAGCCACAGGCAGCCTGCCTCCAATAGACAAACACATTTTGTTGTTGTTATTGTTTTTGTGCTTGTTGCAGGAAGGGAGGGAAAGGGGGAGGGAAAAGTGGGATTTCCTGAGCATCTTTATCACCCATGAGGTCCACAGTGCCCTCCCAGACTGCTGGCTATTCTCCCTTCACTCTGAGGGACACTGCGGAAGGACCTGGAAGAGCTGAGCCTTGTCCAGGAGCAGTGGCTGCTTTATTTAGGGCCTAATGAGCCAGTGTCTCTGCTGTGACTCAGCCACGGCCCAGGGGTCTCCAGGGAGAGGGGACTGTCTGCAGGCCCTGGCTAGCAACTCTCTGCTAACAGCACCTTTCAGCTCCCGCTCTCTCAGCTGCTGTAGCCATTAGTGCTGAAATTAGCATCGTAATTGCCTTTTAACTATTCTTAGCTGTGAAAGAGACCAGGCTGCCCCGCCTCTCCCTCCCTGCCTAGAGAGCAGTGTTGGCTTCCCTTCCTGGATCTAAGGACCACCCCCTGTCCACACTCCCGAGCCTCAGTTTCTTCATCCTCCAAGTGAGGGTGATAATCCAAGCTTCAAAGGCTTATTGTGATGCATATAAAATGCTTGTCATAGTTCCTAGCACACTGTGAGCAATGATGCCAGTTGTTGTGTTTGGAGACCCAGGAGTGCAAGGATATGTATGCAAGTCCATGTCATAACCAGCGTTAGTGCTCAGGTCCTTTTGACTCTGAGCTTAGGGCTCTTCCTGTCCCACCGTGTCAATCCTTAAAATGTGCCTTTCCCTGCCAACAATGGCTTGTTTGTAGGCTGGGCAGTCACTCTTGTAATCCCAGCATTTTGGGAGGCCAAAGGGGAAGAATCACTTGAGGCCAGGAGTTGGAGGCCAGCCTGGGCAATGTATCGAGATCCCACCTCTACAAAAAATTTTAAAAATTACATGGGTGTAGTGGAGTGCTCCTATAGTCCCAGCTACTCAGGAGGCTAAGGTGGGAGGATCACTTGAGCCTGGGAGGTTGCAGTGAGCCAAGGTCACACCTCTGTACTCTAGGCTGGACAGCAGAGTGAGATCCTGTCTCAAAACAAAACAAAACAAAACAAAACACAATCATATGAGATGACAGTAAACAAGATCTTGCCTGAAAACATTCAGCTTTGTCATCATAATTAGAAGATTTTTACTACAAAAAAATCAGGCCTCGGTGAAGAGAGGGGACTCACCCCAAAGGAGTTGCAACCACTGGGTCATCTAGTTTGCCCTCTTAAAAGTGTGAACACTAACTTTTGATATGCAGCAAAAGGTTGAAGGGACGGATGATGAAGCCCAGCTGCCTGGTTCCAGTCCAGTTCTGCCACTCCCCCCAGGGTGACCTTAGGCCAGTTACTTAACCTCTCTGTGCTTCGGCTTCCTATTCTGCAAAATGAGGATAATAATGCCTTTCCGGCAAGTGTGTTCTGAGGTATGAATCAGTCAATGTAGTGAAGCACCTGGCACAGCAGTAAGACACAGTGAGAACCAGGTAAGTGTTTGCTCTTATTACTCATTAGGCATCTTTACTTACTTGCTTGTGTGGCTTCTAAACTGCAGTTTGGGGAGGGGGTTCTGCAATCATCAGCAGCAAATTGTTTTTAGGCCAGTCACCATCACATGGACGATGTTTTCTTACCCTTGGTTTAGACTTGAATCCCAATCAGGCCAGGAGGGGAGATCCCCAGGCTGACCCCGTTTAAGGTGCAAAAACTGAGGCTTGAGAAAGTTAAGTAACTTTCCCAAGATACACACATTATAAAAAGAGGAGCCTGGCCTTGAATTCGGTCAAGTCTCCAGTGCTGGGCACCAAGTAGCAGGCCCCTCAGCTGGCCCTGCATCTTCTTGGGCCTCCCCATAACCCCTGTCAGCAATCCCCGTTTAATGCGAACACCATATCCTTCCCTCCTGGCGGAGGCATATCTGGCAGTGCTTAAAAGCACAAATAAGCTGAGATTGATATGAGGATGAATTGAATTAACATTTATACGACCAGTACAGGGCGTGGCACAGGATGAGTGCTAAGTTAGTAATATTTATGATGATGATGACTATTACTATTATTATTCTGAGACAGGGTCTCACTCTGTTGCCCAAGCTAGAGTGCAGCGGTGCAATTAAGGCTCACTGCAGCCTCCACCTTCAGGGCTCAGGCGATCCTCCCTCCTCAGCTTCCTGGGTAGCTTAGACTACAGGCGCGTGCCACCATGCCCAGCTAATTTATTTATTTATTTTGTAGAGAAGAGGTCTCACTGTGCTGCCCAGGTTGCTCTCAAGCTCCTGGGCTCAAGCGATCCTCCTGCCTCGGCCTCCCAAAGTGTTGGGATTACAGATGTGAGTCACTGCACCTGGCCTATTATTATTTAGCTCGGAAAATCAACCCTAATGACCTCACCGGATACACCACTTCCAGGCTTGGATTTTAGGTTCCCTACACAATTTAGGGCTGTGTCCTGGCTTTAAATATGTAAATGCTGCTGTGAGAAACACATCCTCGGGAGGGAGAAGGGGTGGGCTCAGAACCTAAGACTTTCCAGGAACTCAGATGGGGACTTGGGAAAGCTGTAAAGAAGAGGTCCCTGATCTTATGAAGTTTATGGAAAACTACCTAATTACAAAATTACTTCACGCCTTGAAAAAGAACGGAATGAACAGGACGCTATCATACAGAATAACGGAGGGGTGGGGCTCCACTTCTGATCAGAGGGTCAGGGAGGACCTCTTGGAGGCGGTGATAGTTAAGCTGACACCTGAAGAAGCCAGTCATGCAAAGAGTGGGTCAACAGCTTTCCAAGGCAGAGGGAATCAGGAAAGCGATGGGCTTGTCTGAGGAACAGAAAGGACAACGAACGTGTGAGTCACACTAAGGGGCGCCGTGGTGCGGCATGAGGCTGGAGCCTGATCACTCGGGGTCTTACTGGCCACGGTGAGGAGTCAGGGTTTCATGCGCCCCTGCAGTCAGAAAGCATGGCCCAACCCCAGTGCCCTAAGTCCGGAAACATTCAAAGCTGGACCCAGGGTAGCGGGATCCGGGGCCTCTGGGGACCCGAGAGGGACGTTAAGTTCAGGGCTTCAGGGTGCAGCCCTGGGGTCGGTACCCCCAGCCTCCAACCCAGAGCTGGCAGCGCTCGCCCCCTTCTCCGCGCGGGCCCTCAGCTCAGCTCCCTCTTCGCTCCCCGTGTCCCCGCGAGCGGGAGGGAGGGGATGCTAGGACGCCCTGTCGGCGTCGTCGCCGCTTTCCGCCATTGTTTAGTCGTGATGCTCTCATTTTCTCTGAATCAACAATTTTCTGCTCGGCTCCGCGCCGACCGGCGAACGCGGGGCTTTTCCTCGCCCGCCTGATGACAGCAGAGCGGCGCGGAGCAGCTGGTCCGGAAGGAAGCGCCAGGCGCCTGCCCGGTCCCAGGCGTCCGCTGCCGCCCACCCACACCAGACCCCGCCCCCGCGCGTCAAGCCCCGCCCATCCATACCAAGTCCCGCCCCCACACCCTCACCCACACACCAGGCCGTCCCCACCCCGCCCCCAGAGCCCCGGGGCGCCCCGCCCGCTAGCCGCGCACGCGCAGTGAGCACGGCGACCCCCGGTGGTCGGGTGTCTCCGCAGGCCGAACACGCTGCTCGCCCAGCTGCGGATCATTACCGCCCTTTTGTTCTCCGTCGCGCGCTCGCCCCACGCTAGGAATGCAAACTGTAGGCGCCGCCAGCCCCCCCTTCCTGTTTCCCTGGGTGGGAGTGGGAAGGGAGTTTTAAACTGAATTGTGCTCAGACTCCCAGCCCAGTCTTCCCGGAGCCATCCGTTCCTTCATCCAATGCGGACACCCATATCTAAGGTTCGGGCAGGATTTCCGGGGCACCCTCAAACCCAGCCCGTGGGATCCGGGAAGGCCTCCTGGAGGAGAGTCCACGAGGCACGGAGCCGAGGATGGGGTTGGGGTTAGGTCTTGGAGGGCTTCGAATTTCCGGCAAAGGGTCTGGGATGGTTCTTGAGGACAGCAGGGATTTGCAGGGAGGCTGGGGGTGGAGGTGGGCAGAGGTCTTGCTCACATTTGTGTTCTACAAAGGTCCTTTTGGCTTTTGGGAGGCGGAGACTGAGACTGGAGTCCAGAGGACCAAGGAGGACGAGGTAACTGCCGTGGTCCAGGTGGGAGAAAATGTCGGTGAGGTCTTGGGGGATAGAACGCAAAAGAAGACTAGGGAGTAAAATTTACAGAACCAGTGGCTAGTCAAGTTTAGGGGTGAGGGGGAAAATGAGGACACCCCCAAGATTCTGACTTCCGTGACCATATGGGCGGGGGGACGTCTCCTGAGAAACTGGGAAGGAATGAGGGTTGCTGGGCTGAGCAGATGAGGGAGACCTCGTTCTCCCACCCCCTTCCTAACCTTGTACTTTCCACACCTACGTAAGTAGGCCCTCGTTTCACACAGGCCTCTGTTCAGCGTCCCTTCCTCTGAGAGGCCTTTGCTGACCACCTTTTGTAAGACCCTCCCCATCCCCATACCCTACCCACTGTTTCTTCACGGCACTGACCACCCAAAGTTGTATTTGGATTTGTCTATTGGTTTCTTTTCTGTCTCCCCCACAAAACTGTGAGCTCCTTGAGGACAGGGGCTTTGCTCGGTTCTTTGCAGTATTTCCAGGACCTGGGACACCATTGCCTAGTCTCTGCCTAAAGAATGCATGAATGAATGAATGAGGCAGTGCAGGGTCCAGGCCTTGCTGGTTCATCACTGCATTCTGAGCTGAGCACTAAATAGCAATTTGCTCAATAAATGCATGAATGGATGGATAGTTGCTTCACAACCTAGTAGATAAAATCTAGGCCGGGTGTAGTGGCTCATGCCTATAATCCCAGCACTTTGGGAGGCCGAGGTGGGTGGATCACTTGAGGCCAGGGGTTCAAGACCAGCCTGGCCAACATGGTGAAACCCTGTCTCTACTAAAAATACAAAAATTAGCCAGCCGTGGTGGTGCGCACCTTTAGTCCCAGCTACTTGGGAGGCTGAGGCAGGAGAATCACTTGAACCCAGGAGTCAGAGGTTGCAGTGAACCAAGATCACACCACTGCACTCCAGCCTGGGTGACAGAGTGAGACTCCGTCTCAAAACGAAACAGCCTGGTAGGTAAAATCTAGAGTCATAATGTGAGGAGCAGTACCGTGAGATACCATCAGGATAATGGATTAATAATAGCCCATGTTTATTGAGCGCCTCCTTCACACCAGGGCTGTGTTGCCTGCTGCAGATGGGTTATCTCAGTTAGTCCTCATGTCATCCCTATGAAGTAAGGACTCTTGGTGGCTCCATTTACACACATGAGGAAAATGAGGCCCAGAGAGGTTGAATGATATGCCCAAATTCACACAGCTAGTAAACGGCAGGGCCAGGATCTGAACCTAAGGTGGTTGCACTATTACCAAGTCACAGCACAGTACATGGATGCTATGGCTTGGTGGAAAGGGTCAAAAGCATCCCCACACCCAGTCCAAGGCTCCTCCTAACTTAGATGATTTCTTCTCAAAGGGTCAGAGGCTCCATGTTGCCCCAGCCAGGCCCAGAACAGCAGCAGAGGTCTGGCTGAGTAGAGAGATGCTGATACTAAGTCTACCTGGCCAGTCCTCGACTGTGGGACCAGCACTCCACTTCATGTGTGTGTTATAACATTCGATCTTCAGAGCAAACTTGGTGAGGCCCTCGCGGTAATCATTCCCATTTTCCAGATGGAGAAAGTGAGGCGTAGTGAGGTAAACCAGCTTACCTAGGGCCACACAGCTATTGTGTGGGACAGCTGGTGTCCAAACCCAGGCAGGCTGATTCCAGATCCCACCTCTGTGCTTCCTTTAAGCTGACCACAGCAGGAGGCTGGATGAGGCCAGGCCAGCTCAGGCTGGCCATTCTCAGTGCCAGATGGTGGCTGCCAGGCATGGCTGGAGCGGTGTTTACCCTGTGGCCATTCTGCCTCTGCCCATTGAGAGGGCAGCCCTCTCAATCATCATAAACCGAGGCTGAACCAAGATAGCAAATCCGCATCCTCCATCCCCTGTCACTGGACATCCTGTATTCAATCACCCACATATTCATTTCTTCTAATCTTTCTCTCTTGACTGTGATAAAGTCACTTTTATAGTGCTGAGAACGTGCAGTTCATTTGAATTAAGTCTGCTGGAGTAGATTAGTTTGTGTGGGAAAATCAGGGCTATAAAAGAAGGCATATTTCAATGGTTCTTTTAACTGATTATGCTCTAGGGTCTTATTGTAAGAATCTCATTTGGGGTGTGGGGTGTGTGTGTGTGAGAGAGAGAGAGAGAGAATTGCACACTCACTTCTAGAACCCTGGAGTGCTGAGGAAGACCACCTAGAAGCCTCCCTATAGGAAGGGTCTGGGCTTCCCTTAGAGAAATGATGAAGGGAACTCTGCTATTATCTCCATCAGGTGGTGGCTGCCCAACCTCTGGGGAATGGGGCAGATAATTCACTCTCATGTAGGAGGGCCCTAAAAGACTTGGGTGCAGCTGAAGATGATCAGCTCATGCCCAACAGAGTGCAATGGCAAAGAAAAGTGGACTGATTTGAATGCCTCCAGAGCCCCATCTGGGAGGAGAGGGTAGGCAGACATTGCCAATCTGAGGGTTATTATGCAGTTACTGTCTGCCTTTCCTGGGAGCTCTTTGAAGATAGTCCTGTTCATCACTGTCTGCCCAGTGCCTGACCCTTTGGAGGCCCTCAGTAAACATTTGGTGAATGAAAGGATGGAGAGAATGAGGAGAGCTGGCCATCAACACCAGCTGTCTACCTGGGCCAATAGAGAAGTTGCCCCTAGGAAGGGTAGACCCAGCAAAGGTCCAGGGCATCAGGGTTTCCAGACCCAGCAGCTCATGCTTGACATTCAAGCCTCAGAAGCAACTGTCTTCAAGGGACTATGTGAGTTTGGACAATGAGCATTTCAGCAGTGGCCAGTGGAAATGGAAGAAAAGAGGATTCTCCCCACATGACCTGCTCTGGATAAACCCTTGTGACCTTTCTTCCACTGGCAGGGGTAGGGGTGTGGTGAAGAAGCTTCATTAGGACAAATTAATTTCCTTCTTGGCCAGGTGGATGGGGATTTAAAACTGACCCCATTTGATTCAAAGAAATAAGTGATGGGATGATTCTGGCTCCTAAAATTATGGGGTTAATTCAACTTATTTCAGGAGTATTAAATGGGGTTGTACAAGTGCCCCTGGTCCTAGGAGAACCTCTTTTAAGTTCCTCCACCTGTCAAGATGACTACTTTGTTACAAGAGCTAGAATCTACAAGAGGCCAGGTCTGCTAGGGCCTCCCAACTGATGGTACAACAGACAACCTGTGGCTGAAGGGAGAGACCTTCTAAAACAGCCAGCCTTGGCCAGAGCTGTCATGTCTAAGGACAGCATGTCACTAGTTCCCCCAGGCCCCTCTGCCTCAGCACCCTCTCCTCTCCAGTTACCTCCTACTCTCTCCCTCCAGAGAGGAATTGCAGCATGGGGTGATTGATGGCTATCAGGTATGTGATTATGCATGTGTGTCCAAACCCACCTATGTGGGCATGCTCTGTGCGTTTGTATGTTTGCTCTCTGTATATGAGAATACGCGTGTACATGAACTTGCATGCTCTGTTAGGGATGTGCTTATGTGTGTGTGCACATAGAGTCTAGGTTCTGTGTATGTGTGTGCATGTGTCTCTGTGCATGTATGGACTATCACATATAGTCACACTGTATGTGTGACTGTGTGACCACAGGATACAGGGCCCTTTGATGATAGAGGGAACTCCCCCACCACCTCCCCTGCACCCAGAGCAAGAGGGCTTGTGTTGGCAATGGACTGGCCTTCTGTAGGAAAAGTCCACCCACTGAGGGGCCTAGGTAGATCTAGTCACAGCCTCGCATTAGCTGCTTCCCTGCCTCAGAATTCTCCTGGGTGGTCAAGCCACGGAGAAGCAAGTGGCTCCCATAGCAGGAAGAAACAGTGACAATCTCAGGTACCCTGTCTGAAGGGACAGTGTGGTCCTGGCCTGTGGTTGTTCAGGATTCTAGTGTATAGATGGGGTGGTAACTTCCAAGCCATCCACCACTTTTCTCTCCTCCACCAATGCAGGGGTAACATCCATCAGGCAAGGTGCTGGCAGTTTTCATCCTGGCTCTAAGTCCTTAGGAAAGTCATGTCACCTCTCTGAGCCTTACTTTTCTCATGAGATAGAAAACCTCACAAGATTGTTAAGAATTACATAAAAATTAAATCCTGTGTAAAATGAGAAAATACCTTCTGACTAGCCACTTCCTGAGGGCATGGGCATGTCAACTTATCTTCGTGTCCTCGTGCTTTGCCTGGGATCTGGTGTATGGCAAGCTCTCACCTCATATTTCTATAAACAATTTTGAAATATGTAAGCCTTTGCAGCTTCCCAACATAAATTCATTCACTCATTTATTAATTCAGTACACTTTTATGGAGCATCTACTATATGTTTGACACTATTTGGGGTATTGGGAATAGAGCTGTCAATAAAAGGGCTTACTTTCTAGTGCACATTAGCATACTAAAGGCTCTGAGAAGTCCAGCAGTACCAGGTTTCTGATAAACTTTGTTTAACCCAGCAGTCTCTGTGTTTAATTATGGAATTCCCCACACCTCTTTCAACCTTTTTTTTGCTAATATGCAAATTTAATCCTGTTCCATTCCTCATTACCTGTTACACTCCCAACTCTAAGCCCCTTCAGAAGGGCTATGGAATATAATAATTAAAACAACTACTCTGGAGCCAGACACCTGTGTGTGTGATCCTGGGTAAGCCTCAATTTATTCATGTGTAAAATGGTGATAATGGCTAGGATTAAGTGAGATAATGTTGCATCTCCAATGCTCAGCATTGTGCCTGGAATGTAGTATAATTCATTTAAATAACACCTATCACTCCAGGTCTCCTCAACACCTATGAGGTAAGGCCAATTGTCCTACATGATACCCAATGCCCTAATTGCCTCCCCAGAGTTATCTGAAATCATTCTCCTCCAACTCTCTTTTATGAGCTGGTCATTCGGAACCACTTGCCAGTTCCCATGGCTCTCAAACAGCCGCCTGTTGTTTCATACCTTTGCTCTCATGTTGCTTCCTCTTCTTAAAATTTTCTTCTCAGTCTTTCCTACCTGGAGAACATACATTACATTCATCTCCCGAGTCATCCCCTAATCACCTCCTCCATTAAACACGTACTCACTGCCTGATCCTTCAGCCCCAACTGATCCACCAGCCAACTGTATTTGCATGAGTTATCCAGGCAAGACCAGTAGAGGAATCACCCAGTTCATCTACAGAATCATGAGAAAATAATATGTCATTATTGTTTTAAGCCTTTAAGTTTTGGAGGTAGTTTGGTATG
This sequence comes from Homo sapiens, assembly GCF_000001405.40. Taxonomy (NCBI): domain Eukaryota; kingdom Metazoa; phylum Chordata; class Mammalia; order Primates; family Hominidae; genus Homo; species Homo sapiens. Next base: position 38,680,441 of record NC_000020.11, read on the forward strand.
CAGCAATAGACAACTAATGCAAGCTCCTTGAGGCCAATAATAACTAACTTCAACTCATCTTCATCTCGCACCTTGTCATTCAGAGGAGTACATGGGGACCCCTAGGACCATTGGTGAAGCCAGGAGAGAGTGAATGCCCTTGGTTGTCTCCATTCCAGACTAGAGGGGGGATAAATGAGGGACCTCCACTAAAACATCAGTGGAAGGACCCTAGGAAGAATGAACTGTCTAGAGAACAGACCAACAGATCCTCAGCGGACACTGTGAGCTGTCCAGGGTCCTGAGTATTCTGTTCTAGGGGAACACAGTGCCATGCTCTGATCTGCCCACTCCTGTGCCAGGGTCACCCTACTCAAGACCCGCCCTAGTGATTGTTATGCTGACATCTGAGAGAACCAGCCTTATAGTGGGAATAGAGGATTTGACATCTGCTCAAATGGAATTGAAGTTGATTCTTACACCTTCACCCTTCCTTCTCCCTTCCACCCTCCCTCTCAGGAACGATTTGACCATTATAATAAAAATCCAGCTTTATGTAAATACCCTATCCTCCAAGTAATAAATGCCATTAGCTGAGCCTGACTGAGCAATCGCATGCTTTTAAACATCCATTTGAAGATCTTTGAAAGCTCTCTCGAGGCTCTTGCTCATAATTCACTAAGTGGGAGTTGGTAATAACTGTGTTAAATGGCCAGGCCCTGCAATTCGCGGAGGTGTGTCTGTTTGTGTGTTGGTGGTGGTAGTGGCAGGGGGTGCTGGGAAGAGGATGCCCTTCCTTCCATGCTGATCGGTTACTTATTTTTAAGAGTCCCACTGGGGGCTCACAGTCCTTTGATGAGCTACTAATGAAAGAGCCAGATCTAACAATTAATTTCCCCAGAGTTATTATTTATTGTTTTGGCAACATTTCTCTGAAAAGCCTTAATACTCACCTGGCTTCCTGATGGTTGAGGAGAACCATGGGTTGAGAAGAGAAATTAGTTTTACCTGTTTATTCAACAATCATGAATTGAGCACCTGTGTGTGCCAGGCACTGCACTGGAGCAAGATACACCCCTGCCTTCAGAGAGTCCCCAGTTTGGTGGGGGGCAAGATAGGGAAGGGAGCAGGCATAACAATACAGTCTAATACCTATGATAGAGGGGACAATGTAGGGGGCTGTGGGAGCCAGGGGTGGCACATAGCCAAGATTGAAGGAGTCAGGGAAGGCTACAAGAGGAAGAGTCCTTAATGATGACCTAGAGCTAACAAGATAAATAAAAAATAGGGAAAGGAAATACTGTGAGAAGAAGGACCAGTATCTTCAAAGACTCTTAGAAGAGAAAGAGCATCCATAAAATTCTGGTGAGATAGTGTAGTACTGAGAACTTTGTCACTGCTGGTGGGAGTGTAAATTTGTATAGCCATTTGGGTAAACAGTTGGACGCTATGTAGTAAATTTGGAGATATGCAAGCCCTTCAACCCAGCAATTCCATTTATGTCTAGAGATACTTCTGTATGTATACAACATTAGGAGACATATACATAATAATCAGAGCAGCATGGTCTGTAATAGGCAATGACTGGAAACAACCAAAAACCTATCAAAGGCAGAATGAGTAATTGTGGTGTAATCATACAACAGAATACTATACAGTAGTGAAAATGAATGAACCACAGTACACTTCACAACATGGATAATTTTTATATTGACACAAATACATACAACATGACTTCATTTATATTAAATTCAAAGCAGATAAAGCTGAAATATTGTCCTGGGATATTTACTAAGGTGGTAGATATATAAAAGAAAGCAACAAAATGGTTGACCATAGTGTTTTATTTCAGGGGGAGGAAGGGACATGATTGGGGTGGATCACATGGGGAGTCTCAGGCGACATATATGTCTTGATTTGAGTGGTGCTCACATAGATGTTTAGAATTTTTAAATAAATTGTGCACATTTATATCTTTTATATGTTTCTAAGCTTGTGATATATTTCAATATTTTTGTTAAAAGAGGCAAAAAAGCATCATTGTAGCCTGAGTCACTGGGTCCTTCTCTGAACATAACTGTGAGAAGCCTGGCACACCAATGGGAGGGCTGAGGGTGGCTCTCAGGGGACCCTCTGGTGCCAGCATCCTTCTTGGCTGTGTTTCTGTGTGGTGAATAGGCAACCCCACAATGGCAGTACCAAGGGCCACATAGGATCTGAAGTTCTTTTGGATGCTTCTTAGATCATCTCCATGAGATATGGCATGGCTTTGTCATCCAGAAGACCACCAGATGGCTAAACAGTAAAAAAGAGCTTTATAGGTAATATCAGTTTGTAAGCTGGGAAGAGAAAGTCTCCAGCATGGATTAAAGGTGCTCTCTCTTTGAAGAGAGAAAGGACAGGTTGGATTTTCTGCCTCACAGCGTCCATGTTACACAATAGAGTCATACATAGTCAGCAGGTTTAGGGGAAAAGGTATATACATTCATGAGGGGAGCTGAGCACATCCACGCACACTAGGTAAATATGTATGTAACATACATCCCATGTTCACTTTGGGGTGGGGTTTTAGCATTAAAATGAGGTAGAATTTGGCTCTTTATATCAAAAGGTGAACTATAGGACAGAAAGATAGTTTGCACACAGCCTCTATAAGCTAGCTGAAAATGGCTTAAGGTCTGCAATTGCTTATGATAAAAGAATGCAAGCTCAGTCCTCTGTCTAGTCAGAGCTGTAGTGGTCTGGGTTGTAAATCAGAGCTAGGAGGGGTCTGATAGCTCCTATTGTTAGGGAGCTTAGAGCTATAGGAATTTAGAAATGTGCCAGGCCAGTCAGGACCTGAACCCTTAACCAATAGGTAACTTTGTTTCCTTAACGTTTGGGTTCATCTTAGTTGATAAAGGGGCATCTATTTTGGCCTCTCAGATCTCTCCTTAGTTTCCAGAGGACCCCACATGGGCCTGGGTGTGAGTTTCACAGGGTAAAATGGAGTCAGGTGATGCTCTGGGAGAACCTGAGAAGAGAGACAGCATTGCTTTGTCTTTCCACTTGCAAGTCCCCAGGATGGGTTAGGATTGTAAGGTGCTATCTGGCCCCAAAATCCAACTTCAGGGCAGGGTCTCTCCTAGATGGACTCTGCAGTGGGCACACTAGAATGAACATTGCCATGAGGATCTTGCCTGGTTCCAGGTGACTCTGAATCTTTAACATAAATGGACCTTGATCCCAATCTGGGGAAGAAGATGGGTGTTCCCAGGTTGTAGCAGCTGGGAAGGATCTCAGTGGTCTCTTGTATCCAGCCCTTAGGACTTTTTGGCTTTTGATTAGCTCTCAAGCCAACTTTATAGTTGTTCATTTATAAGAGTAATATATTCTTTCAGAACAATTATACAATGTGGAAATGAATATAGAAAGTATTATGGTTTCCCTTATAATCTCATGTTGCAAACAAACAAACAAAATAAACAAACAAACAAAAAACAATATTAAGGCCGAGCTTGGTGGCTCATTCCTGTAATCCTAGTACTTTGGGAGGCCGAGGTGGGAGGACTGCTTGAGCCCAGGAGTTTAAAGCCAGCCTGGGCAACATAGAGAGACCTGGTCTCTAAGAAGAATAGAAAAATTAGCCAGATGTGGTGGCGTGCACCTGCAGTCCCAGCTACTGGGAGGCTGAGGTGGGAGGATCGTTTGAGCCCAGGAGGTTGAGGTTGCAGTAAGCCATCACACACAAAAAGTAAATAAAAATAAGAAAAGAAAAGAAATCAATATTAATAGTCTGGCATATTTTCTTCCACACATTATTCCAAGCTCATACACATATGTACAAACACAGTCTGGAGCTCATACACATATATACAAAAACAGTCTGGAGCTTTCTTCTTTTTTGTTTCGAAAAATGGGATCATGCTACGCTCATTACTCTGTGATTTGACATTTCACATTATAATAGATCATGGATATCATTCAAGATCAGCCCTTCCAGATCTAATAGACTTTTTTTTTTCAATAGCTGTATAATATTCCCCAGTTTGGATGTAGCAGAATTTACTCAACCTGTCCGCTGTTGATAGACTTTTAAGTAATTTCCATTTTTTGCCACTACAAATAATGTTCAGGAAACATCCATTGCTTATATCTACATGTCCTAATGCATTTCTTTGTGTAGGATAAATCCCCAAAGCTAAACTGTGAGTGAAAGAATGCACTTTTCTATTTTAACAAGTCCTGACAGATTACTTTCTCAAGATGTTGTAGTCTTTCACACTTCCACCAATGACATAGGACATTCTCATTTCTCTACACCCTACACTGGCTGCTATCAACTCACAACGTTCTCTTCCCTCAATATGATGAGCAGATGAGCAAAGCAGAAAAACAGCAGAAATAAAAACAACACCAAAACTTATTTTATTCTATTTGCACTTATCTGATTACTATTAAGGTTGGTTATTTTCTCAAATGTTTGTTCATTGTTTGTATTTTCTTCTCCAAGAAATGCTTATTCATATCACTTATCCATCTTTGTATCAGGTGGTTTCCCTTTTTATTACTGATTTGCTGAAGATCTTTGCATATTAAGTGATTAAGTGTGTCTCTTGCATGATCCTTCATTTATAAAGATAGAAAATGATAAATGATAACAGAGGGGAAGTGAGTTGTCCAAGGATATGAGAATGCAAGTGTCAGTGCTAGACAGGGTCATGCCTCTAGATTCCCTGCCCAGGGTTTAATCCCTGGCCCGCTCCATAGCTCAGACCCTTGTGGACAACTTTCTGGGAATTACCAGAACACATTTTCTCAGAGTATGAGCTAAAGACTTCCTTCATCAGAATTATCTGGTGCTTCATTAAAATTCAGATTCTGGGACCACATCCCAAACCTATTTATTGAGTCAGAATCTCTAGAAGTGGGGCCAAGGAATCTAGATTTTAAGAGAGCTTTTTAGATTGTCCTTGTATCCACCAAAATTAGAGAACAATTACCCCAGAAACTCAAAGTCCTTGCAGAGGCACTGAGTGGGAAGAGAGGGGTAGGAAAGCTAATGGGAACATTGTGTAGCGACTCCCACCACCACCACCACCATCACCACCAGCTGAAGAAAGAGCCCTCAAGGTTGAAGCATCAAAACAGAGCTATCACTGGGGACCTTTTGGCCTAATTCTGCCCTTAAGCCACAATCAAGCCTTTGTGGCAGTAGGGGTGAATGTAATATATCACTTTCTTATCGGTATAAAGGTGTAAATGTCAATTTCTCCTCCTTTTTGTGAAGATTTGACAAAGCACTTAGAGCGACACCCATTTTAATCAACAAAGCAGCCAGAAAGATCACAGGGCATCAAGTGTGCCATATCCTATCTGAGCTTTGGGTGGATTTGAAAATTGCACTTTTAATTAAAATTGGCATTTCCGCAGCTCAGATTGGAGCTCGCCGTTTTGCTAGGGAATTGCAAACTGCGAGGCAAACAATCTGAGAGGGAGGTTTAAGAATACGAAGAGGAAGGCTTGTGTATGAACAGGAGGCGCTTGTTTAAATAATGAAGCGGAGAAAAGATAATGTAAAAATGCCTTTGTCTATGTTTAGTTAGGTTTCCTCAGAGACCCGGGTAATTGCGGCTGAGCTGTCCGAGGTGCTGACGGCTGGGCGAGAGGAGCGGTTGAATGTATGCACAACGCCCAGAGGTAAATGCCTGGTCCACAGTTCTCAGCCCAATCAAGTTTGCCCTGCTTTATGGGTTTCTTCTTGGCCAATGACAAACAAACTTCCAGGCAGGTGATTAGTAACTTTTGTGGATTGAACGAATGAATGATTGCTGACCACCTACTATGTATAGTATATGGTGCTCTGAAAAATGGGAAAAATGTCAACCGAAATTGTTGGATCCTTTTCTTGTGATGTTGCAGTCAACCTCACAATTGATCTTGTTGTGAGATTTCAGGATTTTGTGAACCAGAAAAATTGCAAGCCATCAAGGACAATGCCAAGCGAAGACATTTAAGAGTAACAACTATCACCTGTTCTCTCCAATGCTTGAATAAAACAAAAGGCATTTTAAAACTTAATAAGTAGGAAAGCCATAATCTCAGAATAAGGAACAGTTATTTAGAATGGTTTTGTAAAAACTTCCTTGTTTGCCCTTTTTTCTAATTTCATTGAGAAACACAGGAAACATCACCATGCATTGTCATCAGCTTCAAAACTGGCATTTGGGAGTCATTGATCTGGGTCCTCAGGAAAGAAATAGAATCTCTCAAAAACATGTTAATCAGAGGCGCTCTGACTTCTGGCTGCACATCTGATCTCCAGGGTTAGCCTGTTTTACAGTTTTATTAGAAAGTTCTTTCCATAGTTACAGTGCCTTAAATATGTGTGGGAGAGGGTCTGGGGGGTAGGCGGATGGATTAAAATTGACACTTGTTGAGAACCCACTGTGTGCAAAAACTTAAACTGTCTTAAGATGCTACACTTACCTTATCACACATAATCTGGTTTTTGCCCTCATTTGTTAGATAGGCATCATTAATAACCCAATTTAAGGATGGGAAAGTTGTTACACATCAGAATTTAATTTATAATAAAAGAACTTTCAAAGATCAACTTAGAAGGGAACAATTTGTCAATAATGGTATAAAGATAATTGATGAGAAAAAATTATTTTGACCTTCACACCAGAGCAGTCATTAAATACATTCCAACTGAATTAAATGCCTAGGTGTAAATAATATAAACATATAACATATTTTTGTGCTTCTTTTTTTTCTTTGTTTCTTTTTTTTAAAAAAGGGATACATTTGCAGAACGTGCAGATTGGTTACATAGGTATACATGTGCCATGATGGTTTGCTGCACCTACTGACCTGTCCTCTAAGTTCCCTCCCCTCACCCCCCACCACCCAACAGGCCCTGGTGTTTGTTGTTCCCCTCTCTGTGTTTGTGTGTTCTCAATATTCAACTTCCACTTATGAGTGAGAACATGCAGTGTTTGGTTTTCTGTTCCTGTGTTAGTTTGCTGAGGATGATGGCTTCCAGCTTCATCCATGTCCCTACAAAGGATATGATCTCATTCCTTTTTATGGCTGCAATAAAATATTTTTTAAACATAGATAAAACCCAGAAAACATAAATGTGGGTAGTCATCAGATATCATAAGGTAAAAGGGCTTTTCAAAACTTAGCAACAACTGAAAAAAAAAGGAAGAATGAACAATGTTAATTGCTGGGATGAAAGGATTCTATTAGACTTAAATCTCCTTTTGTAAAAGTTGATATTTTGCAAAAATGAACATTTCAAATTAAAACAGTGAAATCCATAGTGGTTACTTCTGGGGTAGAGAAGTTGAATAGGAATCTTATGGGGAAAATGTTCTCTATTTCCATATGGGTGAAAATTAATTGAACTAGATATATATTTGAAATAAGCACACTTTACTGTGTACTTATACCTTGATTAAAAAGTAAAAACAGAAAACAAAGTGAAAACCATTCTAAATGCAATATCTCTGTTTTGAACTACCGAGGGGAAGGATATCAGGTTCCCAGGGTAGTAAAACCTCTTGAAACCATTGTGTGTTGTGTGAATACAGTCCACTGATTTAACCCTAGTCCACATGAAAAAGATTTGAAGATTCTAGTTGACCACAAACTCTAGAATGTCAATCATGCAACTCAATTAGTATCAAGAAAGCACACAACCCAAGGTTTTATTGCTAAAGGCATAGAGCTCCCAACAAAGGAAGTAAGAGACACCTAGCTTAGGACCATTTCTCTGACAGACTGGGTAATTTTTGAATAAATTAATGAAACTGATTGTCTTTCAAGACAATATGTAAGGACAGAGGCAATCCAGCCTAGACGTTGGAGTAATATTGGCCTGGATTTCAATTCCAGATCTGCCAACTACATGTTGTGTGACCTTAAGAAAATAATGTCATTTCTATGGGCTCAGTCTCCTCATCTGTAAAATGGGGATAATAATAATATAATCACTGAAAGGCTGTTGTAAGGACTAAATGAGGTACTATATATAAAACTCTCGGTGTAGCGCTTGACATATTCTAACTCTCCCACTTCAGTGACAGTTTTTACTAGTGGTATTAACAATGAGTTCCAGGGTGGGACCCTCCTTGTATGTCATCTCCATGTGATTCCTAAGGAAGTTTGTTTTCTGGGGAGCTGGGGAAGTTGTACAATCTTTGCTAAGAAAACCAAGTTGCCTCCTGCCACCCACATCTCACCACTGCCCTAGAGATACCCCAGATCTCTTGTGGTCTTGTTTCCCAGTGTGAACTGCTGCAATCAGTGGCCAAGGCTGCAAGCCAGGCAGGGAAGGGGACTGTGCAGGAGACAGAAGATGAAGAAATCGGGAATCCGGCACAGCAGCGACAGGAGCTCATTGACTCCTCCCCAAGGGCCAGCTCGGGAAGCTGGAGAGGCCTGTCATTAACTCTCTTTATTATCTACATTTTCTGCCTCACTGGCTCATCTGAGGCTGCAAATGGGACTCACTCCTTGCACGAACCTTGCTTCATTGGATTCTGGAACTGGGAGGAACTGAATCACGGAAAACATTTATCAACTTGGGGGTTAAATGTGGGAGATAGGGAACTGGGTGTGCACATAATATGGAGTTTGTCCTTGGAACTTATCCTAAAAGGATCATGGTAGTTTCTACCCTACCATGGCTTCTTCTGAACCCAGAGTCTCCTACCACTGCCATTTGGAGGATCAGCCATGCCCTTTCTAGCCAGATTCATATAGCTCACCTCTTGCATTTTAAGAACTGTGTCTATATGGTAGTCTCCTACAAGAACAGGAGCAGTGTGGCATGGGTTTATAGATAGTCATGTGCTGCTTACAACTCATGAGACCTTAGACTCTCTGAGCTTCAGTCTCTTTCTCTGTAAAATGGGGATGATTACATGAGCCTTGAAGTGCTGGGTAAGGATTAATAATATCATCCTTCTTTATTAAGCATTTACCAGACTGTAAGTGCTTGAACATGAGCTATCTAAATCCAATTCTCAGAACAATAGGTAAATACTATTATCATCCCCATTCTGCAGATGAGGAAGCTGAAACACAGGTTAAATAACTTGCCCAAGATAACACATCTCTCTCCTAACCTTCCTGCAGGAAACTCATCTATTCCCATGACTTACAAGATCATCCATAGACAACAGCTCCTATGCTTATTTTTTCAGTCCTATTCTCTCTTCTGAGGCCCAGCCTACTTGACTTGTCAACTTGGAGGTTTAACAGATCTTTCAAACCCATTTCTCCCAAGCAGATGAAGACACTGAGGCAACTTGTTCAAGGTCAAACAACTAGAGTCATCAAGCCCGAATTTGAACCTGGATCTCTCTTTATCTGCAAAGGTTACACTGCTGAGCACATTCTATCTCTCTATGAGTTGGTACTCTCTTCAAAATATCCCTGTCAGTCAGACATAGTGGTGCATGCCTGTATTCCCAGTTATTCAAGGGGCTGAAGCAGGAGAGTCACTTGGGCCCAGGAATTCAAGGCTGCAGCAAGCTATGATTGTGCCCATGAATAGCCATTGCACTCTAGCCTGAGCAACATAGCAAGATGCCATCTTTATTTTTACTTTAAAAATAAAAATAAGTTTAAAAATAAAGAAATAAAAGAAGACCCTTTTCCATTCTGTAGCTCATACCCTAAGTCATATCTACCAGACTGCTGTGATACTCACTAAACCATGCCAACTGCTCTCTCCCCCAAGCTAAAGAGGCCCTGAGCACCAGCCTCAGGATGTGCCAAGAAAGAAGCTATCCATAAGGACAGAGGGAAGCCCCAAAGAGGGCTCATCAGAGAAAGTCATGGGGAAGAAGAGCTGTGAAGCCATCTTATCTCCTTCCATCAAAAGCCCCTGTTCTGGCTGGGTGCGGTGGCTCACGCCTGTAATCCCAGCACTTTGGGAGGCTGAGGCAGGCAGATCACGAGGTCAGGAGATCAAGACCATCCTGGCTAACATGGTGAAACCCCGCTAACACGGTGAAACCCTGTCTCTACTAAAAATACAAAAAAAGTAGCCAGGTGTGGTGGCACGTGCCTGTCATCCCAGCTACTCGGGAGGCTGAGGCAGGAGAATTGCTTGAACCCGGGAGACGGAGGTTGCAGTCAGCTGAGATTGTGCCACTGGACTCCACCCTGGGTGACAGAGCGAGACTCTATTTCAAAAAAAAAAAAAAAAAAAAAAAGCCCCGTTCTGTAGCTCAGGAATTATGTCCTTGAGGATTTAAATGTGTGTGTGTTGGGGGGAGGGGGAAGGGTGCCTTAGGGAGGATCTCTGAGCTTCCCCCAAAGAGTTACAGTGTATGGCAACTCTTATTTATCAAGGCTGTGTAAGCCTTCCTCCATCTGCCAATCATCTACCTTCTTCCCATCCAGTGTTAATCTCCCTAGTAGCACATGCTCTGTCATCTCCTTGTACACTGAGTGTTATCTTCAGTGTGAAACACAGGCTCAGGCACTCAGATCAGGCTATGCTACAAAGTAATGAAGCACTTCTTATTTCCAAAGAAAAATAGATGGAGAAAACTCATCCTTAATTAATAACATGTGGCAAGTATCTGCCCTGTGTGACCACATGGGGCCTCCATGAGTTCCCTGTATGGTCTAGAGAGAAAAGGGGATTTTCCCAAGGTCATGAAAAGTTGACAGCAAAGCTGGAGCTTGACTTTGGGGGCTTTCTGATTATTATCTTTACCTCAGATCAGCCAAACACACAAGGAGTTTCCTGAGATAGCCTTGCATGTGACAATCTCAGAGGTCCATTTTCAAGCATTCAAGTCTTGCCCCCTCCTCAGGAATCAGCCACAGTATGACTATGGGCAGCAAGTCAGACCTCAGGTCTTCCCCAAATAGCCCATTTTTTGCCTCATGGAAGCAAACCATGCCCTAGCTGGAAAATCCAAAAAAGTGTTTTAAGCTAAAAAATGAAACCCAGTACTCTCCTTTTGCAAACATAGGGGCATGTAAACCAGTAAGTTTAAGAAGCCAACTCATACTAAAAATTCAAAAAGATACTGGATACTCAAGGTGAAAGGAGGAGATCAGAAAGGAGTGAAATGGAAGGAAAGTTAAGCTGGGATCTACTTCCTCCCAAGGTTACAGACATTGCTATCAGCTGGCAGTGCAACTTCAGGCTAGTTATTACACCTCATTCATACTCTGTTTCCTCATTTGTAATATGGGGAATCTGATAGCAACTATGTCATAAGGGTGGTGGGTGGGCTAAATGAGTTGAGTTCTGGCATATAAGTAACTTAGCATGGAGCACAACAAATGCTTACTTTGTGTTTGTCGTCATTGCTTCCAAGTTCCTTCTTTGGTCTCTATTGGTGTGGAGTATCTCATTGCTTTTTTTTTTCACAGATTTTCATTCTGTCACTTAGGCTGGAGTGCAGTGGCTCAATCATAGCTCACTGCAGCCTTGAATTTCTGGGCTCAAGAGATCCTCCTTCCTCAGTCTGCCAAGTATCTAAGACCACAGGTATGCACCACTATGCCCAGCTAAGTTTAAACAAATTTTAATTTATTTTTATGCTATTTTATTTATTGTGTAGACAGGGTCTTGCCCTGTCACCCTGGGCTGGAGTGCAGTGGCAGGATCTTGGCTCACTACAGCCTCAATCTCCCAGGCTCAAATGATCCTCCTGCCTCAGCTCCCCAGTAGCTGAGACTACAGGCATGCACTACCATGCCCCGCTAATTTTTGTACTTTTTGTAGGGATGGGGTTTTGTCATGTTGCCCAGGCTGGTCTCATCTGCCTTAACTCAAGCACTCCTTCTGCCTCAGCCTCTCAAAATGCTGGGATTACCGTTGTGAGCCATCATGCCTGGCCACATATCCTTCTTTATCTAAGGTCAGAAGAACCTTTAATTTCAATTAACCTTCCTTGGTCAAATAGTCTTTTCTTCAACCACTGGCCAAGCTGAAAGTAGAGACTAAAAAATACCACACCATTATTTGGCCAGCAAAGAAACTCTCCCTCCCCTACCATCACCATTTCCTCTCCTTTTCCTTTTGCCTCTTCCCCCTTTCCCTCCCTTTCTCCTCCCTCCCTTACCTTCTCCTTTCCTCCTTTCTTCCCTGCTTGCTTTGGCTTAATGAAAGGCCTCACAGGACGCTGTCCGTGGTGCTGACTTGTTTTTCTGTCTTGTTCAAACTCTGTATGCAAATGAAAAGACAACACAGCTATTGAATGTTGAAGCTGGGGACATTCCCCAAGCTAATCTCTGTGCCTGTGGTGTGGCCACGGCTCTGGCCATTATCTCTGGCCACAGTGCCCCGGAGATGCTGATGCTGACCTGGACCAGAGGTGCCAGCCTGGGCACTGCCAGTCCCCACAGCCATTGACTAGAGCCCCAGGGCACAGGCAGCTAGCAACTTATCTGGGTGCCCCAGGGACTGCTATTGGCAAAGTGATGGCCCCACAGGGACCAAATGTGAAGCTAAAGCAGGATACGCAGGTCGGAGATAAGGCCAAGAACAGATTCCCTTTAGCGCTCAAGTGCTGTTTGTCAGAAATTGACAGCCCCACGGCCCTGGCCGGTGACAGGCACAGGGTGATAACAATACCATATGATCAGCATCATTGGAGGACAGGCTGTCACTGGCTCCCAGAGATAAGGAAACAATGGGCGACCCCTCTGCCTAGGGAAAGGCCTGCATGGAGCCCCCAGGGCAAAGCAGCAAGATCTAAAGTGTGTCTCTGACCCCTGGCACCTCACCAGCACCCCCTCCTCCCAGCAGGCCCCCAGAGCTCCTTCCTGTCACCCAGGGACCCGTGGCCTCCATTGTGCACCCACTATTCTGACCCCTGTTCTCTGGAGTTAATCATGTTATCTCTAGAGCACAGGTGTTAGTGGATGATAACAGACAAGCAGTTCCCTCCCCAGCTCCCTGCACCACAGACGCTGCTAAGGGAATGGAGTGGGAGAACAGAGCTTTCTCGAGGTGGTTTATGCAGGCCATGGATTCAGCACTAACAGCCTCTCTCCAGCACTGGATTCTTGAGAAATAAAAAGGTTGGGTGTGGAGGGGCTCCCACATTTTCTAGTGTCTTCCCATTCCACCCCACTGGAGCAAAGCTGTTGACCCTACACTTGGGGACATATTTTGGGATGGGTTCCACTGCCCTGGCTTGGCTATATCCCTTCCCCCACTGCTGCGCAACCTTTCCCTACCATAGCCCCAATAGCCATGAAATGGGGACTCAGCACACCTAGGTCCTAGTTCTTTCCCTGACCCCAGCTTGATGAATGATTTAGGGATCATAGTCAAGTCACTTCACTCCCTGGCCTCAGTTTCTTCAACTGTAAGTTGGGGCTACTCATCTGTAACTATCAGATCTGCCAGGTGGTATGAAGTTCCAGTGAGATAAATATATGTGAGGGCTGGGCGGTGGGAGATCTGAGATTTACCCCCCACTAACCAGGCCCACTGAGTACAGTGTGGAGCACTGCTGGGTCTCAGCTTGGAGGTCTGCTCTGCCTGACTCCCCAGGTGGCAAGATCATCCCCCCGTTCCCCTCCTCTTCTATGCTTAGGCTGTGATTTCTCATGGGCTCACCTCTCATACCCTCCTGTTTTCTTTCTCTCATGTCTGTCTCTCAACTGGTTCTTGTTCTTGCCTTTTTTTCTGATCTTTTACGTATATCTGCAAACCTCACTCTGCTTCCTCATTTGTTGCTGATGCAGAAAGAATGCAAAGGATTATTTATTTAGCTTGTATTTTGGCACCATTATGGATGACTTTGATGTTGCTTTGGACAACCATCCAGCACCCTGGCTTCGTAGTTTTTTTTGACCCTGTCAACTCCAATGACCTCCACCCCCTTACCCCTTCAGTTCGTGCCTGCGGACACATTCTAGACTTTGTCATCACCCACAACTTACCCGTCTCGAAAATATTAAACTTTCTGGTGACAGCTCCTGTGTTCTTCATTCTCTAATTCCACTCTGCCTTCTCTTTAGCATCACTAAGATCTCTAGTTCTTTCTGTCTCCATTTCCTACCAAAATGCTTGCCCTTTGCTTGGTCTGTTTCTTTTCTAACTGGCCAAGATCCCCTGACTCATGTCAAATATGTCCCTGCCCATGCGTCCTTTGTCCCTCTGCTGCCCTCATTTATTTACTTCATTCATTCACTCATTCATTCATTCATCCAATACATTTTTAGGGCTGGTCAAGGGAATGGGTGGTATTTATACAATTTTTTTTTTTGAGACAGTGTTGCTCTATCACCCAGGCTAGAGTGCAGCAATGCAATCACGGCTCACTGCAGCCTCGACCTCCTGGGCTCAAGCTATCCTCCCACCTCAGCCTCCTGAGTAGCTGGGACTATAGGTATGCACCACCATGTCCAGCTAATTAAAAAAAATTCTTTTGGTAGAGACAGGATCTCACTGTGTTGCCCAGGCTAATCTCAAACTCCTGGCCTCAAGTGATCCTCCCACCTCAGCCTCCCAAAGTGCTGGGATTACAGGCATGAGCCATTGTGCCCAGCCCCAGCACATTTTTATTGTGCATCTACTATGTGTCAGGCACAGTGCTAGGATCTAGAGAGCCTATGGTAAGCAAAATAGATAATAGTTATCCCCTTGAGCTCTAGAATTCAATCCAATTGAATTCACTCTTGGCTATTATATTTGGGGTGCTGATGGTTCCCTGTGAATTTCTGGTTTCTAACATTCTCTGGACCCTCATTGTTACTGTCCAATCTTTTATTTTTTTATTTGTTTGTTTTTGTTTTTTGCTGTCCAGTCTTTTAAATGGGTGCTACATTGGGTCAGTAGTTCTAGACATTTTAGTGTCCTGACACATTTACAATCCCCCCTTTATTTTTGAGACAGGGTCTTGCTTTGTTGTGATCCTCTCACCTCGGGGCATCCCAAAGTGCTGGGATTACAGACATGAGCTACTGTACCTGGCCTACAAATCTTATTGAAGTTATAGGCCTCTCCCCAGAAGAGTGTCCTTGCATATACATTCCACTGACAATTTTAGAAGTCCATGTACTCCATAAGCCCAGTCAAGAGCCCATAAATTAGACAAATTCTGCAAACATATTCAACTTTTTGGCCTAAGAATTACTAATCTCATCTTGCCTTCAACCCATACACCAACATTTTTCACATCAGGGGCACAGAGGGTAAGGGGCAGAGTTCGGGAGCTCAATTGTGGAAACAGAGATATGAATGAAGATGAGGCAGGTCTTGTTCATTCTCTCTAAGGTGTATAATAGCATTAAAAAATCTTTCTTCCTTAGTCACTTCCCAAGAGTGTTGAATTGGAAAATGTGGGTGTATTATCTTCTGCTGGGCAAAAAAAAAAAACAAAAACAAAAGCAAAAAACACTCAAAACCTAGTGGCTTAAAACAACAATAAATATTTATTACCTCTCACAGTTTCTATAAGTTGTGAGTTCAAGAGTGGCTTAGCTGTATGGTTCTGCTTTGGGTCTCTCATAAGTTTGCAGTCAAGATGTCAGCTGTCTTCTGAAGGCCTGCCTGGGACTGAGGGTCTGCTTTGAAGGTGGCTTACTTACCTGGATAGCAAATTGGTTCTGGATGTTGTCAAAAGGCCTCAATCCCTCCTCACATGGATTTCACTCTAGGGCACCTGAGTGTCCTCACAACATGGTGACTGGCTTCCCCCAAAGCAAGCGATCCAAGAGAGAGCAAGGTAGAAACTGCAATATCATTTATGAGATAGCTTTGGGAGTCACATCTCATTATTTCTACAATGTCTCATAAGCTTTTTTTTTCTTCTTAAGCGGCAGGATATTGCTGTGTTGCCCCTACTGGACAGCAGTGGCTCCATCATAGCTTATTGTAACCTCAAGCTCCTGGCCTCAAGTGATCCTCCTGCCTCAGCCTCCTGAGTAGCTGGGACTACAGGTGCACACCACCATGCCTGGATAATTTTTTCTTTCTTTCTTTTTTATTGTTGGTAGAGATGGGGGTCTTGCTATGTTGCACAGGTGGGTCTTGAACTCCTGGCCTCAAGCAATCCTCCTGCCTCAGCCTCCCAAAGTGCAGGGATTACAGGCGTGAGCCACTGTACTCAGCCATATCCTGTTGCTTACACAGGTCAGTCCTGGTCAGTGTGAAAGGGGACTACCCAAAGGCATAGATACCAGGAGAGGAGAATCACTGGGGCCATCTTGGACACCGGCTACAATTATGGGAGATATTCCCAGTGGGGAAACCGTGATATTTGTGTATAAGTTATTCATAAGTTGAGACTTTCTCAGTCACCTCTGCCTATGCTTTTGAGGGCATCTATTAGTCTTCAATTGTTCATTTTACTTTGCATTCCAACACACAAGGTTAGCTAGCAAAGCATATTTTTCTTCTGTTACAAGTGCAGGTGTGTAAGTTATCACTACATTGGGAGTAATGAAAACAGCCATCCTTTATGTAGCAGTTACTAAGTGCCGGGCACTCTCATAAGCACTTTATATATATATTAATTCATTTAGCCATTAAAGAACCCTATGAGGTAGAAGTTATCCTTGCCCCCATTTTACAGATGAGAAAACGGAGACACACAAAAGCAAAGTAACTTCTGCAATGCCCCACAGCTAGCAAGTGCCAAAGGAGGGATTGAACCATAGCAGTCTAGAGAGTCTGTGCTCTTAATCACCACTCTTGACCACCAGCAGAAGGGGTTGTAGATGGTGTGGAATGTAGACGTACCCAAGTTCTCCTGGGGGCATTCAGAGAGAGTCAGTGACTGAGAGCCAGAGAGTGTCGACATCAAGGGCAGAGCATGGGAAGGAGATGAGAAGAGGCAAACTAAGAGGCAGGAAAAGAAGCAGGAGATGGGTGTGTGCTGGAAGTCAGATGTGAGAGGAGCAAATGTGGGCAAGAGCGAGCGGCCCAGGCCACAGAGTCGGTGAGCAGAATGAGGATGACATCGGAGGTCCTGGATGAAGCAGTTTGGTGGAGTGACGTGTGGCAGCCAGGTTAAAGTGGGTTGGAAGTGGATGGGAGGTGAAGTGGCAGGTGGACCACTCTTGGGACAGCCCAGCTGTGAATGATGGGGGAGGCATGGGGTGAGTGGAGGGAGAGAGAAAGGGCCCCCCAGCCAGCAGGAGATGGGGATCCAGGAGAGATCCCAGCCTGAACCCAGGCCTCTCACCCAGGCCAAGCCGAGCAGAATCTGTTCTTCCGAGAAGGAAGCTCCCATCACAGTAAGTGCCAAATGAGGCCTGAAGACGCAAATATTTGTTCGGCTTCTGCCCTTCTTGTTCAAATAGGGCATTCTCTTTGGGGATGGAGGTTGGCTGCTGCAGCGAAGAAGTGAGAAGTCAGTAAGGGTGGGAGGGTGTAAAGGAGGAGCAAGTGCTCTGGGGGCCACTAATGAATTCCCCAGGCTCCTGAGCCACTGGAATCCATTAGCTCATGAAAGCAGCTAAATAATACCCCGGCTGCTTTATGAGACATCTGTTCAAATAAAGCCTACCTTTCTCCTCAAGATCAGACTTCATCCCACTCCCTGGTGCCCATCCTGCTCTGTCTGACTGCGGCTGAATCAGGGGTTGTATGATACTGCCTCTCTGCACCCCCGCTACAAGACTGTGTGTTATTGTGTGAGGGTGTGTGGTTATGCCATGACCGTATATTACTCTGGAGCTATGCTCTGTGTGGGTTTCTTTTTGCCAGTGTATAGGAGTCCACTCATCGACTGAATTACTCTGTGTTTGTGTGTGTGTACACATATGTGTTTGTGACACTGTCTCGCTGTGCAGCTGTATTATGTGGTTTGTGACTGTGTTACCCTAAGGCTACATGTCTGGGATCTTGTGTTGCTCTAAGAGTTTCTTTCTGTGCTGTGACAATTTTTGCCTGTGTGTTATCGTGATACAGCACATTACTGTATGTAATTTGGTGGTCCACTGTGAGAGGCCACCTCTGTGTGTGTGTGTTCATGTGCACATGTTACCGGGGGAGGTCCTTGTTTTTAGAGCTCCCAAAATGGTGGTGGGCCACTTCCAAGATGGTGGCAAGCCTCCTGTTCTCTGACCTGGGGTTCTTGGCTTCCCGGATTCCAAGGAATGGAATCTTGGGCCATGTGGTGAGTGTTATAGCTCTATTAGAAGCCGTGGGTCACAGAAGTGAACCGTGGAACCCAGCGACTAGCGTTCAGCTCAATTAGGACGAACCCAGGCACTTAGCCATGCAGGAACAATGGCGAGCCTCTAGCCCGATCAGGAGCTCTGTTTTCACTCTGCTAAATCTTGCAACTGCACACTCTTTCTGGTCCGTGTTGGTTAAGGCTTGAGCTGAGCTTTCGCTTGCCATCCACCACTGCTGTTTGCCGCCCTCGCAGACCCGCCGCTGACTTCCACCCCTCTGGATCAGGCAGGGTGTCCACTGTACTTCTGTCCGCTGCACTTCACAGTCACCTTCCCCAGCTAGGCTTAGGAATTCTTAGTCGGCCTAAGAAATCCAGCTAGTCCTGTCTCTCACACACACACTGTAAATTTATCAGTGACTTCGCACGTGGCTATATTACGCTGTCTGGTGTACAAAGGTACACGTAAATGATGTGCCTGTGTGTTACTCTGCAAATTGGGTATTGTGCTACACACAGTGAAGTCATGGGACACTGTGTTTTAGTGGGACACTTTGTTGTGACTGCTTGTGTGCACAGAAGGACCTAAATCTCTGACTTCCCCTCCCAGTGGACCAGGACCATTCTGAGGAGCACCTGGACAGATGTGGCGAATGTGAATGATGGTATGTAGGATGGGCACCACTTCTCAACTGTTGGATAAAGGTCTAAGCCTTAAATCTCAGAAAGGATCAGTCCAGGGCAGAGGCAACACCCAAGAGGCAGCCAGTCCAGTAGCTGGGCAAAAGAAGGAGCCTAGGCTGGGTGTGGTGGCTCACGCCTGTAATCCTAGCACTTTGGGAGGCCGAGGCGGGTAGAACAAGGTCAGGCATTCGAGATCAGCCTGGCCAACATAGTGAAACCCCATATCTACTAAAAACACAAAAAATTAGCTGGGCGTGGTTGTGGGTGCCTGTAATCCCAGCTACTCAGGAGGCTGAGGCAGGAGAATTGCTTGAACCTGGGAGACGGAGGTTGCAGTGAGCCGAGATGGCGCCACTGCACTCCAGCCTGGGTGACAGTGTGAGACTCTGTCTCCAAAGAAAAAAGAAGAAGAAGAAGAAGAAGAAGAAGACTTCAGGGAAGCAAGGTGGTCAGCTGGTAGCATCCAAGCCCAAGGAGGCAGGTGGACAGGTGGGGGCAAGGGCAGAACCTGGGATTCCAGAACCTGCAAATCCCTGCTGTGTCCATGATGCAGGGGGGTTAGACTAGCAACATCCACATGCATCAGAAGCACTGGGGAATTTTATCTAAATGGACCACAACCAAAGATTCTGATTTACTAGGGCTGGAGCAGGGCCCTGGGGTCTACATTTATACCAAGACTCCTGGCTAGTCAGGGGACCTCACTTTAAGAAACACTGGATCCCAGGCTCCACAAGGAAAAGGTGAGAAACATGAGGCACAGTAAGAATCTAGAGGGGGAAAGGAAGAAAACAAGAGAGAAAAAAAGGAGAAAGGGAAGAGGAGATGGAGAAAGTGATGTGGCGGGCATCGTTGGTGCCCTGCCCATATCTCCTGAGCACTGGTCACTCTAGTTTGCACCCTGAGTCCTATGGGTTCTTCACTTGAGGACTCTTGGATTCTCTCTCTCTCTCCCTCTCTCTCCGCATCCCCCCACTGGAATCATCTGCAAAATCAGCTATTAGCACTCACATTGTTGTCTCAGTGTTGGCTTTTCAGGAATCTTAAGACAGGCGAGGGAAGAAATCCAAAAACTCCTCAGCCTGAAGCATCCAGCTGACCAGCAGGAGCAACAACAAGGGTGTGGGGTGGGGCTGCCAGGCTGCTCCTCCCATTGGCTGTTTGAGCTTCTTCCCCACTTCGGGAGGTTGCAGCTACTTATTCAGGTGATGGCTCTCTCAGTAGACCTGCTTCCTCTCTGGTCTTTTGGATGCCTGATCATTTTAATTGATTGTCAGAAGTCTCCACTTCCAAAGCATTGTTCTTGAGGCCACAGGCTGTTGCCGCCATGCCTGGCAGCCAGCAGTTCCACTCAAAGGCCCCTTAGCCCCGGCCAGGGGAGGTAACAGCTGGCCTGGGCAGAATCTGCCGAAACCCCCGCCCGGCAACTCCAGTTCTGGAGGCCTCTTTCCAGTGCCATCTGGATGGAATTCCTCTGCTCAGACTGTGTTTGGAGCAATGTCGGCATGGTCAGGTGTTGCTGCTCTTTGATAAACCCAGCCTGTCTCCCTTGGGCAGCCCCACCATCTGCTTTGTCTATTTCCTGCAGGAATGTACTGCATGAATAAAGACCCCTCTGTGGTGGGACCCAGCTGCCCGAAGGTCAGCCCCTGTGAATAGAGAGCCTGGGCTTTGTTCAGGGGTCAGTTTGATGACAGCCTCTGACAAGTGCCCAGCACTTCCCAGTGTATAAAGCACCATTCCAGCCTTTCCCCCAGTGCTGGAAGGTGGGGATTTTGGGTCTGACCCATGGGTCCATGGATCTTCACTACAATAGCAAATGAATTTCATTTTGAATGGTGACCCGATGATGGGTAGCTACCCAGGGCCCCACAGTGAGGATTCTGAAGCTGTCTGGACCCAGAAGAAAAGATTGTGAAGTGACTTGACGCAATGTCCTGGAGCCTGGAGTGGGGAACGGTAGCAGACTGCTGATGCCCTCAGCCACCTCCAAGTTCTTCTCAGGCCTGGGTGGACAGTCCCAGGGCCTGCTAGCAGCTGCCCATCTTGGATCCTCACTTCATCCTTCTCAGCCTGAGGTCTTCCTCTGGTGCCATGAGAGCTAGTGCAGTCCACTCACAGGGCAACCTGGAAGTGCCAGAGATTTTAACAACCCCGCCCCCAGGGTGAGGGCAACCTCAACCTATGAGGGATGGTTGGTCAGTGGCTAAAGGATCCAGGTTCTCTGCCCCTTGCTGGGCCAATTCTGAGGCACATTCTGCAATATTGCTCAGAGTCTCCAATGTGATTGAGCCCCAGTTGCCCACAGCAGTGACTCGCTCATTAGTGCACCTTGACTGGCTATATTCCCCCTCCCCTGCCCGGTCTCCCTTTCCTACTCCCTCACCATTCTTTCTGCCATCACCTCACAAACAAACCACCTCCACTCAAGTCCTGGCTTTGGGGGGAACCCAAACTAGAGCAAGAGTGATGGCAAATGTGTCCACCTCCCACCCCATAGTGGGCAGTGACAGTATTTAGTAGCATTGACCTTTTGCCAGCACTAGGAACTAAGGTTGGGAAATGGGGAAATGAGGCCAATGGGTCGGGACCATAGCCTTTGTTTTTTTGTTGTTGTTGCTTGTTTGTTTGAGATGGAGTCTCGCTCTCTCACCCAGGCTGGAGTGCAGTGGTGGGGTCTTGGCTCATTGAAACCTCTGCCTCCTGGGTTTCAGTGATTCTCCTGCCTCAGCCTCCCGAGTAGCTGGAATTACAGGCACCTGCCACCACACCCGGCTAATCTTTCTATTTTTAGTAGAGATGGGGTTTCACCATATTAGTCGGGCTGGTCTCAAACTTTTGACCTCAAGTGATCCACCCACCTTGGCCCCCCAAAGTGCTGGGATTATAGGCGTGAGCCACCATGCTGGGACAGGGCCATAGCCTTTGAAAGGCCCCATCTGCTGGGGCTGGTGGACACCCACATCGGTAGCATCAGGAACATACTGTGTAGTACAGAGCAGGGGGCTGTGGAGAAGGATGCACGTGCCTCCACATGGAGAGGCCAACGGAGGCTTTCTGGAGGGGATCAAGTGGGCTGAGACTTACTTTGGATGGGAATCAGTCCTTGGCCTTTGTGTCCATGAAGTGTCAGCTCTTCTTCCAGGAGGGCTGTCATCACCTCCTACTTCCTGGACTGGATGGCTTTCCCCTTGCATTGGCTGCTACGGCACCTGAACCTCTCTTTTGTGGCACCCCATGGCCAGGGGGCTATTTGCTGGATTATTTGACCAAATGTCTAGCTCCCTGACTAGATTACAAGCTTCATGTGGGCAGGGACTAGGCCTGGTTTTGTTGACTTGTCAGTTCCCAGCACCAAGTGCACCTCCCTCCTGTGTCCCCTCTGCCATTGCTCTGGCCCCAACTTCATTGCCTGTCATTTGGATAATTGTACTAGTCTCCTCACTGGTCTCCTTGCACCTAAAAGCCACCCTGAAGGGACTGCTGTGTCAGCCCTGCTTTCCCAACCCCCAGCAGCTATGGTCAGTCCCCCTCCTCTGTGCAGAGGGGCCAATTCTGACCCAGATCAAAAGGTCTGGGGAACTCCGCTTCCACCCACGGGACCAGAATGTAAGAAATGGGATTATTTCAACTGCGTGAATTGTTCCCAGACACCCCAGTAAGTCCTGACACCTTCATCACCCACTGAGCCACAGCCTTGCCCCAGTAGTGTCCCAGTGTACAAGTTGGGGAGCTGAGTCGGAGCTGCCTCCTTTTGAGTTTCCTTCTCCTTGGATTTCTCCTCCTCCAGGAAGCTGTGTTAGATGCCTCCTTGGCTGCACCAAGAAGGTAGTATTTGAGTAAAAACTGAAGGGGTGAGGGAGTGAGCCATGTGGATGCTGGAGGAGAGGGTTCTAGGCAGGGGGATAGTCAGTGCCAATTCCTGAAGCAGGAAGAGAACCAGAATGACAAGTAGCAGCAAGCTGGGTATGAAGAGAAAGATAAGAAATGAGGTCAGAGTAGGGGAGGCAGATCCCACAAGGCCTGGTGGGCCACCCTGAAGGTCTTTGGCCATTGCTCTGAATGAGATGGGAGCCACTGAAGGTCTTTGAGCAGGGGAGGCCAGGATCTGACCCATGTCATAACAGCCTCACTCCAGATTCTGTATTGTGTGGAGATTGCAGGAGGGGTTGGGGCAAAAGCAGGGAGTCCAGACTGGAGACATTGGCCAGAATTCAGCTAAGAGATGCTGGTGTTAGTAACATGATGGGGGTGATAATGACATGAACTGACCAAAATCTAGATCACAGATTCATGGAGTATAAAAAGCTGACTTTCCCAGGCCCGTCTTTTCCTGGGGGCAGTCTCCCTTTGGCCCGATGCCCTGGCCCACCCTATATGGTGGGTTGATGGCACTGTCACTCCTGCAAACCCTGCTCCTGTCCTCACTCCACCACCCTGCTGCATGCCCTGGAGGAGACTTCTGGGACACTGAGCCCCTGCCCATCAGGCCCTTCCAGATCTGAAGTGTCTGGCCCTGTAGCAGCCCAGCTCCCAAATTCTCACCCCTCCTCTTCTTTAACCTTAGCTGCCTGACCCCCTTATGGACAGGAGTCCCTGCTCCCCTCTCCGGCCTGCCCCAGGCTCCAGCCACATCAAAAGGCTTGCAGTTGCAGTTGCCCAAATGCACCAGGTCTTTCCCATCTCTGGACCTTGCTAGAATGCCCCTCCTTCACCCTTTTTATCTAAACAACTCCTTCTATTTCCTCAAGACTCAACCCAAGTGTCATCCCTTCCAAGAACTCTTCTGAGGCCCCTTCAAATTGGGACATCCCTTTCCCCTATTCTCTTAGCCACAACACTTTCTCTGGGGAACTATGTCTCCCTCACATAACTCTACACCTAAGCTACCTGAAGTGAGCCCACCTCCATGAACTTGCTCCAGTCCGTGGCTCCCTATGCCTGATGTTTAGAACACAATGCAACTTTATCTTACCTTCCAGCTCTATCTTCCACACATGCCTTCTGCCTTCTCCAGCTCCTACCACACTTGACATCCCCCACTCCTTCGCCATGAGTTTTCCCCTTTCAGTGGATGAGAAGTGGCCCAGGATGTTCCCAGTGACACATTAGCATGTGCCCTATGCAGAGGGGCAGGATGGACTTTCAGATGCCTGGGGGATGACAACGAGGCACATGCCTGGGAGTGAGATGAGGCTGTAGTGCTCTTGAGCTCCTAGTCAGACAGGCCTGGGGTTGAAACTCGGTGGTGACACCTACTAGCTATGTGACCTTGGGCAAGCCATTTCAACTCTATGAGCCTTGGTTTTCTCCTTTGTTTCGTTGTTGTTGTTGTTTTGTTTTGTTTTTGTTTTTTGTTTTGAGGCAGAATCTCACTCTGTCACCCAGGCTGGAGTGCAGTGCCATTATCTCAGCTCACTGCAACCTCCGCCTCCTGGGTTCAAGCGATTCTCCTGCCTCAGCCTCCCTAGTAGCTGGGATTACAGGCACACACCACCACACCCAACTAATTTTTGTATTTTTAGTAGAGATGGGGTCTTACCATGTTGGTCAGGCTGGTCTCGAACTCCTGACCTCAAATGATCCACCCACCTCAGCCTCCCAAAGTGCTGGGATTACAGGAGTGAGCCACCACACCCGGCCAGTTTTCTCCTTTGTAAAATGGAATATGAATACCTGCGTGGCAGGGGTGTCATGAGAGCCCAGTGAAATAATGAACACAAAACGGTTAGCACGTGACTGACATTTCATGAAAGCATCACCAAATTGCCATAATCATTGTCACGAAACAGATCAAACAGAAAACCTCTGCCATTTTTCTAACCATAGCAGTGACAGGGGAATGTACTTTTTGCTCAGACCTGACAGTGCCTGGCTTGTCAGGATAATTCAGGATCCTCCAAGACCCAGCTCTGGGTGGTTCATGACTAGTCAGTTGCAGTTTGACAATTTTGTATTGAGGACCTGAGTCATAGAGGTCCAGGGCTGATGAGACGGTTGTTCTCTGTGGCCCAAGACAGGGCCATGGGAGACCTTGGCCTTAGGGTTGCAGAGGAAAAGCCTCCAACTTCAGCCTTTCTCTCAGGTGTCCTCATCAGAACAATTCTCAGTGGCAGAATTTTCAGGACATCAGCCTTGTCCAAAATGCAAGTTCCAAGGTGATGGAGGATGTGAGTCCAGACATCCCTCAACCAGCAATGGCAGAGCAGATGGGTGTTCCACACAGGCAAGGGGGCTCAACTGAAGACCTCTGGGGCCAGATATATCCCATTGTCCCCTTTGAGCTCCCTGCCAGTTCTGCTCAGGACCACTCCAGGTCTTAAGTACGTAGCAGCTTCTTGGGGTCCTTTAATTCCCCTCTCAAGTCCAGGCCAATCTTCCAACTTTTGGTGCAGGAAGGACTCTGTAAGCTCTGGTTTCGATTGGGTAAATTTACACCTGTATCCTATGGGTCCTTGTAAGTCTCTAGTTTGAGATTCCATATTTGCTTCCAATACCAGAGGTGTCAATTAACCCTGAGCATTCATCTCCAACCCAGAAGGACTGAAGACAGCATGACCAGTCCATGGCATTCTGTCCTCCTGTGTCCAGGGGAGACGTCACTAAGTAATCATGATATTCCCTCCCACTAAGGATACACTCATCATCAGAATCCAGGGCTCCTGCGAGCCACTGCCAAATGATTGGGAACCCTATTTGCATTTGAGCAAATGTTTTGGGGCCCAGATGATAGCAATGGTGTTGGTAATGGTGGTGACAGTAATGATGGTGACAGTGATGATGATCCTATTTGCAGATGAACTTTGTGGTTTGAGGCTTGCAAAGTCCTGTCAGCTATATGGCTCCACAACTCATTCCTACAACTGTCAAAGACAGGTAATTGTATTATTCAGTATTCAGGCCTCTTTAGGTTTTAAGTAACAGAGTATTTTTTATCTCAATCATGTCTACACCTGGGTCACCTCTCAGGGTGGGGTGGGGGAGGGGGCAGATGATTCTCCAAAATAATGGATTCTAGGGGTACAAAAAGCACAAATCCACAAGAGTATAATTGCCCCCACCTCACCATTTTATAGAAGAGAAAAGTGGTTGTTCAGAGATGCCAGGTGCCCTGCCCAAAGTCACACAGCCAGTGAGTGGAAAAGCCAGGACTAATACCCAGGGTTCTGAAGCTTTGAGTTCAGGATGCTTTTCTCATCCCTAGCACTGCTTCTCAGAGGCTAAAGCAAAGTTACCCTCGCTACCTCCAAGACAGCCCCCACAGCAGAGCATTCTGAGGGCGTCTTTAGTAACACTGGTGAGGACCTCGATGTGGACAGATGGGGCTTCTACTGCTGCCAGTTCCGTCCCAAACTGGCCTGGGTACAGATTCAGAGGGGACAGTGGGGGCAGGGCAAGCAGGGACTCTCCTCTCCCAGTCATCAGCCGGCCCAGGCCCAGGCGCAAGCTGTCCTGCGTCCTCCCAGCTAGGCAACAGCAGGAGTCCAAACAGGCAATTAATTACTGCCTGGCTGCTGCCGGCTCTCCTCCTCCCTTGCTCAGCCAAGTGTGTAATGAAATGGAACCAAAACAGACTCCCCTGCCCAGAGGGACCCTGGCATGCCCAACAGAGGATGAGCTCCAGGGAAGCAGGGAAGGGGCCTGAGACGCAGAGGTGAGTTTATTAACACAATGAGCTTCCCTGAACCCTTCTCCCTCACCTTTCCCTGCCTGTTGGCTGCAAAAGCAGTCTTTACAGACAGCACTGTGATCCCAAGTGATCCCTCCCTGGCAGCCTGAGTATAGTGGTATTGTTGGTATTAATCTTATAATATTAATAACAGTGAAGTAGGCAGTGTCCTACATACTGTACAGGCATTACCTCTTTCTTTTTTTTTTTTTTGAAATGGAGTCTTGCTCTGTTGCCCAGGCTGGAGTGCAGTGGTGCGATCTCGGCTCACTGCAACCTCCGCCTCCCAGGTTCAAGCAATTTTCCTGCCTCAGCCTCCTGTGTAGCTGGGATTATAGGCGCACACCACCATACCTGGCTAATTTTTGTATTTTTAGTACACATGGGGTTTCACCATATTGGCCAAGCTGGTCTTGAACTCCTGACCTTGTGATCCGCCCACCTTGGCCTTTCAAAGTGCTGAGATTACAGGCATGAGCCACCACGCCCGGCCGGCATTATCTCTTCAAATCCTCAAATCAGGCTTTGATGTACTTTTTATGCCTATGTTACCAATGAGAAAGGCGGAGACACAGAGAGGTGGAATGGGCCCTAAGGGGGTGATGTAATGTAGTGGTCAGAGCACAGGCTCTGGAACCAGATAGAACCATTTAGGTCACTTACTAGCCATTTGGCCTAGGCAAGTTACTTAACTTCCCTGTGACTCAGTTTCCTCCTCTGCAAAGTGGTGCTGACGGTTGTATCTACCTTGTAAGGTCACTAGGACAGTGTTTGACGTGAAGCCCGATCCATGGTAGCTCTGTGGCTTCAGAGGGTAGGTGCTGTTATCCTTGTTCTACTATTTTACATTAAAATAGTAAATGATTCAGTGCATAAAGTACACCCTATGCACATGACAAACATCACAAGTGACTAAGAAACTTTTCATCCACAAAATTTCAGGCCCATTCTGAATCCTCTCACTCTGGCTTCTGCATGCCTTGCCAGGTAGCAAGTTCAGCTGGGCATCATCTTCTGTTCTTTGTATTAAGGACGTAATGGGAGTTTTTGTTTGTTCCTGGAAGAGCCATGGACATTCTGATGGTGAATATTCTTTTATAAAACTTAGACACACTTCCCTGCAAGAGATCCTTAGGTGTTCCCCAACCTAGTTCCAAAAATCACTGCCCCTAGGGCCGGGCGGGGTGGCTCACCCCTGTAATCCCAGCACTTTGGGAGGCTGAGGCGGGTGAGAAACCAGGAGTTTGAGACCAGCCTGGCCAACATGGGGAAATCCTGCCTCTACTAAAAATACAAAAATTAGCCGGATGTGGTGGTAGGCACCTGTAATCCCAGCTACTCGGGAGACTGAAGCAAGAGAATTGCTTGAACCTGGGAGGCAGAGGTTGCAGTGAGCTGAGATCGTGCCACTGCACTCCAGCCTGGGTGACAGAGTAAGACTCTGTCTCTAAATATAAAATAAAATAAAATAGAATAGAATAGAATAGAATAGAATAGAATAGAATAGAATAGAATAGAATAGAATAGAATAGAATAGAATAAAATAAATAAAATAAAAAAAATCACTGCCCCAGACTGGGGGAAATTGATCCTCCCTAGACATCCAGATGGGCAGGCTGGCCAGTGTGGGGCCAAAAGGAAGAAAAAAAATCCAACTGAGACTAACGGCATCGAAAAGGCAAGGTACAGACCTAAAATGAGTCAGGAACTGCCCCCTCACTCATTCATGCCCCCTGTCTCCCCACAGCCTCTGAGCCCTGGGGAAGGGGTAGCTGGGTTAATTTATTTCTGTAGCACCAGCACCTGGCAAAGGGCCCAGCACAAAGCAGGAGATTGGTGAATGCTGAATAAAGGAACCAGCAAATGAATGAATGAATGGCATAGCTATTTGGGGAAAGATATAGAGTATAAAGCTATAGAGAAAAGAAGAAAGGAGAAATACAGTGCTGTCCATTCTCAGCTCCTTACAAGTGCTGAATAATCTCTACATTCTGCTGTGAAAGATCTAGAAAGACATATTGCTAAGTGAAAAAAAGAGCTAAGTATACAACAGGGTGTGGAATCCTTTATCTTTGTGTTAAAAAACAGAACAATAAGAATATACATGTGTATTTGCTTATATATTAATAGTTGTACTTGTGGTATAGGCAGATAAGAGGCAACTTAAGAAACCAGTCACTGGCCTGTAATCCCAGCACTTTGGGAGGCTGAGATGGGTGGACCACCTGAGGTCAGGAGTTCAAGACCAGCCTGGCCAACATGATGAAACCCCATCTCTACTAAAAATACAAAAAATTAGCCAGGCATGGTGGAATGCAGCTGTAATCTCAGCTACTCAGGAGGCTGAGGCAGGAGAATCCTTGAACCCAGGAGACAGAGGTTGCAGTGAGCCAAGATCATGCACTGCACTCCAGCCTGGGTGACAAGAGCGAAACTCCGTCTCAACAATAACAACAACAACAACAAAAACCAGTCACTGTGTTAGGGACAGTCAGAACATGGGGGGATGGGAAAGAGGAGTTACAGGGAGACTTCACCCTATATGCCCTTTATATATTTTGTAAATTTCTAAATCATGTGAAGTTAAAAAATAAATCAAGAAAAGGAAAACAAAAAAATAGAAAATTTCTGCTCCAAGAAAATGTTGAGTAAGATCTACCTGGCTTAATGGCTGAGGAGGGAAGGGAGCGTGCAGTGAATACCTAGTTACAGCCCATCTTCTCAAGGAGTCAGTATAATTAAGGGCTTGGAGTTCTCCAACCTATTGATCTTGGACCAGAAAACATTAGATGAATTCCCAGGGGCCTCGAGCTTTCCGAAGTTGTTTCTCTAAATTCCACATCTCTCTTGTTGATAGCCGGTAGCCTCTGAACGCTCCCACGATGGCTGAGGGGTACAGTTGGTGTGGGCTATTGGGACTAGAGACGTTAGGAAAGACCTCATAGAGGGGCTGGAGACTACCCTGGGGTGGAAGGGGAAGAGAAGCCTAAAGGCCTGGATACAAAAGGCAAAGGAGGCAACAAAAACAACAACAACAAACAAACAAAAAAAAAAAGAAAGAAAGAAAAGAAAAAGCAATATTGTCCCTGCTTTCTCCTTGTCATCTCTCCCTAAGACCCACCTCCTGAGAAACATCACAATATCCAATATCTTGTAGAGAGACTTCTATAAGCCATGACATTGGGGAAGGCGTAATCACTCTGACATCAGGATTACATTTGTAATTGACAAATGTGGGCTGGGTGCGGTGGCTCACGCCTGTAATCCCAGCACTTTGGGAGGCCAAGGCTGGCGGATCACTTGAGGTCAAGAGTTCGAGACCAGCCTGGCCAACATGGTAAAACCCCGTCTCTAGTAAAAAACTACAAAAAAAAAAAAAAAAAAAAAAAAAAAAAATTAGCTGGGCGTAGTGGTGCATGCCTATAATCCCAGCTACTTGGGAGGCTGAGGCAGGAGAATCACTTGAACCTGGGAAGTGGAGGTTGCAGTGAGCCCACATAATGCCACTGCACTCCAGCCTGGGTGACAGAGCAAGACTCCATCTCAAAAATAAATAAATAAAGACAGACAAATGCGGAAATAGCACAGATGCTTTCAGGGAGCAGTGGACGCTGAGAGCCCCAGCACAATGGGCTGGGAGGACCGGGGTAGGGGGAAGTCTACAGAACTGCACCTAGGGTCAGAGTTGATTCTGGAGCCAAAGGAAGGAGCCAGCAGCTGGATGTGGCTGGCCCAACTCTGAGGGGCTTGGGTGCTGTCCAGGCACAAGAATATCTCCTTGTCTTTGGGATCTAGACTCAGAGATCCCACAGTAGGAGGCCTGTGTCCTGTAGAGGGACATCCTCTATAGGAAGTCTTTGATGAGCACATTCATTTGGCTTTTACACCTGAAAGGCCTCCTAACCTTTTGATGACCTTCGTGTTGATAGACAAAGCAGCCCAGGCTGTGAGTCCCCAAGAAGAAAACCCCAGCCCTGGTCTGCAGCTGCAAGGATCAAGGGCAGAGGGAGGTCTCCAGCAGGCTGTACAAAGCTCAAATAATTTTGAGCACTGCCCTGGAGCCTGGTGACAGGCTGGTCCAGGCCATGGCCTCCTGTGCCATCAAATGCCCTTTTCTTAACAAGGTTTCCTCATGCTAGGAACAGACACTTTTCTTTGGCCTGACCTCTCTCAGGGGCTCCTGCCTTGCGTACCCACCTGTGAGTACCACCATCCTTTTAGGCTGAATATGGTCAATGTTGATAATAATAAGTATACCAACAGCAATAACAATGTTATCAAAATTGCCATTTACTGTGTTTACTAAAAGGCATAGGACTTTACCCACATTATCTCATTTAATCCTCACAACAACCCTATGAGGAATGTACTATTATTGACCCATTTTATAGACTGAGAAAAGGGCACAGAGAGGTAAAATAACTTCTCCTGGGTCTCACAGCCAGCAGAGGTAGTGCTGGGATTCAAATCAAAGCAGTCTGACCCTAGGATGGGTTCCATTAATGGCGATGTGACACCAAGCTCTTGTTGGCTTTCTTCCCCAGTCGGCCTTTCCTCCCAAACTCCCTGCATCAGATGTGGCTTCTCTGGGATCCCTGTCATTGGCTGTGGAACCTCAGAATCACCTCTGATACGTAGTTTGGCTTTGGTGACAGACAGATATGGGTTTGAGTCTTGACTCTGGCTCTTGTTGCTGTGTGGCCTGGAGGAAGGTGATCCTGCTCTCTGTTTCTTGGTCTCCAGGTGTGTGAAATGATCTGGCAATATCTGGTGGGCTTCTGTCATTGTCTGTCCAGTGCCTGTGCTTACTCTGAGAACTCTCTTCTCATCCCCATCCACAGGGCCATCATTGGGTTGCCACAGTCTTATATGACATTGACACTGACATTGACTCTGACTATAAGACTGTGGCAACCCAGCAATTGCATGGTTTTTTGTTTTTGTTCTTGAGATGGAGTCTCACTCTATTGCCCAGGCTGGAGCACAGTGGCGCAATCTCAGCTCACTGCAACCTCCATCCCCTAGGTTCAAGCAATTCTCCTGCCTCAGCCTCCTGAGTAGCTGGGATTACAGGCATGTGCCAGCATACCCAGCTAATTTTTTGTGTTTTTAGTAGAGATGGGGTTTCACCATATTGGCCAGGCTGGTCTCGAACTCCTGACCTCAGGTGATCCACCCACCTTAGCCTCCCAAGGTGCTGGGATTACAGGTGTGAGCCACCACGCCCAGCCAATGATTCCATATTTATTGGAGTTGGTCGGTGGGTGGGGGTGCGGTGCTTGATTTGAGCTGGCCACAGTCCTTCCCCAGGACTTTTCAAGCCAAGCTTATGACAAACAGCTAGTTCCACTCCAGCAGTAATAACTATGAGATGGGAAGCTTGGAAGCGGTTAGCATCATGTTTACTTCAATATGGAAGAAGTTCACAGCAGAAGAAAAGATGACATGCTGAGAGCACAGAAATGAGAAGAGAGGGGTCTCTGGTCCTGGCTGTCCTGAGGCCATGCTCCTGAGGTCTGCCCCTCCCATAATTACCTGAGACCACAGCATTCTTCCAGTAATGCCCTGTTGAACCTAAGCTGAGGTTGAGAATACATGAGGGGCACTTAGCACATTAGATGGAAAAAGTAAGCCCTCAATAAGTGGTAACTATTATGACTATTTTTTTTTTTGAGGCAGTGTCTCTCTGTTGCCCAGGCTAGAGTGCAGTGGTGCTATCTCAGCTCACTGCAGCCTCCACCTCCCGGGTTCAAGCGATTCTCCTGTCTCAGCCTCCCACGTAGCTAGGACTACAGGCGCCCGCCACCATGCCTGACTAATTTTGTATTTTCAGTAGAGACAGGGTTTCGCCATGTTGGCCAGGCTGGTCTCAAGCTCCTGACCTCAGGTGATCCACCCGCCTCGGCCTCCCAAAGTGCTGGGATTACAGGCATGAGCCACCGTGCCTGGCCTATGATGACTATTATTAAGACAGCACAAGCCTGGGCAACATGGCGAGACACCCACCTCCACAAAAAATGTTTTAAAAATTAGCCAGGTGTGGGGCGGACGCCTGTGGTCTCAGCTATTTGAGAGGTTGAGGTGAGAGGATCGCTTGAGCCCGGGAGGTTGAAGCTGCAGTGATTGTGATTGTGCCACTGCACTCCAGCCTAGGTGACAGAGCGAGACCCTGTCTCAAAAGAACAGAAGAGCACAGACTCAGCTCAAATTCACACCTTTAGAGGCAGTCGATGGAAGGAGAGAAGGTTAAATTCTATTTTCTGTATACACCACTGTGAGCTGTGGGGAGTCCAGGAAGCCTCCTCGGGAGGAGCTTGAGAGGAGGGTGGAAGACATCTTGGCAGGGGCTGGAATGAGGAGACAGGTCTTGCTGAAGCAAAGAGCTGGACAGTTTGAGGACTCAGCCCCGCCTCCCCTGGTCAAGGCCCTTAGAGGCATCTCTATCTGTTCCTTGCTGTCAGCACAGTGGTTTGTCCACAGGCCTGTGGACAGCCTCCTTTATAGAAGCCTCTTGCTGAGCACCAGGATAGAAGGATGAGAAAGACGTCAGCCATACCCGCATGGATGTGCAACATGCCAGGGCAAAGCACAGAGGGTGGCAGGAAGACTTAGGAGGGGCATACCCAAAACTTGGGGAATCGAAGAGGGCTTTCTGGAGGGAATGACATCTAAGCAGTGACCTAGGAATGAATGATGATACTAGCTAATATCCATGAAGGACAGATTGCATGTGAGGTGTTTTAGATGTATTATCACCTTGAATGTAATACTCTCCGCCACCTTGAGAGGGAGGACTGATTATGCCCACTGAGCAGATTAGGTAACTGAGGCTCTGCTAGGTGAAGTGTTTCCTGGTCACACAGCTACAAAGCGGTGGAGCTTAGATTTGAGTTCAGCTCTGTCTACTATAAAGTGTGTTCTGGGGCCGGGCGTGGTGGCTCGTGCCTGTAATCCCAGCACTTTGGGAGGCCGAGGCGGGCAGATCACGAGGTCAGGATATCGAGACCATCCTGGCTAACATGGTGAAACCCCGTCTCTACTAAAAATACAAAAAAATTAGCCGGGTGTGGTGGCGGGCGCCTGTAGTCCCAGCTACTTGGGAGGCTGAGACAGGAGAATGGCGTGAACCAGGAAGCAGTGAGCTGAGATCATGCCACTGCACTCCAGCCTGGGTGACAGAGCAAGACTCCGTCTCAAAATAAATAAATAAATAAATAAATAAATAAATAAATAAATAAATAAAGTGTGTTCTGAACCACAGAAATGAGAGTAAATGAGAGTCAGGGTGGGAAGCAGATCAACCCCTGCAGCTGGAACTAAGGAGATCTAGTTGAGTTGCTGGATAGGAGGCTACTGAAGCAGGCAGGGGCTGGGACACATGAGGCCTTGCAGGCTGAGGGTGGGGGGAGTTTGTGCTTCATCTTGGGAGCAGCTGGATGACGGAAAAGGCCAGGGCTGGCTCTAGAACTCTACAAGGTAAGCATCCTGCCCACAGATGCAGACTGAAATGCTAGTGCATGAGCCTGTGGCCCATCCGCCCTGGGTGACAGGCTGCCTCCTGTGTCTCACCTGCCTGTTGCAGCCCCCCTCTTGTCCAGGCACTGGAGAGAAGGAGCCCAAGGACTCAGGCCCTCTTCATCTGGAGCGAGGAGCAAGCTGAGGATTCTCAGCCAATCACCAAGCTGTCCCTAAATGAGCCATAATCACCCCTGATTGCTCCTTTGTCAGGCCGGCTCTCAGAGCCACTTCCATCTGAGGCTGTGGGGAGGGGCCCTTCAGACCAACGTGCACTGCTGGTTTCCTATTTTAGAATAAACATGTGGGGGGCGGGGGGCTGGGCACCTCCTGAGCTCTCAGAGATCCAAAAGGCAGGCACAGATGAATGTGGGGGTGAACAGAACCAGTCCCCACAGTGGGCAGGAGTTTACAGCTGGTGAGCCACTTCTCTGGCCCTTGGGGCCAGATCATATCCCTATTTGATGAATGAATAACAGGCTCAGAGAGGGATTAGTGTATTCGATCACAGAGTGCAGACAATGGAGCCAAAGGACCTTTCATTCATTCATTCACTCGCCAAATATGTATTGAGCACCTGCTATGTGTCAGGCACTGTGCTGGGTGTTCAATATAAACCCAGACCTTTTCCGATCATGACAACAATAACAATAGCCAGAGGTTATTGAGCACTTACTAAGTGCCAGGTGCTTCACTACCTACATTCCATGTGATGTCTCGTCAGTCCTCCCACCAGCACTGTGAAGTGGAGTGATGCAGGCATGCCAATGGGGCAGGAAGGGTTTCTCTCTGTCTCCATCCCAAAGGTTGGCATATGCCAAAGGTGACTCACAAACAGTGGCATTTGAAGGAGACAGGAACTGAAGAGCTGAGGGGATGAGAGAAGGGGTCCAAAGAGGAGGGGTGGCTTCAAGGTGGTGACCACATGGTGACTGCAGGGGATCAGATCAAAGAACTCACGCTGCAGAGGGCAGGAAGCCCAGGGAGCTGATTAGGTACAGCCACAGATTGCACTGTATTGAGAGATCCTGCTTAACGCGAGTAAAACCCTCCTCTATGCCTTCCTTTGAATGCTGTGTGCAGCTCCCAGCTCTGACCAGTTTAACAATGAATGACCCATCCCTTCTTCCCCCCGCTGGGGCACAGTTCTAGGGTGATCATTTTTATCCCCATTTAATAGATGAGTAAACTGAAGCAGAGAGGCCGTGAGTCACCTGCCAAGGGTCACTCAACCAGCAATGGCAGAGTTGATTCCAGAGCTGAACCCTGAAGCAACGTCCGCCTCAGGCTGGTCCTAGACCCAGTGGTCATGAGTCTAGCCTGGGGACCCCTCGGTACTTGGCAGGCAGTGGATAAAACAACCTCAGCCCCTCACTAAGAAACAGCAAGCCCCTCCCCCTCCTGCATCTCACCCTCCCCACGGCCCAGCTCCTCTCAGAGCTATTAACCAGGTCACGCTGGCTTGTCCCAGTCCAATAGTTCCCTTAATTGCCTTTTTATAGCACGTCGTACAACTGTTCATTACGCTGTCATATTTCCCCTCGAAGGCAGCAGTGGGGGAGCCAAACTGAGGACGGGGACCCATCCAGGTGGCAGGGGCTGTGTGTGGGGCACCAATGTGTGAAGCTTATTTTCTACTTGGTCAGAATGAATTAAATGCATGCTTCTCACCCTTGAGTAATACAGGAACCACGTTTAAAGGGGAAAAAAGTCACAGCCCCCTGTCAACAATTGACAAATTATCTTTATTACAATTTTATGAAAATATGTACAGACAGAAAGCTAGCTCTACACAATTGGAAAAGCGGAGACAATATACCATTGCAACAAAAACAAAGCCTCAATATCAGACATTTCAAAAGAACACGAATAATTTAACGTGATGGATAGTGTGTAGGTGAAATGAAATCGCACTTGCACAGTGAATATGGTTCAGCATTTAGCCCCCCTCTGTTCTTTTGTCATAAGGCCCATAACAATTAAAGCAGTATTTGGTCATCCAGGAGACCTAGAATCCGCTGGTAGGTTTTTTAGATATAAAATAATATAATATAAAATTGGCCAGGCGCGGTGGCTCACGCCTGTAATCCCAGCACTTTGGGAGGCTGAGGCGGGTGGATCACTGCAGGTCAGGAGTTTGAGACCAGCCTGGCCAATATGGTGAAACTCCTCTCTACTAAAAATACAAAAATTAGCTGAGTGTGGCAGTGGGTGCCTGCAATCCCAGCTACTCAGGAGGCTGAGGCAGGAGAATCACTTGAAGCCAGGAAGTGGAGGTTACAGTGAGCCGAGATCGCACCACTGCACTCCAGCCTGGGCAACAGAGTGACTCCGTCTCAAAATAAATAAATAAATAAATATAAAATAATATAATATAAAATTAACCAATTCTGAGAGAGAGCTCTCACAGCCTAGGTTGAGAAACAATAAATGTGTCCCGGGAGCCTCTTTTTTGAGATGTAGTCTTGCTCTGTTGCCCAGGCTGGAGTGCAGTGATGCAATCTCGGCTCACTGCAAAGTCCACCTCCCGGGTTCAAGTGATTCTTATGCCTCAGCCTCCTGAGTAGCTGGGACTATAGGCACACACCACCAATTTTTGTATTTTTAGTAGAGACGGGCTTTCGCCACGTTGGCCAGGCTGGTCTCAAACTCCTAACCTCAGGTGATCTGCCTGCCTTGGCCTCCCAAAGTGCTGGAATTATAGGTGTGACCCACTGCACCAGACCAAGCCTTTATCAGCTGTGCAGGTCTAAGACATCCTATGGGGAAGAGCCATGTGTTCTTGGGGCTGGAAAGCCAGGATACAGGGCCCAGACCACTGAGGCCAGATCTCACCCAGACTTTAATGAAATCCACAAGGTCTTCCGAGAGCACCTACTATGTACCTGGCCCTATGCCTCCCACCTCCCTGTCCCAGGAGTTGCCTCAGTAGTCAAGAGGGAGACAGGGGTGCCTCAGAATAGATGTATATACCAGTCAGTGCAGGGAGCATTCTTGGGAACTGACACAAAGAGGTGTTTGGCCACGGGGAGTCAGATCTGGATTGCAGTGCTTCTCTGGAGCCCAGAGACCCAAGCCCTGCCCTGCAGACTCACCTAGAGTGCTGAGGTTATAAGGACAGCTCTGATCCTGGGTTCGACTCCTGAATCCGCCACTACCTAGCTGTGAGACCATGGGCAAGTCACTTAACCTCTTTACATTCCAGGGTCCTCACCTATAAACTAAACATAAAACCAACCCATGCTCATGGAGATAGTGAGAGGCTTGTCCATGATGTTGTGACACAGGGAAAGGAAGCACTTAGCTTAGAACCTAGCAGAGAATAAGCATTTGGTAAATGTTAGTGTTGATATCTTTCCCGATTCCAGCTCTCAACAGAATTTGAAGAGAACAAAAATGTCTAGATTGGGCTTTTAGGCTGGAGGCCATGGACTCACCATGGGTGGGCTTAGGGATATGAAACCTTGTGCAATATTGTGTGTGTGTTTCTAGAAGAAGGATCTGCAGCCTCACCAGATGTCCACGGGGGCTGTGACCTAGAAAAATCTTTGGTCGCTGAGCTAGGTCAGGGCTGGCAGAACCACTCAGTCTTAGCTCAGGCTGCCATGATAAAGTGACAAAGCCTGAGTGGCTTCAGCAACAGAAACACATCTTCTAACAGTTCTGGAGGCTGGAAGTCCCAGATCATGGTCCAGCAGGATTGGTTTCTGGGGAGGGCTTGCTTCCTAGCTTGTAGACAGCTGCCTTCTCCTTGTGTCCTCATGTGGCAGAGAGAGAGAGAGAATGAGAGTGAAAGAGAGACACAGAGAGAGAGAGAGTGAAGAGAGAGAGAAATCAAGAGAGAGGACACTCTAGTGTCTCTTCTTATAAGGACACTGATCCTATCAGATTGGCATCCCACCATTTTTACCTCATTTAACTTTAATCACTTCTATAGAGGCATCTCCAAATACAGTCACATTGAGGGGGAGGGCTTCAACATATGGATTTGGGGGTCATAATTCAGTCCATAGCAGTCAGTGAGATAGATTATTCTAGATCTCGGTGGAGGCAGGTTTTGACCAGCAAAGGCTGACCCTTGAGGCTTCTAACTAAAGCAAGGACCACCTGCAGCTCCCCTGGCCCCAGTGATCATCACTCCTCCCAACCGTCCTCTTCCCTGCTTATGCCCATCCAATTATCCACTTCTCCAAGTCCATTCCTGCAGGCCCTGCCTGCAGCCTCCTAAGATGACAGTGGGCTAGTCTCAGGATTGTGAGAATTTAAGGAAACAATCCTGAGAGTGTACTTTCAGCAGTGCCTGGCACACAGAGAGCACTCAGTAAAGGCGAGCTCTGCACCTAGAGAGTGTAGGAGGTCAGACACACAGCCCGTTTGCACTGCTGGAGCCCAGGATCCCTGTCCCAGGGTTTGCTGGAATCAGAGCCCCCAACACAGCTGTCTCTCCCAGTTATAACCAGTGACCCACAGATTCCTAGAGACCTAGAATCTGCTGGTAGTTTCTGAGTGTTCTTGCAAGGAATCCCTGAATCTGGATGTGCATCCCAAGGCTTAGATTAACAAAAATCACATCTCACACACCTATGTAGGACTGACTTTCAATTACATAAAAGATGATGTGAGCACAAAAGACAAATCCATTCAGAAGAGCTACAGTATTCATAATTCAGACCTGGATTTTGGCTGTTGTGTGTTTCTTCAGAGGGGGGAAATGGCTTTGTAACATTGACTTAATTCATCTCCATGAATGAGCATCTAATGTGTGCTGGGAACACAGTGGGGAATACGGCTGACATGCCCCTGCTTCCCAGCATAACTGAAGCTGTGTTCTCAGGAAAGGGCAGGAACCATTGGTCTAACCCACCAAGTCAGGTCCAGGGCCCCTCCTTCAGTTCTAGGTAGCTTCTGGTTTTAAAGGCTGCTGAGGGCAAGACCTGGGTCCTCATGTCTCCCGCTCTCTGACCCCTTCTCAGAGCTGTCAGCCCAGAAAGCATGAACCTTGAACCCCAGAAGTCATGAAATGCAGCCTCCCATACCCTGAGGCAGGACTTCTCTAGACCTTGTCTCTGATAGGACATCCAGCCTCTGCCTGGACACCTCTGGAGATGGGATGCTCATTATGTGTGCAAGGAAAACTGCTACTACATACACAGTCATGAATGTATTTTAATATGTCTTACCCTGAGCTCACAGGGGCAGCACCTACATGGTCAATGGCCCCACCTGATTTGTCCCATTGAAGGGAGAAGAATCAGGGTCTTTGTTCCATGCATAGGCTCCCACCTGGCTCCTCAGCCTTGCTGCGCCTCTCCTCCCTTGTGCCCAGGGACACAGCATCAGGAAATTGGGTTTTGATTTGGGGAAAGGTGAACATGGCTCCCTCCAGCTATAGGAAAACCTCACCAATGTCCCAGCCCCAGGATACTTGGGGGTGGGAGTGGTTTATGAAGCCAGTGCCTGTCCCCTCAGCAGGAAAAGACTTGCAAGGCTGACTTTGCTCTGGAAAAGGAGGGCTCTGAGCTACAGGGGAGGGGGAGGGGGCTATCTGTGATCATTCAGCCCCGAAATGATGCTCATGATGTTGGCTTTCCAGGCCATTAATTCAAGGGCTCCATGCCTCCCCTTCCCCCATGGTGCTGTCTGCTCTGGGAGATAAGCCCAGTTCTATTTAACCCTATTTATTCCCCCAAAGTGACTCCCATCTCTGTTAGCCAGGCATTTAACCCCCTGGGTACTGAAGGCATCAAAGGCAGAGAGATTGAGCTCATGTGTCAGGAAGGGGTGCGTGCATTTCACCTGGGCCCTGGCTTCAGGGAATCCGATCCAGGTCCTTCCTAATCCAAACTCCTCATCTGGAAGTCCTTGCTTCACAAGGCTTGGTGGAAGTCCTGAGAGAAGGTAGGAACCTGTGTGGCCCTGGCAGGAGAGACCCTCTGACACCCCCAGGTTGGGTAGCGACAGCTCCTGCTCTCTCCCCACATACCCTCCCAGTCCCTAGTTTCTTAGTCACAAGATCTGGGTTCTGGCATCAGCAAAAGAGAAAGGCTGTGGCATCTCTGCCTCTTTTGTGTCCCACTGGCTGGTGGCTGCATTCAGCAAGCCCTCTTCCATCTCCATCTCCCTGCTTGGTCCTTTTTACGTCCCCTGCCCCTTTCTGCCCTTTGTTCTCTCCTCTTTTCCCCTTCAGTGATCACACAAGAGTAGTCCTGACTACTCGTCTCGGTGTGTGTGTGTGTGTGTGTGTGTGTGTGTGTGTGATTTCTTGTGTCTGGGGGCTTGTCAGTGTGTGTGTGTGTTTACCTGTTCTTGCACTGCTGTGTGTCTGAGCCTGTTATCCAGGTGCCTCTGCCCATGCAGAGGGACCCACCAGTGTCTGTCCTGATTTCTTTGTGTGGCAGGCAGTCTTAGTACAAATCTTGCATGTGTCTGTCTGTGTGCTGGCCTGTTCATGACCTGTGTGTTGCTCTGTCAATGTATTAGAATGCTCTGTTCAATCTACTAGAATCTCTATGTTGTCCTCATGTTTTTGTACATCTATCCATCGGCTTGTCATGCTCTGTGTGAATGTATGTGTGTGTTGTGCTTCAACTCAGGGGACCAGTCTACTGCAAAATCCTCTCCTAGGGAACCCTTCCAGAGGAGCTATTTGGGAGAATTTGGAGGTTGATGGCTTCGCCAGGGCAGAGCCCAGCTCACTACCAGCAAGGGAAGTCATCCTGTTGGTCTCCTGGGCTCTTCCCTCTCCCTGCTCCTGACCTCCCTCCCCTTCTCTCCAGGTCAGCTTGCGACTGTGAGGAGCAGGGACAGAGAGCTTCAAAGACAGAAGAGCGTACATTCCAACTCACTCAACCCCCAGATCCAATCGCAGGCTTTTTCTTGTGCACTCCCATTTCCACCCCCAGCCCCACAACGAGAACTGGCTGTTGAGTATAGTCACTACAACAATCACAAAATAATTGCTATCACGTATTGGGCATGCAGCACCTGTTAAGCATTTCATATATGAGATCTCATTGAATTTTCTCAATAATTCTATGAGGCCGTTATTCTTATTTTCACATTTTAGAGATGAGGAAATGGAAGCTAGGAGAAGTCAAGGAAGTAGTCAATGTCATAGAATTAGTATGTGATGGGGTAGAATTATTCAATAAAGTGTGGGTTGTTTGAGAGTTTGCCACACCTGCCTTCAGCCTGGGAAGAGGCATTTATTACAAACAGCAGGAAAGGAGGGAAATATGGGAATTCCTTTCCCAACTGCTGGCATCTAATTATAGCCAGCGGGACTAGAATCTGATTTTGAATTTCATCTCTTTGGACAATGAGGTGGCCAAATACCAAACGACAACCAGGGAGAAATGATGTAAGGACAAGACGAGGTAGTGCAGGGCAAGGCATGCTGGAAAGAGCCTTAGGATTCCTGGGGGTTCTAGCCTGGCTTTAACCTGGATTCTGTGTGACCTTGGGCAGGACACTTCCTTGCTCAGGCCTGAGTTTTCTTGTCTGTAAAACTAGGATAAATGTGAGGTTCTGTTGGGATGTTTGGGGGAGGTTTAAACATTGCAGAAAGGAAAATTGGACTCAGGGCTTTCTAAGTTCCCTCCTAGACCCAAGAATTGGAGTGGGGAGTATAGGAAGAGACTATGCTTGTGTCATCTTGACAATTCCTGGAATAGCCAGAACAGAATCACGTGCACAGGAAGGGCTGTGAAAAGGTTCACTGAATGAAGGAATAAATGACCCCATCTCTCACTGATGAAAAAACGTCACAGCCCACTTTAGACTCACTTGTCAGAGAAGGCATCAGTGGCCATCCTAAGGTCTGGGTGTAATGCTGTGGAGGAGGCACTGGGGAATCCTACAAAGACCCAGCCTCTGCCCAGATCATCTCCTGTGGGCCAAAGAATTTCACCAGAAACAGAAGGGGAGAGGATGGCAATTAGGATGTGGAGATCTTTGTCTATAGGAATCTGTAGGGAAAATTCTCTCTCTCTGTCTTTCCTGTATCTGAGAATTGGGGTGGGCCGAGGCTCTCCGTATAGGGCAAATTTCGGATGGGGGATCGCTTCTATTTAGAAGCCTCCTTGGAGGAGAGGATCTCTGTGTTTGGAGGAAGAATCTCTTTCCTGTCTTTGTTCTGGGTCCTGTCATGACTTGGAGTGTCTGTATTTGGAGGACGGTTCTATAGAGGGGTCTTTTTTTGTTTTGTTTTTTGTTTTGCTTTGTTTTGTTTTGTTTTTTGGTCTTAGTAGCTGGAGGCTAAGAAGAGGATTTCTGTCTTGGTTTCCACCAGGCAGGAGCTAGGGGCTTTCCAGAGCTTCTGGGGAAATTAAGGGGGTACCTGGGGAGAGGTTAGGAGCATCTCTGTCCAATGTGGTGGAGGTTCCCTATCTGGAGAGAAGCCTCCTCCGGGAGACTGGGAGGGGCTTGGGATGGGAGGAGGTGGCAGGAGGCGGGAGGGTGTAGAGAGGGAAGCCTGTCTTGTCCTGGCAGCTCCAACTCTCTGGCCAAAGCCCTCGGGCCGCCCTACTTGTGCGCTGACGTGAGCTAATCTAGAAATACTGCAGAGAAAGAGTGGCTGGGGTTCCCAGGGAGAAAGGGCCTCGAGAGAGGGGAGATGGGGAGCTGCTTCCTTTTTTGTTTCCTTCGGTTTTTCCGTCCGCCCCCGCCCCCACTTCCAGTCACAGCCGCTACTTCTCCATTCAGGCTGGGACTGCCAGGTGGAGCCCTGCGGTTTACTGCTCAGGAGGAGCCCGGCCAGGACATCAGCTGGGGACTTACGCAGGGACCCATTCAGAGCAGCGGACCCTCACGGAGACTACTACAAAGGGACTAACACAGGCACGAACGCAGGCAACCCCATTCGGGAACACATACGTAATCCAACACACTAGCTCTGGCACACACACTGGAATGCGCGCAAAACCACACAGACACAGAACACACGCGGTTACCAAACCTCATTCTCAGAGGCCACACTGATCCAACCTCAAGCAGAGTCTGATACAGCATCGGTCTTTGTCTCTGGGTCTCTCCCTTACTCGCGCTCACACACCCGTACCCCAATCAACACAAACAGCCCAAGCTTTCACAGCCTGGAGGCGGCCGTCGGAGCAGGGCCCCAGCGCACCGCGAGCCTCTGCTTCCTCCGCCTTGCAGCGCCGCGAGCCCTTCTTTCCTCCGCGCCTGGCCCCGTCTGCGCCCCTCTCGGCGTGGGCATTCGCAGACCCGCTAGGAGGCTGACGAGAGGTGTCCTCATAGAGTCCTGCCTTCTTCCAGACCCCCAAACGAAAAGAAAGAGAAAAGCCAACCTTTCGCCTCCATTCTGCACGCATTTGGAGAGCGGCTGGTGGCGAGCGATCCGCACAATCGCTTCCCTCGCGGCGTCCCTGGACGGGCGGAGAGAACCCGGGTGACTGAGCCTGAGGCTGAGCTTCCTTGGGAGCGATCCATGCCAGCCACTTCTACCTTCAAGGGGGACTCGCGGCCGGGTTTACGCGCGAAGGATGGGTGCCAGGGAAACTGACTTATAGACGACCCGCTCCGCGAGAGACTGACAACTCAGTCCTGCGGGCTTTCGGGGCGCCCAGACCAGTCCTTAGCCAGAGGATCTGGGGCTGCACAGCTCCCGGACCCTGGAGGGGGTGGTCCGGGGGTGGGAGACTGCGAGCATCAGCCCACGCCGGCCCCCTCCCACCCTGCGGCGGCGAGGTGGGAAGGGCCAGGATGCGAGCTTAGCACCTCCCCTAGAAATGCAGCACTTCGCCCCCCCACCTCCCCTGCCCTCGGCGCTCCCTCTTTCACGCGCTCCCTCCCGCCTCCTTCCCAAGGGCGCCCTTCTTCTGCCCCCAGCTCACGTCTGAATCCCTCGGCGCCCCCTTTCTCTTCTCCTAGCCCCTTCCTCACGTCCCCTGCCTCCGGGTATTTCCTCTCTCCAATCCCCCACCCCCGCACCGCCTGATTCCGAGGGGCGGGAGCGCATTGGGCTGCGCACGGGTGGGGGCGCCGCGCCAGCTTCGCGTAGCTGCTCTGACGCCGCTGCCGCCGCCGCCGCCGCCGCCGCCCTCCGCAGCCCAGCTCGCGCCCCGCGGCAGCTCCGCAGTGCACTAGCCACCACCGCCGCCGCCGCCGCTCCGCCAGACCTGCTGCCAGCTTGCCCGGTCCAGCCCTGAGAGAGCCTCGAACGCCAGCTGCGAGGGTCATGAGCCAGAGAGCCCCGGGGCGCCGCGCGGAGAGCAAGCGGAGATAGCGACTTTGCGCCCCCCAGCCCTCGCCTT
The DNA here is from genome assembly GCF_000001405.40 of Homo sapiens. NCBI lineage: Eukaryota > Metazoa > Chordata > Mammalia > Primates > Hominidae > Homo > Homo sapiens. The sequence goes on from NC_000020.11 coordinate 38,724,663, forward strand.
CTTGCATCGCGTTCCCCGCATCCTCGGGTCCTTCTGTCCTTTCCGCTGTCCCCACCGCCGCCATGGCCACCTTGCTCCGCAGCAAGCTGTCCAACGTGGCCACGTCCGTGTCCAACAAGTCCCAGGCCAAGATGAGCGGCATGTTCGCCAGGATGGGTTTTCAGGCGGCCACGGATGAGGAGGCGGTGGGCTTCGCGCATTGCGACGACCTCGACTTTGAGCACCGCCAGGGCCTGCAGATGGACATCCTGAAAGCCGAGGGAGAGCCCTGCGGGGACGAGGGCGCTGAAGCGCCCGTCGAGGGAGACATCCATTATCAGCGAGGCAGCGGAGCTCCTCTGCCGCCCTCCGGCTCCAAGGACCAGGTGGGAGGTGGTGGCGAATTCGGGGGCCACGACAAGCCCAAAATCACGGCGTGGGAGGCAGGCTGGAACGTGACCAACGCCATCCAGGTAAGCGCGGGATTCCCAGTTCTGCCTGTCCTCCCCCCTCCCAGCTCAGCGTGCCGGGCTCTGCCCCCGACAGTCGCCCGGTGATCTCGGCCTGGAGACCCCCTCCTGTACCCAGGAATCTCCCTTTCTCCATCCCTCCCAGCCCTGCGCGGGGACCTACGCCCCCAGGCGGTGTTTTCCGCCCTAACCCACGCTCCCTCCCAACGGCACCAGCTGCAAGACCGCTAGGCTGAAGTTCGGTCTGAGACACCTGTCCGGAGACACTGCAAAAGTGAAGGAAATGGGGGGAGGGAGCAGGAAGCGATGAGAAAGAAAGAAAATCAGGATTGGAGGGCACGGTTTGGTCTTGGACTCTGGAACGGATTCACAGCTGCATTTTTGGGAGGAAAGAAGAAGGGGAAATCGCTGAGGTCGGAGTCTCCTCCCCCCGCACACACGCATAGACACGCACACGTATATAGGCAGGCACACCACATGCCCACAGCCCCCCTTCCCACGAACAAAGGCGCAGGCACAGGCGCACACGACATGTATCTATATATAGACCACAGTACTATCCCCAAATGCACCTGCGTACACCCCTACAGCTCCACAAACAAAAGCATATACCTGCACATACCAAACACACGAATATTCGTTTGAACATATGCACACACACATGCACAGATGCATGCAGACAGGAACCAGCCTGCTCCCTTGGGTGCGGCCCTGTTGGAGACATACAGGTATACACACACGAAAGCACACACATGCTCCCACACAAACACATTTAGTCCGCAATAATCCAGCATTACCTGTGCACAGACTCGCCCCTCTCGCCCGAAATCCCGGCTGCACCGCAAAGAGGCGGCCAGCTCCTCCCCGTGTGACCCTGGCGAAGCCCTCTCCAGAGGCTAAGAATGGCCCCTGCTCTCTAGGCCCTCTCCCCTTATTCCTAACCCCCCACTCCCCACCAGGCGGCGCAGGACTCCTACATAGGGAGCAGGTTTGGAGTCTTGGCAACGACCTCCGAGCTAGCAGGGGCTGGCAGGCCGCAGCTTTCTGGGCCGAAGGAGACTTCAGCTCTAGGCAACCCCGGTCCCTTACAGCTTGGCCCCGCGGCGTCCCTGGAGCGCACTATCACTGGGGCCACGGAAGGCAGGTTTTCTGGGAGCAGAGGCCTCCCAGGGGTTGTTCCATGTATCGGGGTAAGCAGGACTCCACCGGGCCCCGAACACCAGATGGCCCGACCCAAGGCGCTTTCCGCTCCGGGGCCCGGCGAGACGGCCTTGCTGGATCACGGACCCGGGGCTGCTCCCGCCTTCGCTGTGCCCCGCGACTTCCCGGGGCGTCTTTCAAGGCTCCGTTTGATAGGCCCCAAGGGAGGCCAGGGCAGGAGGCTGGAGGCTCGTAGGCCTCCGGGACCCTGGATTTCGTTAGCTCTTAGTCCCCGTGTGGATTCTAAACCCTACAGCCCTGTCCGCCTGACCCTGAAGCTTCTGGTTCTAGACTCTTGCTCGGTTCGGCTTTCTGGCCTCCCTGGCGCCTTCCCGCCAAGCTCCTCCTCCTGCTTGCCTCCCCAGCCTCCACTTAGTCCCCTTCCTTAGGTCTCGCCCTCGCCTCACTCTAACTCCAGCCTTGTCCTAAGACTCTCAATTTCCAGCCCTGCTTCCTCCTCCCCGCGCGCTGCTCCCCAAGCGTCTTCACATTGTCTCTGTTCTTGCCTCCCAGGGGCTTTGCCCCACCTTCAGCCCCTCTCCCTCTCTACCCTATTTCCTTTTCGCCTCACAACTGCAGCCTTTAACGTTTCCTCCTCTGGTCTGAGCCTGAGACGCCCGAGTTTTCCTCTTTAGCTCCCGTGCCCCATTCCAGCCCCACCACAAATCCCGTGCCCACTCTTTCCACTGGCCCAGGCCCAGCTCACTACCTTTCTTAGAGCCCCTTTCCGACTACGCTCCCTTCTGTCCCTTCTCATCTCCTCCCCCAACTCCTCATTCTGTTCCTGTCCCCAGAAACCATCCCGAAGTATCTCCCTTCCCTCCTGTGGCTTCTCCCTATTCTCAGCCCTCTCCCACCCTAGCCCTCTCGCTATCACCAGCCATTAGCGCACCTTTCCTTCTCAGATCCGTCCATACATCCCTCCCTCTCCATCTCTGGCTCGACACCCGGGCTCACTATTAGTTCCCCTACATCCACCCCGCAGCCTGCTCTTAACCTCTCCTCCCCGGCGGCTCAGACCCAATTCTCAGTGTCCTTAGCGCCCCCTTCGGGCCACAGCGTTAAGCCACGCCCCCCGGGCCCCTCATCCGTTGCCAAGTTCGCTGAGCGTCCGCGTCTGGTTGCCTCTCCGCCCCACAGGGCATGTTCGTGCTGGGCCTACCCTACGCCATCCTGCACGGCGGCTACCTGGGGTTGTTTCTCATCATCTTCGCCGCCGTTGTGTGCTGCTACACCGGCAAGATCCTCATCGCGTGCCTGTACGAGGAGAATGAAGACGGCGAGGTGGTGCGCGTGCGGGACTCGTACGTGGCCATAGCCAACGCCTGCTGCGCCCCGCGCTTCCCAACGCTGGGCGGCCGAGTGGTGAACGTAGCGCAGATCATCGAGCTGGTGATGACGTGCATCCTGTACGTGGTGGTGAGTGGCAACCTCATGTACAACAGCTTCCCGGGGCTGCCCGTGTCGCAGAAGTCCTGGTCCATTATCGCCACGGCCGTGCTGCTGCCTTGCGCCTTCCTTAAGAACCTCAAGGCCGTGTCCAAGTTCAGTCTGCTGTGCACTCTGGCCCACTTCGTCATCAATATCCTGGTCATAGCCTACTGTCTATCGCGGGCGCGCGACTGGGCCTGGGAGAAGGTCAAGTTCTACATCGACGTCAAGAAGTTCCCCATCTCCATTGGCATCATCGTGTTCAGCTACACGTCTCAGATCTTCCTGCCTTCGCTGGAGGGCAATATGCAGCAGCCCAGCGAGTTCCACTGCATGATGAACTGGACGCACATCGCAGCCTGCGTGCTCAAGGGCCTCTTCGCGCTCGTCGCCTACCTCACCTGGGCCGACGAGACCAAGGAGGTCATCACGGATAACCTGCCCGGCTCCATCCGCGCCGTGGTCAACATCTTTCTGGTGGCCAAGGCGCTGTTGTCCTATCCTCTGCCATTCTTTGCCGCTGTCGAGGTGCTGGAGAAGTCGCTCTTCCAGGAAGGCAGCCGCGCCTTTTTCCCGGCCTGCTACAGCGGCGACGGGCGCCTGAAGTCCTGGGGGCTGACGCTGCGCTGCGCGCTCGTCGTCTTCACGCTGCTCATGGCCATTTATGTGCCGCACTTCGCGCTGCTCATGGGCCTCACCGGCAGCCTCACGGGCGCCGGCCTCTGTTTCTTGCTGCCCAGCCTCTTTCACCTGCGCCTGCTCTGGCGCAAGCTGCTGTGGCACCAAGTCTTCTTCGACGTCGCCATCTTCGTCATCGGCGGCATCTGCAGCGTGTCCGGCTTCGTGCACTCCCTCGAGGGCCTCATCGAAGCCTACCGAACCAACGCGGAGGACTAGGGCGCAAGGGCGAGCCCCCGCCGCGCTTCTGCGCTCTCTCCCTTCTCCCCTCACCCCGCCCCCACCAGCCCAGTGCGCCCTGCCGCCGCGCTTGGGAGGCCAAGCTTTAAACATCTCTGGTTCCTAGTTTCTGATTATTCGGGGATGGGGGGGATGGGAGGGGACAGGGATTCACGATCCATCGCGTCTGCGTTTCTGTTGTCCTTTCTTTTCCACAACACCCTGGTTTTGGGGGGAGGCGGGGTGCATTTGCGGGCAGGGTTCTCTGTCCTTCCAAGTGGGGCCCCGACACTTTGGTTCCAGTCATCGAGGGGGTTGGGAAGGGAGGGAGAGGGGGCGCAGCTCGCAGGCGTGGCAACTTGACCTTGGGGGAATATTTCACATCCATCCAGAGCTCGGAATCTACAGCGTCCAGCCATTTCCAGCAAGAGCGCTTCCCATTCCGGAGACGTTTCAACCCTGCAGCGGGAAAGGCTGACTGGGAAATCCATTTTGGGTGGGCAATTTCCTTCAACGAAGCCGGAAGGCGAGAAGCCGCGGCGGGGCCAGCTTGCCTGCCGGTTTTCAGGAATCTAAACTCTCATCTTGTGCAATTTATCAGGTGTGGAACTGTTCTACTGTGCGTGTGGTGTGCTCGTGGTGAATAAGATGAAATGTATATCAGAAAAAAATCTATCTCTAATTTAGAGTGCGGTACATAATTATATCCGCAAATAAAGAAGAGACAAAGGCTTGCGCGGCCCGGTGTCGGGTTTGTGTGTTCGTACCAGCCGGGATCCCCTGGCGCTGGGAGGCGTGGGAACTGGCTCCCGCCGGCTGAAACCGGAGATGGTGAGCAGCTGTGGTTAAAGGGTCCGGGGAGGGCTCTAGGGAGTACAAAGATTAGTTGGCGGCGAGGAGGCTCCTCAGGTGTGAGGAGGAAGCTGAAGACGGAGAGTGCTGTAGCGGCCCCCTCAGCTGCCAGGTCGAGGTTTGTTCGAATCTCTCCCCTGGGGGCGGGTCCATCTGAGAATTTGGTGGAAGCTCTCAACTTCCAACCTCAAAACAGAGAGGGACAGGGGGAGCTTTTATGTACCAGAACTTTATAAATTTGTTCAACAAATATTTATAAACAGCCAATCAGGGCTGGGGCAGTGTTGGAAACCTGGGGAAAGAAACTCAGCCTTGCCTTCCGGGAGCTTACAGTCTAGTGAGGTGGAGACAGGCAATAAACAAGGACAGGCAGGAATCCACAACGTGACTTCAGATTGTGAAGAGGGCTACAAAGGAAGTCAGAAGTGGGCTGTGCCTTTCACCAGGTCCCCAGAGCCACGAGCCAATCTGGCCCGGCAGGAGGCATCTGCCACCCAGGAGAACCCTGCCGTGCAATCCAAGGTGGGGTTTGCACAGCCATAGCAAAGAGATCTGACTCTAGAATCAACAGCCTCAAGTTGTAGGGTCCCAGTCTCCCCCTATCTTGCGCAGCCTGTCTGATAAAGTGTTTGCCTGAATTACCCGAAAGATCTAGTCTTTTTTGTGCTGATCCCACTCCAGGCGCAGCACCTGCACTGACTCCAGGAGGGCCAGTCCAGGGACTGTTGGGAAAGGTCAGAGTCAGACTTTCTGGGTGGGAGCTGGGAGTGCAAGTCCGCTGGGTGGGTTCCAGGGTCCGCTGTCACCACGGAGGCAGAGGCTTCGTTAGGAACGACTTCTCCAGGTGCGAATGGTGCACGGGAAAGAAGCCAGGGAGAATGCCTAAGTAGGGTGTGTGTTGCTCCCCGCCCGCTTGCAAGGGGCATGTGAGAGGCTAGGTGAAGATATGCGTGTGGGGTGGGGCAGGCTGCATCGTGTGTTGTGAGAACCTTGGTAAGTGTGTGTGCGTGTGTGCGTGTGTGCCGAGCATCCGGGTGGGCGTGCTCCCTAAAGCGCCTGCGACAGAGGTGACCTCGCATCACCCTGGTTCTGCGGCCACAGACCTGGAGTGGGAAGGGAGGAGGGATAGGACCCGGTGTCCTCAGCCATCACTGTGGCTCTAATGCTTTAAAACGGGCCATCTGAGAAGTCCGCTACCTTCGGCCTAATTCCCCGGGGTCACTATTGTCGCGTGTTCAGGATCCGGCACTGGCTGAAGGGTCCTCAGTTTCTCGTCTTCCCATGACCACTGACGTCTCCCAGGCCTGGGGCCGAGGGGTGGGGTGGGGAGCTGATTGTTCTTCCCCCGCCCCAACTCCCAAGGTTTCTCAGCGGGTCCACGGACCCTGGGGTGCTCTCCGAGTCAGTGTGTCGCCTTCAGAAAAATCCCGGACTTCTATGGTGGAAGGGAAGGTGGGAGCGTCACGCTGCACCATCTCTGTCCTTCCCGTCTTTAAAAGGTCGAAGGAGACACTAGGCAGGCTCCGGATAGCGGCGCCAACTCTGCGGGCTCGCCTGGATCCGCTCCACTAATCCTGGCTCCAGGTTTTGTGCTCAGCTTGCAGCGTCTCTTGTCCTAGGGGGCGAATCCTGAGGGTGGCAGGGGCGGGAGAACTAGCACCCTAGACGCCCAAGGGAAACCCGAAACCCTGGTCGGTAGGACACCGATACCCGGACTCGCATCCAGGCTACTGAGAGAAATAAGGAGGAGGAGTGGATGGCACCCGTCTCTGCACCTCTCATCTCCCCCACCCATCTACCCCCACCTCCACCATCACTAAAGCGTAAAGGTAGATGTTGAAAGGAAGAAGTCCCAGCTTTCCTCGCAGTGGGCTCGCTGTGCAAGTCCAAGAGAGCAGATAGTTCTGGCAAGGCTCATTCTGGGATCGGATTGAGAAGGAGAGGAGGAATCCGCGTCAGCCCCACAGGGCTCACATCAGTTCTTATGGGGCACCCTAGCTGGACGTGCTGCAGACCCTGTAAGCTGTCCCCACCTGGGTCCGCAGCATAAGTGTGTAGGTGTACCTGGCCCCTTGCCTTGGGGCCAGGACCTGGAACCACCAAGACCCACGTGCGCCGGCGGAACCCAGGATCGCGATCGCACGGTCCCAAGACCGCCCTGCCTCGCCCCCTAGCGGTGAGAGCGCAAACTGCCGGCCCGCAAGGACGGTTCTCCACCCTAGTCCTAAATGCTTCTTGTCTCCCCCTACCCCACCTCCTGCTTAGTTGATAAGCATTGCTTCTTTCTAGTGCTTTATTTCAGGTCCTCAACATTACAAAAGTTTTTAGTCATTTTTCCCCAAACATGGATGGATGCTTATTATTGAACATGTTTTGTTATATGACACCGTCTTATCCCAGGGACTGAGTGTTCCTCACTTAAAGACCTGGTAGGGAGGGAGCCAAACAGGCTCCATGGGGGCCATCCAGGAAGTGGAGAGGATCCAGGCCTTGCTATTCTAGAGGGGACTTCAGGGACAAGAGCCAGAGAGAGGCTTTGGTCAAGGAGGGGGCAGGTCCCTAGGTGGGCTCCATCCTCACCATGAGTGAGGGTGTGGTAGGGTACTCAGTCCTGGACAGCCAAGGATTCATTCGTTGCACTTGTTTGACCTCAGAGAGCCAGCCTTGGGTGTCCTTCTCATAGCTCTTTCGTTTTTTCCTTTTCAAGATTATGAAGAATTTCTAATGTATAGAAAAGGTGAAAGAATTCCACACTGAACATACATACACCCACACCCACCGCCGCCTAGACTGGATGATTAACAGTTTAAAACACTGTATCTACCCCATACCTATCCATCTATCCATCCAACAGTCTACCTGTAAAAAAAAAACAACATTCAAAAGTTGCAGACATCAGTATATTTCCCTCCCAAATAATTATTATCATTTTTGAGACAGGGTCTCGGTCTGTCACCCAGGCTGGAGTGCAGTGGTGAGAACACAGCTCACTGCAACCTTGACCTCCTGGGCTCAAGTGATCCTCCCACCTCAGCCCCCCGAGCAACTGACACCACAGGCAAGGCATGTGCTACCATTTTCAGCTAATTTTTAAATTTTTTGTAGAGACAGAGTCTCATCATGTTCCCCAGGCTGGTCTCAAACTCTGGGCTCAAGCAATCCCCCTGCCTTAGCCTCCCAAAGTGCTGGGATTATAGGCATGAACCCCTGTGCCCAGCCACCCCTCCCAAATTTTTAAGCTTTCAGGACAAGTAACAGTGACATTCAGATAGCACAGCATCAGTACAGCACTAATCTGAGCCACACTGGAGACCAAGGCAAAAAAAGCAATATCCATCCTTTCTTTACCTCAGATATTGTTATTTTGCTTACATTATTTTGAACGTTATGGTTCACTTTTGCATTAATTTTGATTTTTAAAAAATATTGCATTAAAATTTTATTTATATTGCTTTCTGGATTTTTTGCACCCTCTTAAATTTTGCTACCAAAGGAAATGCCTCACTTGCCTCATGCTAATCCTGGTCCTGGATGTGAGGCCAGGCCTGGGAGATGAGCTCTGCCCCCCCGGGAGATTTGGATTGAGATTTTTCAAGAGTCTGACTATAGCTGGTTCCACAGTGATGCTTTGGGCACCATCTCTGCCAGTTGTGGAGTCCAGGAAGGCACAGTGAGAGCAGAGCCTCTGACCAGGGACACCCAGCAGCATGGTCCAGCAGAGTCACATAGCGGGTGGGGTGGAGGGAGCTTTACGATTCCAGAAGCTTCCAGCAACCCTCTTGGGGGTGGGATGGAAACAGGGTGAAAAGGCTGAGGATGCTATAGAGGGGTTGGTGGTGTCTAGAAGGGAAGGCGGTGCAGCTAGAAGGGAGAGCACAATTAAAGGAATTGTTAGTGTGATTCAGTTCCTGTTTCAAGGTCTGGTAGTTAAACAAGATTTATTTATCAAATATTTGTTAAGCACCCACTCTAGGCCACACACTAGGCTAAGGTCTAATGTGTGGGAATGCAACAGGAAACAAGACAGACATGGCCTCTCTGGTAGTTGTCAGTGCCCACCCTATGTTCCCTAGATGCACCTAAGTTTACCTGAAGCTGTGGAACATGAACCACTGCCAGTGCCTCCATCTCTCCTCATCTCCCTGAGGGCTTTCTAGGCTACCTTGGGAGCATGACTTGGAATTGTCGGGCAGCTAACAGCCCCTAGTGCTCAATCAATTGGCAATAAATGCCTGTCTCCTGTCCTGTGATGGGACCATTTTAGGTCTATTCCACAAGGTATCTTGGAGGGTCCCCAGCAGGATTGAACCTCAGGTGTCCACAAGCTCATCAAAGCAATCTTTATTTGGCCTTTCCCCCTTCCTTTTCTTCCTTTCCCTACTTTCAAGGTTCACCTCCCACATAAATTGACTGCATCTGAATCTTTGTCTTAGGGTCTACTTTTAGGGAAAGGTAAATGAAGATCCTATATTCACAGTGCTTCTAATGTAATATAGTGGTCCCCAAATATCTTTCCATAGGCAGGTGCCAGGCTGGGTGAATCAGAATAAAATGGGGAGCTTTCTAGAAATTCCTGCTCCCCACAAAACCCCTAGATTCAGATTCAGAAAGACCTTTCTCCTCCTTCTCTTCCTCCTCCTCAACCCCCTCCTCCTCTTCTTCCTCCTTCTTTCAAGTTCCCAACGTGCCACTGGCTTGGGACCACTAATATTGAGAAGGTTTGGTCAATGGGAGGGTGGTGGATGGATGGATGAATAGATGGATGGATTAGTAAATGCTTTGAGGTCAAGGGTTGGATGGTTGAGCCAATGAATAGATGAATCAGTGAGTGAAGGAAAAAAATGGATTATAGATGAATGGTGGACCAATAAATGGTCCATGGATGAAAGGAAGAAAAGAAGGAAACATAAACAGGTCCATAGCAACAAACTTTAGTAAACTCCACAAGGGCAGAGATATTCTCTGTTTGGCACCCTACTGGATCTCCACTATCTAACACAGACCTGATATACAGAATGTTCTTAATAAATTATGTTCAAATAAATAATGTATTTTCAGAAAACTATCGACACATTAATAGTACTAAAGTCACAGAAACTATGAGGTCAACCAGGAGAGTGCATGAACATTTAAAAAGCACCGGGCCAGTGACCTTGGATAACAGCAATATTTAAAGGTCAGGCAGGCCAGATGTGGAGGCTCACGCCTGTAATCCCAGCATTTTGGGAGGCCAAGGAGAGCGGATCACCTGAAGTCATGAGTTTGAGACCAGCCTGGCCAACATGGTGTAACCCCGTCTCTACTAAAACTACAAAAATTAGCCGAGCATGGTGGCGTGTACCTGTAGTCCCAGCTACTCGGGAGGCTGAGGCAGGAAAATCGCTTGAACCCAGGAGGCGGAAGTTGCAGTGAGCCGAGATCGCACCACTGCATTCCAGCCTGGGGGACAAGAGTGAGACTATTTCTCAAAAAAAAAAAAAAAAAAAAAGTCAAGCAAATGAAGAGAAGGAGGAAAAGAATGAGGAGTCAAGATTGATAAAACATAGTCTGACAGGGAGGAGAAGAATATAAAGAGAATGATATCCTGGAATTGAGGAAGGACAGGTTGCAAGATGGAGAAAATGATAAGAATTTATTTATTTTCTTTCTCTGGACACATATCATCTTGATTTGAGGCAGGCATGGAGATGTGATGATATAGTTCGGATGTTTGTTCCCTCTAAACCTCATGTTGAAATGTGATTCCCAATGTTGGAGGTGGGGCCTCGTGAGAGGTGATTGGATCATGGGGAAGGATCCCTCATGAATGGCTTAGCACCATCTCCTTGGTGATAAGTGAGTTCTCACTTTGAGTTCACGTGAGATCTGACTGTTTTGTTTAAAAGAGCATGGCACCCCACCCCCATCCCTCGCTCTTGCTCTCACCATGTGAGGTACTTACTCCCGCTTCGCCTTCTGCCATGATTGAAAACTTCCTGAGGCCCCATCAGAAGTGGATGCTGGCACTGTGCTTCCTGTACAGCCTGAAGAACTGTAAGCCAATTAAATCTCTTTTCTTTATAAATTACCCAGCCTCAGGTATTCTTTTATAGTAACACAAATGGACTAATACATGTGTGTACTCTTTGTTTCTAAATTTTGGAGTAGAAGAAACACACCTAGAAGCTTCTCAAAGAAGAGTGAGATCAGACTTGGAAACAATTGTCATGGAGCCTTTACTCTGAAGAGGTGTTCAAAGCGGGAGAGTTGAAGAATACAAGTAAGTAAGGCCGACCAAGAGAAGCTGAAGAGAGAGGAAGCTGACGAACAAAGATGAGGACTGAAAAGAGGCTGCCGTCGGTTAGATTCCCCCAGCAACAGACCTATTTGACTGAAGTAGTTCACATGAGAGCTGATACCAAGAAGTACCAGTAGCACAGTGGAGAAGTGAGACGGGGAAGGAAAGGAAGAATGTCAATTCAGGAAACTTTATGGGTAGGGAAGCACCTGTCAATAATGGGAGCTTAATCCATCTGAGACGTCTGGGAGGTGAGAGTTTGCCACTAACAGCCTCTCATTGAAATAACTATCAAAGAATAGACTTCAGGAAGAAAGAAACTTAACCCACAAGGAAGGACTATGTAGGAAGCAAATCTGTGCCTGAGCAAGTACTGCCCATAGAAAACAATATTAACAATAACCAATTCTTGGGATCTAAGGTGGAACTAAAATTTTGGTAAATAACCTCTAAGATGGGAGGGAATAATTGAAGTCTTATCTTCTATGGCTTTCTAATTCAAATATAGGGAGAAATACCATTAACTTTAGGCTTAATGATGAGCAAGAGTGTTACTCATACACCACCACTATCACAACCATCAATGACAAGAACGACAACAAATGGATGGAGAACGTGTAACTTCCAACCTAGTAGAAGGAAAAGAGCAAATAAAGAAAACTTGCACGGATCTGGGTGCGGTGGCTCATGCCTATAATCCCAGCACTTTGGGAGGCCAAGGTGGGCGGATCATGAGGTCAGGAGTTCGAGACCAGCTTGGCCAACATGGTGAAACCCCGTCTCTACTAAAAATACAAAAATTAGCCAGGTGTGGGGCATGGTGGCTCACGCCTGTAACCCTAGCACTTTGGGAGGCCGAGGCAGACGGATCACGAGGTCATGAGATCGAGACCATCCTGGCTAACATGGTGAAACCCCGTCTGTACTAAAAATACAAAAAATTAGCCGGGTGTGGTGGCGGGCGCCTGTAGTCCCAGCTACTCATGAGGCTGAGGCAGGAGAATGATGTGAAAGTGGGAGGTGGAGCTTGCATCGCGCCACTGCACTCTAGCCTGGGTGACAGAGTGAGACTCCATCTCAGAGAAAAAAAAAAGCCAGGTGTGGTGGCGCTTGCTGGTTGTTCCAGCTACTTGGGAGGCTGAGGCAGAAGAATCGCTTGAACCTGGGAGGCAGAGGCTGCAGTAAGCCGAGATCATGCCACTGCACTCCAGTGTGGGTGACAGAGCGAGACTCCGTTTCAAAAAAGAAAGAAAGAAAGAGAGAGAGAGAGAGAAAGAGAGAAAAAGAAAGAAAGAAAGAAAGAAAGAAAGAAAGAAAGAAAGAAAGAAGAAAGAAAGGAAGGAAAGAAAGAAAGACAAGAAAGAAAGAAAACATGATCAATGTAGAAGTCAGGGAAAAAGAAGGAAATGAAAGAAAAGGAAAAGAAAGAAAAGGAGCAAAATAAAGGCCCTTCCAGTCAATACAGGGTAGTAAAAATAAATGAATAAGTAATAAAGATAAGTGGACTAAACTAGCCAGTCAGAAGACAATGATTCTCAGATTGAAATTTGAAAGTCCATCTATACACTCTTTGCAAGGTATATATCTAAAACAAAAGATGGAGAAAGATTAAAATAAAAAGATGGAAACATTTGCCAGGCTAATACTAATCAAAAGAAAGCTGCCAGCGGGGCACAGTGGCTCAAGCCTGTAATCCTAGCACTTTGGGAGGCTGAGGTGGGCGGATCACCTAAGCTCGGGAGTTTCAGACCAGCCTGACCAACATAGAGAAAACCCATCTCTACTGAAAATACAAAATTAGCAGGGCGTGGTGGTGCATGCCTGTAATCCCAGCTACTCAGGAGGCTGAGGCCAAAGAATTGCTTGAACCCGGGAGGTGGAGGTTGCAGTGAGCCGAGATCGCGCCATTGCACTCCAGCCTGGGCAACAAGAGTGAAACTCCATCTCAGAACAAACAAACAAACAAACAAACAAAAAATGACAAAATATGCCAGGATGATTATTCTAAACTTGGTGTTTTTAATAACACAGGTTCCAAATATAGAATGTAGAGAAATGGACTAATTTACAAACATAGTAGGAGAGTTTACTTATTTTTTATTAAAAACAATTTTTTTGAGATAGTGTCTCACTCTGTTGCCCCCGGTGGAATGCAGTAGTGTGATCATAGCTCATTGCAGCCTCAAATTCCTGGACTCAAGTGATCCTCCTGCCTCAGTCTCCTGAGTGGCTAGGACTGCAGGTGTGCACTGCCATGTCTGGCTACTTTTTTTATTTTTATTTTTGTGGAAATGGGGTCTCACTATGTTGCCCAGGCTGGTCTTAAACTCCTGGCCTCAGGCTATCCTTGCACCTCAACCTCCCAAAGTATGGGATTACAGGCATGAGCCACCATGCCCAACCAAGGAGAGTTTAACATACTTTCTCTGATATTCAAATTAACTTGCCTTTTTTTCCTTTTGTTTGCTTTTGTTTAATATGCCTTTGCCCATACTTCAATTTTTTATTTTTTATTTTTATTTATTTTTTTTATTTTTGAGATGTAGTCTTGCCCTGTCACCCAGGCTGGAGTGCAGTGTTACAATCTCAGCTCACTGCAGCCTCCACCTCCCAGATTCAAGCTATTCTCCTGCCTCAGCCTCCCAAGTAGCTGGGATTACAGGCATGTGCCAAAACACCCAGCTAATTTTTGTACTTTAAAAGAGACGGGGTTTCACCATGTTGGCCAGGCTGATCTTGAACTCCTGACCTCAGGTGATCCTCCAATCTTGGATTCCCAAAGTGCTGGGATTACAGCCACTGCACCTGGCCATACTTCAATATTTTAAGTTTTATTTTTTGTATTACATATACACATAATTTAAAGAATCAATGAATTCTACAAGTTAACTAAAATAGCACTCTGTAGCCCCTTCCTCCAATTTCTCCTTCCCCAGAGGCAACTACTTTCAATTCTTACACTTGATCCCGTTTTATTTTTTTTTGAGACTGAGTTTCACTCTTGTTGCCCAGGCTGGAGTCCAATGGCGAGATCTCGACTCATCACAACCTCCACCTCCTGGGTTCAAGCGATTCTCCTGCCTCGGCCTCCTGAGTAGCTGGGATTACAGGCATGTGCCACCACGCCCGGCTAATTTTGTATTTTTAGTAGAGATGGGATTCTCCATGTTGGTCAGGCTGCTCTCAAACTCCT